>NC_000008.11:9189533-9494014 GCF_000001405.40 Homo sapiens
CGAATTCTTTCTTCTGAGGAGGCAAGGACTGAAGTTGCTTCTGACCAGTACAGGTACGCCGCAGGTAACTTGGATCTCTTCCACCGCTAATAGTTTCTTAATCTGTAAAATGAGATAATGTGTGTATTGCATTAACCCATTCATTGTGTGGGTTTAATGAGATGATGTACGTAAAGCCCTGAGCATAGTGCCTGGAATATAGGAAGTCCTTAGTAAATGTTAATTGCTGCATTTTCATTATTACTACATCTTCCACACCCCAGGGATCCCTTGCGTCACAGAGTGCTCGCCACCACCCCCGGGGGACACCTTCCCCAATCACTGTGGCCCTCTCTGGGGAGCTGAAGGCCTCCATAACTGCCATGGGATTGATTTGTGAGCAATTGCTTGCACAGGCTCAGCTTCTGTCCTGATTACCACAAAATTTGGATTCATTTCTCCCCAGTACTTCTCCCGTAGTGTTATACCTAGACATTTCCTATGTGGGATTGAGATAAAATATTCCATTCCTATGGATAATATGGTTTTCTATCTCTATTATTCAGACACAATGACCAAAGAATAATTTGGATGGCTGGCAAGCCTTGGATCAATAACATGCTGCCTGCTGTTAAAAAGTTAGCTTGGTCATCACATTTCTTCTTTGCACTAAGGATAATATTGTACTCTGATCCTCCATCCTTTCCTTCCTCTTTCCTCCCTCCCATCCTCCATCCTTTCCTCAAGTGTAATCTTACTCTTAGGAGGTGTGAAAGGCTAACTTAGCCTTTAAATGTGTTCTTTGAATTCCTTAGTTCTAGAGAGGTAATTTCTAAGATCATCCTATCAGAGAAATGTAATACTCTAAAAATCTGCTTTTATTTGGTATAGATCACTTCCTACGTATTTGCTGAAAACTTGCCACAGTCTTTAATAGAGCATATATATTTTAAGGAACCACAGACGTGCTTTAAGTTTGGGCCTTTTGAGAATCTAATGGTGTTAAAAACATAAGGACCCTCAAAAATGTAATTATCTTTTCCAGCCTTCCCTCCCTGCCTTACTCATATTCTGACCTTGAGTAGTTCTCACTTTACTGTTGAACCACAATTCAGCAGCGGCAGCAGCAGCAGCAGCAGCAGCAGCTCTTGTAGAATGTTGCAATCTCAAAAGGGATTTACAATTGTTTGTGTTTTTCATCATTGACTTGAATAGCGTTAATTCAGAATGATGCACTCTGCTTCAGTACTGCAGATCTGAAGGAGGTGGGAATTGAGACAGACTGATTTGTCTGGAGCCCCGTGGTTCAGTCTAGGATTTATAGAGACAAAGGAGTTTTTTTTAACATAGTTTTAATACAGTCTGCACTTCCTCTTCCACCTACACCTCTGCCTTCTTAACGACTGTGGTTAAGCATAATCTATTAATCCTTCAATGAGAAAGGAAAGCCATGGGAAATCTAGCAACAGGAATTGTGTGTGAGTCAATGCTTGGACTATTAGAAGCGGAAGATATGTGCAGAAATAAAAAAAACTCACCTTGTAGCAAATTAAGAGCATTGATTGGACTTTGCCAGGAAGTGTTTCTTTTGTATTCTTTCTGATGGATGCCAGCGGTATTAAAATAAAGAGAATAAATAATACTGAGTAAGGAATTATTGGTGCCGATGTTGGCACTAAAACCCTCACTTGTAACTGTGCATAGAATAATTAGGTTAGAAGACTATGAGTGCCTGTTCTCTTAGACTGGTATTAGTGGGAGCCAGGCAGGGGACACAAGGCTGGAGGCTTCATCTGGCACAAAACATCTGGGTCTCCCAACTCAGACCCAAAGCTAACTTCCTCTTGTGACCTGGTTTCTCTCTCCATCTCCATGCTCTGTCCCCACTGCATCCCCTGGACCCTGGAGATCTTCCTTTTTTTTATCCGCCTAGTTGCTTGCGATAGGGGCTGCTCCCTGCACCAGAGGCCCCAGGTAACACAGGCAGGTCTCTAAGACATGCTACTTAGCTTTTGTTTTCAGTTTCCATCTTGACTTCTTAAATTGCTGATATTATCACTGTCAAAAAACAAATACAAAGATATTATAAACTGATTCCAAGTCATATCATGTTTTGAAAGGAACACATGGCCGTGTGTAAGCCTTTCCACCTCCCCCTGTGTTCTTAGTTCATTTCTTGTGCCCTTAGTTCATGACTTGTGCTCTTAGTTCCTGTCTACCACATCCCATAGTGCCCTATCCCTGATTTTGTTCCAAGTGTCCCTAGCAGTGTCCCCTAGCAGTGTGCCTCATTTGTGGCTAAATGTGCCTCTGTGCTTGGAACAAACCTTTAAGTTCACCTTTCAGAACCTGACAGATTGGAGCTACCATCCTCAAGTACTTGCTTTATATCGTCATCAGCATTATTGGGCAGCTCTTTTTCTTGGATACAGATTTCTTACCCTCTAGAAGACTGTTGTTTTAGAACATTACATCTGAAATCCAATCTGGAGATTTTGATTCAGTGGGTCTGGGATGGGGCCCAGGAATTTGTAGTTTTAACAAGTATCTCGGGTGATCATTATCAGGAAAGTCTGGAAAACCCTGCCTTACAACTTTCCTGTTCTCTTTCCTGCCTCATTCACATAGACCTGCTAAGTATTTGCTGGACGTGCAAACAACCTTTGTAATGACTCTGTAGGCTTCCATTTGACAGAGTTTGAATATAATATGGTAATTTTGAACCCTCATAATCTTTTAAAGATAGAGTTTTACCAAATCAATCATTCTGTATTGACAGTTTTAATTCATTGCTTGTTCCTGCATGAACTTCTCATTGTGGAACGGTTAAGATATCTACTTTAAAAAAAAAATCTGGAATTTAGTTTGAATTTCTCATTGTGAAGCAACTACAATATCTACTTTTTAAAAATATTATTTATTTATTTATTTTTTTGAGACGGAGTCTCACTCTGTCGCCCAGGCTGGAGTGCAGTGGCGCAGTCTCGGCTCACTGCAAGCTCCACCTCCTGGGTTCACGCCATTCTCCTGCCTCAGCCTCCAAAGTAGCTGGGACCAGAGGCTCCCGCCACCACGCCCGGCTAATTTTTCTGTATTTTTTAGTGGAGACGGGACGATATCTACTTTTTTAAAAAATCTGGAATTTAGTTTGTTAGAAAAATCTGATTCTGCCGGGCTTGGTGGCTCACACCTATATCCCAGCACTTTCGGAGGCCGAGGCGGGTGGATCATGAGGTCAGGAGATCGAGACCATCCTGGCTAACACAGTGAAACCCCGTCTCTACTAAAAATACAAAAAAATTAGCCGGGTGTGGTGGCAGGCGCCTGTAGTCCGAGGTGCTCCGGAGGCTGAGGCAGGAGAAGGCGTGAACCTGGGAGGTGGAGCTTGCAGTAAGCCGAGATCTCGCCACTGCCCTCCAGCCTGGGCGACAGAGAGAGACTCCGTCTCAAAAAAATAAATAAATAAAGAAGATTCTTAGCAGCTAGTTAGAGTAGCAATTAAAGTTCTTGATTTTTTTAATTTGTTCCTTTTAATTAAAAATTTTAGGGAAGGGAGAAATGAGGAGTTCTTTCATGGGTAAGTTGTTCATGGGTAAGAATTTCAATTTTGCAAGATGAGAAGAATTCTAGAGATTGGTTGTACAACATCGTGAATACATTTAACACTGCCAAATTGTACACTTAAAAATGCCTAACGTGGTACATTTTATGTTATGCAGATTTTATCGCAATATTTTAAAAATCGGGGGAAGTGTCCACAGGTTTATGGTCTAGATAGCTGTCAGAAAATGAATATGAGTACCTACCATGTAACCAGGCACTATGCTAACAGCTTTCTGCCTTTTTCAGTAGAGTAGGTTATTTAATTCTTTTAACAGTGCTGTCTTTATTTCACAGATTGGGAAGGAGAAAGTCACTTGACTCACAGGCCAACTGCTATGGACTGAATTGTGTCTTCCCCTCATTAATATGTTGAAACCCTATCCTCCCTCCAATGTGATGGTATTTGCAGATGGGGCTTTTGGGAAGTAATGAAGTTTAGATGAGGCATGAGGGCTGGATGGATATGATCAGATGAGTGCCCAAAGAAGAGACACCAGAGAGCTAGCTTCTTCTTTCTCTTTCCACCTTTACACACTGAGAAAAGGCCAAGTGAGCACACACCAAGAAGGCAGCCATCTGCAAACCCAAGGAGAGAGTCCTCACTAGACACCCTGCTGGTACCTTGATCTTGGACTTCTAGCCTCCAGAACTGTGAGAAATAAATTCCTGTTGTTCAAGCTAGTATTAATACCTGGTGTTTTGTTATGGCAGCCTAAGTGACTAAGACACCAACTTAATTTACTTAGCCAGGGTCAATCAGTGGTAGGGCCCAGGATTCTGACCCAGTTCTGCCTAACTCCACAATTCATGCTTTTTCTGGATATAAACATCTGCCTTCCCAGTTTCCCTGACTCTTAGAGCCGTGGAGCAGTGTGTGTCATGTGCTGCACACCCAGGCTGGAACAGCCTGTCTCCAGGTAGGTCTCTGCATAGTGTGTGACTCCATGGGGACCTCTATGCGGCCCCAGTCTTGTGAGCTGATAAAATTTATATTGGTAGCTTGGCAAATTTAACGCCTACCTCCAACAACTCTTCAGGAATGTGGGACTCTCTAAAGGGATTCATTTGCAGAGACAGAAGCCTTGGTGTGGGATGTGTTACTGTACAGTTTGTACAGTTTGCTAAACCCCTCAGCCAATACGGTTTCTATAACTGGTGCCCCCCCCACAGTTCGCTGGGGTTCACTGTTGTGCAGGTGATAGCTCCAGGTGTTGGGAATCCCTGATGAAGCCTTAGCTGGCAATGGCTGAAGGCGATATCTCTGAGATGTCCGGTCAGGACCTTCCTCTCTGTTGCCATGGCTGTGTCTCACTGCCGCGCCTCTCCTCTGTTCCCTGCAGGGTAGAGTCTGGATGCTTTTATCGACATATTGGAGTTTTTCTACTAAGTGCAGAAACGTCTCTAGATCTGAGCACAGTCACATCAAGCTTAGATTTTAATGTCCTGGTTTCATTAATTTCTATTTCAGTTATTCCAGGGGCTGCTCTCCCTCACTGGGTTCTTTTCAGATGTGTACAATGGCTAGAACTTCTTTCTGTTCTTGCTGCAATATGCCAGCCGCATTTCCTTTTACACGGGCGTCTCCTTTTGTCTCCTGTCTGTGGGTACTGCAGTAGCAAAAGGGGCAATCTGTGGTCTTTTCTCCATAACCCCTCCTGCAGAGAACAACTTTCAGGCTGGGGGTTTCCTGAAACATAGATTGCACTGGACAGAAGGACTTAACATGTCTTTGTTGCACCCTAAAACATGACCTTTAGTTTCTCTCTGCTTAGAATCTATATGCTGTGCCACGATTTTTCTACCATGATTTTATCTTGTAGAATTCACTTTACCTCTCTGGGTTCCAAGTCCTCATTTATTAAATGAAGATCCCATTCTAAGATTGTGCCAATTTTCCTATTTCCAAATTCATCAGCACCGAGAGTGCCTGTCCTTACTGTGGAGGTCTGGCGATAGAGAGCAGGTTCTCCCTGCAATATTGACACAGGCCCGCCTCTGCTGTGGGGGCCTGAACACTGGCATCCCTAGCTTCTCCTCGGGGCCAAAGATGACTTGAGCCTTCCCAGTGGAGGTAGAAGCTGGAGCTTCCTTTCAGGAAGTGGCTCATAGTGACAGACTCAAAGATCAGGAGGGTCTTGTAGTTCCATCATGTTGACAAGGATTATAGGAGCTGTAATTATACAAGCTGCCCCAAAGTCCTGATTTCAGTCCTCATTAAGTCCCGACTTCTAAAATGAGGTTAAAATTATATCATAAGGGCTGGGCGCGGTGGCTCACGCCTGTAATCCCAGCACTTTGGGAAGCTGAGGTGGGTGGATCACTTGAGGTCAGGAGTTCGAGACCAGCCGGGCCAACAGAGTGAAACCTCATCTCTACCAAAGACACAAAACTTAGCCAGGCATGGTGGTACATGACTGTAATCACAGCTACTGGGGAGGCTGAGGCAGGAGAAGTGCTTGAACCCAAGAGGCAGAGGTTGCAGTGGGCTGAGATCGTGCCTTTGCCCTCCAGCCTAGGCGAAGAAGTGAGATTTTGTTAAAAAAAAAAAATAAAAATAAATATATATATATTAGGCTTGGCATCTTGGCATGGTGGCTCACACCTATAATCCCAGCACTTTGGGAGGCCAAGGTAGGAGGATCCCTTCAGGCCAAGAGTTTGAGACTGGCCTGGGCAACGTAGTGAGACCCCATCTCTAAAACCAAAAATTAGCTAGGCATGGTGGTGCATGCCTGAAGTCCCAGCTACTTGGGAGGCTGAGGTGGGAAGATTGCTTGAGCTCAGGAGTTTGAGGTTATAGTGAGCTATGATCATACTACTGCACTCCAGCCTAGGTGACAGAGTGAGACCCTGTCTCTAAATAAAAATAAAATAATAAATCAATTGTATCATAAAAAACTAAACTTGCCCTCACATAACTCTCTCTTCTGCTGACAATCAATACTTTCTTAGACAACGTTTTCTTCAGTTCCAGCTGGCTTTTGAGGAGCAAATTTTTCTCCCCATAGAGTTTTAAGAAATGCTTCCTCAGCAAATTGAGAAGAAGAAAGTAAAGCAAATGTTTTCTCTAAGTGACTCCTTCCCAAATTCTAGTTTAAGAGCCTTTGTAAATCAGATGGAAGCTTTAGAAAAATGGCAGCAGATAAAAGCCTGCAGGATGACTCCAAAGTAGTCAAAGCCACCTAAACACGTGCATTGATGATGGGTGTGCCTATGTTATAGGTCCCATGGATCCCTGGGAGACTCAGGAAGGAGTCAGTTCTCAGTTATAGAATGTTAGAGACCACTTAGGCTTTATTTTATTATTATTATTGAGATGGGGTCTCACTCTGTCACCCAGGTTGGAGTGCAGTGGTGCAATCTCAGCTCACTGCAACCTTCACCTTCCATGATCAAGTTATCCTCCCTCCTCTGCCTCCCAAGTAGCTAGGACCACAGGTGCACACCACCACACCTGGCTAATTTTTTGTATTTTTGGTAGAGACAGGGTTTCCCCATGTTGTCTAGGCTGGTCTTGAACTCCTGAGCTCAAGTGATCCACCTGCCTTGGCCTCCCAAAGTGCCGGGATTACAGGCTTGAGTTACTGCGCCGGGCCCCAGCCTTTATATAATGGGACTGCCTGTAATGGAAGAGCATGAAATTTTAAAAAATCTAATTTCATTTTCCATTAATGTATGTATTAATTTTTTCCTTACTGATTCTGTATTGAATTATTGATTATGAATTTCATTCATTCATTCATGTACTTGTTATTTATTTAAAAAAATTATCTTTGCCTGTCTACCGAGTGTTAGGCCCTGGGCCAAATTTTATCTTTAGAACTTTGAAGGTGGCAGGCTGGCTCTCTGATCACACAGAACTTGCATCTGAAAGGGAATAAACTGACTGATAAATGAACTGAATAATGATAGTTTGTGGTGAATGCCATGAAGCAAAAGAATAACATGATATTCGGAGGCTGACACGGGTATATCACCTGAGGTCAGGAGTTCGAGACCAGCCTGCCCAACATGGTGAAACCCCATCTCTACTAAAAGTACAAAAATTAGCTGGGCATGGTGGCGCGCCCCTGTAGTTCCAGCTACTCAGGAGGCTGAGGCCCGAGAATTGTTTGAACCGAGGAGGCAGAGGTTGCAGTGAGCTGATTGCACCATTGCCCTCCAGCCCACATAAGAGCAAAACAACATCTCAAAATAAATAAATAAATAAAATAAAAATGTCATATTACATTAATGGTCAAGCTAGGAATTGCTGAAATAATAATATGCCTAACCCTTTATTTTTCCTGTTCTCTGCTTTCTTTCTCCTTGTGCGTCTAGATCAATCCTTTCCTAACTCAACTTCAAATACCTAATTACCAGAAAACCACCACACAAATGTCTGAGAGCTGCTTTTGTCATTGAAAATACACAGGCTTCCTTACTAACCTGGTTTAGTTAGTGTATTCCTTGCATTTTGGGATTCTTCAAAGTAGGTCATCATTTTTTTGAAAAATCACACAATCCTTATTTTTATTTAAACTTTTGAGATATCTATAAATTATGGTTTGAGACAATTAAAAAGGAGTTTGCATTTGACATAGCTCCATTCAAATTTAAAATGTTCATTCTCTGAAATAATATGTATTGCCAGAGGAGATGAAAAATAAAATGGACCAACATCTAAGCTGTGGTCTATCTGAGAACTTCCTGATCTCACCGTGGCAAAAGAATATCTTGTTCTACTGCCCCCAGCCCTTCTGTTCTTTGTTCTGGCCTGGCTTTCCAGAACTCCTATTTCTGATTAGGGCTTTTCTACTGATTGGTGGACACTGAACAGTTTCCCTTCTGTGTCTTCTTATCTCTAATTTGCTTTATTTTTATGACTGTTGCCTGGTTTAGATGAGTCAAACCTTTAAAAATGCTATTTATATGCATTTCTGATATTTTTCTGTGTCTTAGAATATAAGTGAAAATTGCTTGTACACGTTAGCACTGTCTTTCATTTTTGTTTTTGCTGCAAAATAATTTAAACATAACGAGATTTGTACGAATTAAATTCAACAATAAAGCTCCCCACCAAAAGGCCAGGCCAAAACAATAAATTCTAACTAGTGTTTAAAACAACCAGTCTGGTGTTGAGGAAACTGAGTGGCTCTTTTCAAGCAGAAGAAAGACAGGAGATGTTCTCTATATTAATGAGCTGTTCTACTTTAGTGCTGTCGGGAGTGATGCTGACGGCATACGAGGCTGTGCTGTACTGGTTTGCAACATCTGTCACTGGCTTACATAGCTGTTAATCTTTCATTTCATGTTCAGACTTATCAGTATTCATTAAAGACCCTCCATTTGTGCAAGACCTTCTGGGAAAGAGTGCCCTATCTCGGTGTCTTAGATTTAACAACAACGACAAAAAGGTTCCATTTTAGACACTTTTTTTGATCAGGCAGCAGGCAGTCTCTGGCTGTGGGAGGTGGGAACCAGTCATATATGCATATGACCAAACAGCTTTTCTACTGGAGAAGTTTAGCGTTGGTAAGAGAAGGGGTTCCAAGTTGATGTTTAAATCCACCCATTTCCATTTTGCTTCCTTACCTACAAGAAAATTTAGAAGTTGGTGCAAATGGCATTTCCATGAGTACTTCTCATGCATCTTTGCATATTTCACCTGGGGGGAAGCACAGAGGCTGAGCCTGGGAGGCTGGATCCGCGAGGGCGCGTCACCTCGCCTAGTTGGGAGTCCAGGCACATGCACAGCGTCTAAAGGTCTAAACAGAAAGATGGGATGTCCTGCCCCAGCAAAAATCTAATGATTTTCTCTCTCTGTAGGAGAAAACGAATACAGCAGGGATGACTTCCACCAGCTCCACTTTGCAGCTCTGAGGTGTATTAAAAATGTAAGAAATGCACAGTGTCACCCGTCACTGCTTATTTCACATTTAAAAAACATGAATATTCTTAAGATGACCTGTAGAGGAACTGCTATATTTTGTCATACCCCTAGTCTCTCAATGATTCGGAAAGGAATGAGTGTATGCTGAATTTTTTCCAGGTAGGCAAGGATATTAGAATAGGTCTATCAGATTCAATGCAAATTGAGCCCACAGCCAACACAACCCATGGGAAGAAAAAAAAATCAAATATCAGGTTTAATTTAAAGGTATTTTCATTTAGATTGAGTGGCGTGACCAGGTCTTCTGTTCCAAGGAAAGGGACTATGAAGAATAAACTTCTGAAGCCTCTAACTCCTAGCAGAAACGCAGGCTTGCAGGAAAATGCCAACAGTGTAGCAAGACGCCTGGGGAGGGTGCCCATCCGCTCTTGGCTCCTGGGCTCCTTTGTTTCACATGCGCTCATCTTGGCTTTGAAGGCCACGTGAGGATGAGCAGCTGCCCAGGAACCTGAATCAGTTTTATCCTTTACCAACAGCCAGATTTTTAGTCTCCTCTCAAACACCTCTGAATCTGCCTGTCAGACTATAGACTTTAGGTCACCAAAATTTTTCCAACTGGGGGTGACTGTCTGGGAGCCACATCCTCTGCCCCACCCCCTGCCACTCTCAGAAGTTACTACTAGTGGGCTGAATCTAAGACCACAGGTGTGTCTTTGATCAACCTGTATTTTGGGCTGAGCGCAGTGGCTCACACTTGTAATCCCAGCACTTTGGGAGGCTGAGGTGGGTGGATCACCTGAGATCAGGAGTTCGAGGCCAGCCTGGGCAACATGGCAAAACCCCGTCTTTACTAAAAATACAAAAATTATCCAGGCATGGTGGTGGGTACCTGTAGCCCTGGCTACACAGGAGGCTGAGGCAGGAGAGTCGCTTGAACCCGGGGGGCTGAGGTTGCAGTGAGCCAAGATCACGCCACTGCACTCCAGCCTGGGTGACAGAGTGAGACTCCATCTCAAAACACAAAGCAAAACAAAATCAAAATAAAACCTGTATTTTGAAGAGACTGGATCTTTTCTGGGTTGGCTTGCATTCTAAAGCTGATTGTGGCCAGCAAGGCAGAAGAAAAGACAGCAAGGAAAAAAGACGAGAATTTTGTTTGTCTCTTTTTCATACGCTTCTAGCTTTCCTTCCCAGGCTCCACCAACACCAACACTTTTTTTTTTTGAGACAAAGTCTCGCTCTTGTTGCCCAGGCTGGAGCGCAGTGGCACAATCTCGGCTCACTGCAACCTCGCCTCCGAGGTTCAACCCATTCGCCTGCCTCAGCCTCCCGAGTAGCTGGGATTACAGGCGCTTGCCACCACACCCAGCTAATTTTTGTATATTTAGTATAGACAGGGTTTCACCATGTTGACCAGGCTGGTCTTGAACTTCTGACCTCAAGTGATCCACCTGCCTTGGCTTCCCAAAGTGCTGGGATTACAGGCTTGAGCCACTGCACCCGGCCCACCAGTGCTTCTGAGTGCCTTTAATTGCCCTATGACTATGACTGCATCCGTGGAGTGTATCATGGAATTTAATCACCTAGTCTGAACTCTCAGCTTCTGGGTGGGTAAAAACATGGTTAGAAGTGTGCTGTAAAATACAGGACTATCACATTCAAATGAAATTACCAAGTTCAAAACCAGATGGACATATTGTCTATCCACAAAAGAGTAGTGCTTGGATTTTTTTTTTTAACTTTTCATTTTGAAATCATTTCCAGCTTTAAAAAATACGAAAACATTACTGTATATCTTTTATTCAGACTTCCCAAATTTAAACCTCTTACACAATCACAATGATGTGAGTAAAATGAGTTCAGAGATCCACATTAGGAAATCAACGTTGATATGACGCTATCATCTAATCTTTAGATATTCCAATTTTGTCAGTTGTCCCATTCATGTTTTTGTTCTGGTCCGGTCCAGTCAAGGATCTCACGTTGCATTTAGTTGTCCTGTTCTCTTCCTTTCCTTTCATCTGCAGTGGTTCTTTGGTCTTTCTTTGTCTTTCATGACCATGACACTGTTGAAGAGTACAGGCCTGCTATTGTGTAGAATATGCCTCACTTTGGATTTGTCTGATGGGTCTTCCTGATTAGATGTAGGTTGTGCATTTTTGATGCATATATCAGGACACTGATCCATTCTGGTGAGATTCACTTTGATTACTTGATTACTGTAGTTATTTTTTCCCCCTCTGCAAATAGTGCAGTATCTGATGAGGAGACACTTTGAAAATAAATATCCTGGTCCTCATCAGACATTCACCCAACACTTTTAGCATCCTTTGAGGATTCTTACCTGAAACAATTATGACTGTGGTGCTTTCTACGTGGTGATTTTCTAATTCTCTCACTTCACTGAAATTGTACAGAAAGGATGAGTCTCCCTTTCTCCCCTATTTATTTACTTTAAAATTATTGGCCGGTTGCGGTGGCTCACGCCTGTAATCCCAGCACTTTGGGAGGCTGAGACTGGTGGATCACGAGGTCAGGAGATCAAGACCATTCTGGCTAACACAGTGAAACCCTGTCTCTACTAAAAATACAAAAAAAATAATTAGCCGGGCGTGGTGACAGGCGCCTGTATGGGAGGCTGAGGCAGGAGAATGGTGTGAACCCAGGAGGCGGAGCTTGCAGTGAGCTGAGACTGTGCCACTGCACTTCAGCCTGGGCGACAGAGTGAGACTCTGTCCCCCCCCCCCCCCAAAAAAAGTATTTATTTATGTCAATATGGGCTCATGGATTCTTATTTTATTCTATGAGATATAATGCATTGCTGTCATTATTTAGTTTCTGGCTCAAATTATCCCAGATTTGGCCATTGGGAGCCCCTTCATAGGGGTTTGTGTGTCGTGTGACATGGCACATTCCTTGGACACTTTCCTACTTTACAGTATTATCAACATATTCCAGGCTCGTCTTGTTCTTTCCTTGCTCCAGCTCTTCATTCAGCCTTTTCTTCAAGGAGCCCTGTGTCTTTTTTTTGGAGAATGGTCTTTAGAATCTAAGATTGGGGGCTGATTGTTCTCATCGCTGGTGCAGAGACATTTCTTCTAGATCCTCTTAGTGGGCAGAGCGAAGAAATACATGTATAATACACACACATTGAGACGGAGCAGGGGCACCCTCTTACAGGCCTGCTGCCCTCCCCAGCCGCAAACATGGAAACAAAATCTTGAGTTTTTCAAGGAAAGTAAATAACAGACACCTAGCTAGCCCTGAGAACCAAATGAGCAACCTGGTAAGGAGGTAATTGTAGCTTAAAAAGAATAGTCAAGGAAGTTAGAGCCACAAGGTGTTTGGTTCCCTGTAGAAACTAAAGATAACATCTTAACACGTGTCCTTGAGTTGTTTTTCAGAAACCTAGAGCCCCACCAAATGAATCCGCTGGCACGTGGACCTCAGATGGGGGAAACTGAGGACTGAATTCTGACCACCCTCCTTTGTTCTAAATTTCTTCCTGAAGGACCTGGAAGAAGTCATGCCACGGGCCAGACCTTAACATTCCTTTCGGCTTACCCCAGGATTTCAGACAAAGCTTCACTTTCCTAACCAGTCACAAATCAGAGAATTTTTGATTCCACCTATGACCTGTGAGCTCCTGCTTCAAGATATTCCACCTTTTTTAGGCCAAACCAATGTATAACCTCCAAGTGTCGATTTACACTTTCGACTGTAACTTCTGCTTTCCTGAGATTTACCCCTGCCTTTAAAAACCCTTGCTTGTAATCCCTCAGGGAGGCCGTGTATTTATTAATCATGAGCTGCCCAATTCTCCTTGCTTGGTGCCCTGCAAATAAACACCCTCTTTTCTCCCACTGCAAAACCTCAGTGTGGATGTTTGGCTTTACTTCACCCCCAGGAAAGCAGACCCAGGTTTGACTCAGCAACAACATCTGTTTCTATTTTTCTCTGTATAAATATTAAAAACCATAAGTACATGCTATCTCCAATTCCAATATAAACCCATAGGGCTCATTCTGGCCTTCCCATTTTCTTATGTGTAATTCATTTCTCTGAAAATGAGAATTCGAGTACTCAGATATTTACTTACCTACTCAATCCTAGAATAGAAATAAAATAATTCAACATAATACCTTCTTAAGTTCCTGGACTTAGTTACACAAAAGTGAGGAATTACACATGAATTCTAAAATGTGATTTTAAAAATCTTTCCTTTTCCTTCTTATCACCCTTAGTAGCTCTCTACAGTAATATAAATTTTTACCCACCTATTCTTACAAAGTCATTTCAAGGCTGTCTTATTTCTACCCAGGATTCCACACTTATTAGAGGCTCTTTATAGGGGAAGACCTAGGATTAGAATCAAAACAGAACATCTTTTCTTTCTCTGCTTTTACTTAGAATATCCAAAACAGACCCAAAGAGACTGTTACTTAATCCAACTATTTTCTTTCAATATAGTCATCTTATCTGTTTTTTAATCTAGTTTGACTTTGATATTAACAGAATAAGACACCAACAGAGCTCCCGACATGCAAAGCATAGACGTCTGTCCAATTTTTGAAGAAGTTAAGACATGAAAATGGCAAAGGTTTTCTGGAGATTTGTTGAGATGACTGAGGTTGAGAACACTATCCCCATGTTAAAGAAAAGACAGAATTGGATGGATGCAGCTTTCTTAGTATTTCTGTGTACCTTAATACCCTAACATTGGTGGTTTGGGCCCTTCAAGACACATTATTGGACAACATCACTGCGATATTGAGTACCATCAGAGCAGCTGAGATGCACTGAAATGTTGCCGATGTAATTTTTGCTATGCAGAAAGAAACTTACAGATCTCTACTTTGTGCCTCTGCCTCCTTTAAGTATAGGCTCCCGATAATAGGTCTAAGTTGAGACAGTTAACATCCAGCGGGTTGCCGCAAGAATTTCACCAAGACCCTATGTTTATTCAGTGCAGAATTGCTCATCTTCTTCAGGACTGGTTCTAGATAAAATATGTATGAGTGAGAAAAATGGTTTATAGAATATATGAGCCTGACACCTCATAAGCCCAAGATATTTGTACTATATTTCCAACAGTAAGTATAAGTAAAAGCCATCATCAATGTGAGTGGGTTGAAATTGCTGCCAAAACAAGACTCTTATGTTGTTTTCAAAGATTCTCATGTAGTTTTAAAAGACAATTTAGTTGAATATCTAAGGTTGCATTTTAAAAGTAAAAAGTCAAAGTAAGGTTTAAAAAAAGGGATGGGGAAAGATATGCCGAGAAAGTATTATTAACACAGGAGGATGGCAAGATTATTACACAAAACAAAATAAAAAAACAAAAGGGTCTAAATGAGACAAAATGATATTAAAAATAATAAAAGGTAGAATCATATAAAACCTACAATAGTCATAAACTTTATGTACTGAGTAACATAGCAAAAATGTGTATAAGGCAATAAAACTCTTAGAAAACTTATGAGAATTTAACAGATCTTAATATTAGTAGTCAATTTTAATATTTTTATTTCAGTATTGAACAGATTAAGTAGTTTGAAAATAAGACCAAAACTTTTGAATATTCAAAAATATTTTAATATTGCATGTTTGAATATTTTGATATATAATATATTTGAATAAACAATACATTCAAATATGTATTGAATATGTAAGTATATACACTTAATTATAGACAAATACAATTTTGTTCTTTATAGAGTTTTTCAAATCACCAATGAGCATTTGCAAATGCTGACCATGTACTAAACTACAAAGAAAATCTCAATACAGTGTAAAAATTTAAATGATTATTGGGCATGTTATTTGATTGCAATACACTAAACTGGAAATTAACTATTAAAAGATGACAAAAGTGGTCTAACTTCTTAAAAATTACAATAAAAGCTTTTTATCATGCCTTTTGAATAAATGAAGAAAACAAATCTAAAATTCGGACTACTGAAAGACATGATAAATGGAAGCAGTGCACATCGGAATCTAAAGGATACAGCAAAAAGCATCCTGACAGAAAAATCCATATTTTTCAGTTATTTTGTGATAAAACAAGAAAAATGGAAGATTAGTTAAAATTTAATTCAAGAAGTTTTAACAATAAAAGACCAAAATAAAGTTGGAAATATAAACTAATGAAGACGGCCTGCCGCAGTGGCTCACGCCTGTAATCCCAGCACTTTGGGAGGCTGAGGTTGGGAGTTTGAGACCAACCTGAACAACATGGAGAAACCCTGTCTCTACTAAAAATTCAAAATTAGCTGGGCGTGGTGGTGCATGCCTGTAATCCCAGCTACTTGGGAGGCTGAGGCAGGAGAATCGCTTGAACCCGGGAGGTGGAGGTTGCGGTGAGCTGAGATCATGCCATTGCATTCCAGCCTGGGCGACAGAGCGGGACTCCGTCTCAAAAAAATAAATAAAATTAATTAATTAATGAAGAATTAGAAAATAACAAAATTTAAAATTTGATAAAATCATAAGAGTGGTTTTAGAAAATATCAACAAGAGAAACAAACCGCTGATAAACCTGGCCAAGAAAACACTTTAAAAGATAGCTGGGCTGGACGCAGTGGCTAACGCCTGTAATCCCATCACTTTGGGAGGCCTAGGTGGGTGGATCACATGTGGTCAGGAGTTTGAGACCAGCCTGATCAGCACAGTGAAACCCTGTCTCTACTAAAAATACAAAATTAGCTGGACATGGTGGTGCATGCCTGTAATCCTAGCTACTTGGGAGGCTGAGGCAGGATAATCACTTGAACCCAGGAGGCAGAGGTTGCAGTTAGCCCAGATCATGCCATTGCACTTCAGCCTGGACAACAAGAGTGAAACTCTGTCTCAAAAAAAAAAAAAAAATACCTGCAGTTATTAAAATTGAGAAAGGATAGATTGACAATTTTGTCAAAGATTTACTTCCAGATAGTGTTACAGGAGGATACTCTCAAATTTTAAAGGATCTGGTAATTCCCATGGTTTTTTGATGTTGTTTGTTTGTTTGTTTGTTTGTTTTGAGATGGAGTTTCGCTCTTGTTGCCCAGACTGGAGTGCAATGGCGCGATCTCGGCTTGTCGCAACCTCTGCCTCCCAGGTTCAAGCAGTTCTGCCTCAGCCTCCCGCGTAGCTGGGATTACAGGCATGTGCCACTCCACCCGGCTAATTTTTTGTATTTTTAGTAGACACGGGGTTTCTCCATGTTGGTCAGCTGGTCCCGAACTCCTGACCTCAGGCGATCTGCCCGCCTTGGACTCCCAAAGTGCTGGGATTACAGGTGTGAGCCACCATGCCAGGCCAATTCCCATGTTATCAAATTATGTCAGTATAAGAAAAGATGGACACTTGCCAATTCAATTTTTTAGGTTATCATAATCCAGATTTCAAACCCAATAAAACATCAAAAACTGTAGACCTAATACTTCATCAGTATAGATGTAAAGGTCCTAAAGAAAATATTAGCAATTTAATCCATCTGTTCATTAAAAACGTTATGATCAAGGAACTTTTGAGAATTTAAGAATAGTTCAAAATTAAGAACTGTGTTGATTATGTCATTTTTATAGTTGCCTGTAGGAAGCAACCTCTAAGATGGTCCCCAGTGATCTCTGCCTCCTGGTATTCACAACCTTGTGGAGTCTTCTACTCTTGAATAATTTTCTATTCACCAATAGAATTCAGCAACATTGAGGGGATAATATTTCCATGTTTAAATGACAAAAGATTTTGACTTCCATCTTCCCAGCAGACTCTCTTTTGCTGGCTGTGATGAAGCAAGTTGCTGCATCAGGAAGCTCTATTAAGCAAGGACCTAAAGGTAGCCTCTGATCAAGAGCCAGTTAGGAACTGAGAGCATCAGTTCAACAGTCCAAAAGGAACTGAATCTTCCAACAACCACATGAGGGAGCTTAGAAGCAGATCCTTCCCCAGTTGAGCATTCCCATGAGACTCCATCCTGGCCAACACCTTGATTGCAGCCTCATAAGAGATCCCAAAGCAGACAGCCCAGCTAAGCTATGATCAGGCTCCTGACCCACATAAACTGTGAGATAATAAGCATGTGTGAAGTTGCTATGTTGGTGGCAATTTGTTATGTTGTAATAGACATCTCATTCGGATGCCTAACAAGCTTTTGAGAAAACTGACTAGCCATTTATATAAGAAGCCTCTAATTCTGTGGGCCTCATCTTTCCATAAAGGGATTTCTAACAGTAATGTTTCTGTCCTCTCTCTGGATCTTCCTACCAGGGAGTGTCTGGTGAGTATTGGAGAATACACTGAAATTCCTTGGCTCTGCCCCTTGTGAGCTTCCCATTTTAGATGTGCTCGCCTGCAGACAGGGTCTTTTTCTGGAATGCCTTCCTTCGTGTGATATTAATTTTACCAGGGCAGCCATGGCTATGTGGAGGAGGCTTACCGTTTTGCACTTTCATCTAGGTGAGTTTATTTCTAGGGTGAAAAATTAGAAAGCCATCTGAGTCCCCACATCTGTGCCACATTCTTCAATTGTTCTCACCAATTAAGCTGGTGTTTTGATCTGTATCTGTCTGGTTCTTGTGTTCAGAATTGGTTCTAAACTCAAGGTGGGAAAAAGTTATTCATTAGTGCCCTAAAACTCTACCTAATGTTAGTTAAATTCTTAGGAGTCAAAGGAAGCTCCCTTAATATGGCAAAAAGTATATAAAGAAATCAACAGCAACTATCATATTCAATGATTGATTAATAAAGGAATTTCTATAAAAGTCAGAAACAAGGTAAGAATGCCCCATTACTATTAGCATCCAAACTTGCTAATAAGGGAGAAAATGGAATTAATATATACATAGGTTGGAAAGGAAGAGATAAGCATGATTATTTTGATGATATATTCTCATACATGGAAAATCCAAAAATATCAGCTGAAAAGTATTGAAACAAATAAGTATGGTCCGTAAAATATAGAGAAAAAATATGTACAAAAGCCAGTTGCTATTCTTTATACAGCAATTCTTTGTTGGAAAATATAATGGGCAAAAAAGTCCATTCACAATAGCAGCAAAATGATAAAATACTCAGAACATATCTAAAAGAAATGTGAAAAATCTTTCTGAAGAAATACGTAAAACTTCTCTGAAGGAAATAAAAAGAAGAAAGAAAGATCTAAAGAAGTGGAGAGACAACCAGCAGGGTTCAGTGACTTAAGCTATTCTGTTAGGACAATGTGTACTGTATTTCTCATGAGTTAAACATAAAAGCAAATAACAGTACTACAGGGTTCTTTAGGAGATGATCAGAAAATATCATTTACATAGTATCCAAGCTCCATATTAAACAGGTTTTTGAATTATTCAGTACCGTCCAACAACTTTTATAGTTCTGTGATTTGGACAAGGCGTGCAGCACACCTGGCTGCTTGACAATGTTGTCAGTCTTCAACAATCCTTCCTCAACCCTAAATGGTAGAACAGGCTCATCATCATGGAGACCCTAGCACACTGCAAAAATGATCTACTCTGCATTTTCTTCTGTTGGAAAATGGCTGCATAGAATTATATGTGCAGCAAACAGAGGGCTAGCAAAGTTCCGCAAACAGCATTTCACACAGAGCTGAAGAGTGGTTTCCTCATGGAGTCAAAAAGCTGATTAAGCATCTCTCCTCTGAGCTGCATGCCTATGTGAACCAACAGCAGCTTTGAACAGCACCAAATGGCTCCATAGAGCCTGTTCCTGTTACAATGTGAGACTCCAGAAAGATGCAAACAACATATTATTCCTCATTTTGTGGTTCTTTGGGCTCCAAGACCACAATCTCTACTTAATAAATTATCTTTTTTGGGGGAATGGGCAGGCTCTTGTTCTGTCACTCAGGATGGAGTAAAATGGTGGGATCATAGTTCATTGCAGCCTCCAACTCCTGGGCTAAAACAACCCTCCCACCTTAGCCTCCTAAGTAGCTGGAACTACACGTATGCACCACCTCGCCTGGCTAATTTTAAAATTTCTTGTAGATGGGGTCTCGCTATGTTGCCCAGGCTGGTCTCAAACTCCTGGGCCCAAGCCTCCTGGGCTCAAGTGATCTTCCTGCCTTGGCCTCTCAGAGCCCTGGGATTATAGGTGTAAGCCACTGCTGTTATTAAGCAAGGACAAAGGTCGTATGGCTAACAGTTTATTACACCCACAGTACTCTGTGTCTCTCAATTAGTCATGGAGTAAATCATAGTGGCTTTCTTGTGTGTGTCAGGTTGGTCTGAAACAGACAGGCCTCCATGGACCTGTAGGCATCCCCCTGTGGCAGTCCTAGTCTTCTGGCCTGTGAGACAGCCCATTCCAGAAACAGGAAAGATGGGGTTCATCATTATTTGCTTTTTAAATCTCTCATATATTGCCTTTATTTTTCTATTACCCCATTCCAACTTCCCCTCCTTTCTAAACTTCTCTTGCTGAACATTTTTGTAGGAATTGGGGTAAAATTGTCTTGAGAAAAGGCAGCTGTGGACTATACTATAAGTTTCCCAAAGGTGGGACTGTGTTTTATTCATTTTTGAATCCTCAAAACCTATTACACGATACATGCACTCTACATTGTTGAATAAGGTAACATAATTTTGAACTTGAAGCAAATAAGGAATTTCTATGAGAGTACTGACAAGTATACATAAATCATGTATACTTCTGGTGTATGCTGGCCTCAATTTTAAGCAAAGTTGAGAGCTTTGAGTCAGACACAAGAGTAGGAAATAAATGGTAGAATTAGCTACATACAGAGGGAAGTTTTAGAATCTCTTTTCCTATAACAAGTCAAAGGCAGTGGCTCTTTTGGAGTGTTTCTGTTTGTGTTATTGGTCTTGAGGTAGGACAGACCAGCTCATCCTATAAGGTTCTTCTAGATTTCTGTTGCTAACAAATTCGGTAAGAAAGAATGAATGAGACAAGATCCATTGCAAGTGGTCATTCAGTCTCTGCAGCATGTTTTTCTGTCTGAGAGCATGGCCTACATTCAGAAGCCTGATTCTGCTGCTGCTCTTCTTCTGGGAAAGGCCTTGACTGCAGAAAGCAGGGATGGAAGGTTCTCTTACTTACATCAAGTCCTTTTTTTTTTTTTTTTTTTTTTTTTTGCCGGGGACCCCACCTTCCTTTGTGCCCATGTCTGATGACTGGCATTTGCCATTTTTTTCTTTCTCTAAATCATTATGTTTCAAAACCGGGGGTTCTGCAGATTCTTTAGAATTAGGACCCTGTATTTCTCTCATCAGCCCATCCTGTCCTTGATTCAAGGGTTGGTCTGTGCTACATCCTGTGTTGCTTATCTAATGTCAGCTGCCTGCTTGGAACCAGAGAATTGCTACTTTTGAATCCCCCATGACTGGGGAGGGGATACCCATGCCTCCATGTCAATCACAGACAACCCCAGCACCGACATGCTGCTTGCCTGGGTTGGGCCTTGGCCTGGTGTTTTGCCTTCTCTCTACTACATATGCCTGTTTCTCCACACATGTAGCCATTCCCCTCCATTTCTCAGGGTCAAGTGCAGGCTGATTGTGGCCCATTCCAAACTACTCCTATGACCATGGTTCACTGGACTATACTTAACCATGTCTTGAGATGCAGCTGCAGCCAACAAATTCAGGAAACATGACATCAGCAAATTTTAAAAAATCTCAATTGAGAAAACGCACAGTCTACAAAAAAAAAAGGTGATGTGTCTTTGGCATTCACAGTGAGTTCTTACCATCTGCCACCATCTTTAACACCATTTAAATCTTCTCCATTTTTTGCTCAAAATATATTCCTCTTTCATTGTAGGTCTTCCAAAGAACATAAAAGTATAAACAATTTATTTTTTAATTTTACTTTTAATTTATGATTATTAATTTTTATTTTTAATTTTTTAATTTTTTTCAGACAGAGTCTTGCTCTGTCGCCCAGGCTGGAGTGCAGTGGCACGATCTTGGGTCACTGCAACCTCCGCTTCCCGGGTTCAAGCGATTCTCCTGCCTCAGCCTCCCAAGTAGCTGGGATTACAGGCACACACCAGCACGCCTGGCTAATTTTTGTATTTTTAGTAGAGACAGGGTTTTGCCATGTTGGCCAGGCTGGTCATGAACTCCTGACCTCAGGTGATCTGCCTGCTTCGGCCTCCCAAAGTGTTGAGATTATAGGCGTGAGCCACAGCACCTAGCCTATAAGCAATTTAAAATGTGTAAAAGATGCCAAATTTTGGTGAGGCAGAGGGAGATGAATGGCTCAGGCTGGCCTCTATGGTGGAGAAATCTCAAAGTAAGATTAATTGTTCCTAAGCTGGATGAAGCTGGTTCTGTTTGCCTGTGCACCTGTAATTGTTCATGCCCTTCAGCATTAGCAAACAACAAACTCTAGTTATTATAGGCAGAAAGGGAACCTACTGGTAGAATATGGAGTAGCTCAGACAATTAACAGGGAGGACAGAGAAGCAGGAAAATACCAAGAAAAGCTGGCTGTCCAGCACAGGGCAGGGCACCGCACAGTGGATACAGGCTGATTAGGGTGGCTGCCATCACTACTGCTGCATGGGTGCCACTGGACCCTGAATGCTGTCGGTGGTGCCACTAGGATAGGTTCTAAATTATCTCTGCTCCTAGGATTCCCTGCTCCAGACTCAAAGTTCTAGGCAAGAGTGGTTCCTGGCGATATCCTGGTGGCAACCCCATATCCTATCAGCTTCCTATGAAGGCTCACACAAAGGTGGAACTTGAGAAGGGAGTTCAGATGCTGAGCAGCCAAAAGTATGACAAGTGCTTGTTTCTCTCCTTTAACAACTTGCCCAAGAATACGCTTTATTGATTACCCTCCATGAGTGGGGGATAGCGGGATAGACTTACTCTCCCAAGGCAGGGAGCCAAGCTCCTGGGCTTGATCCCTGAGGGACTAATGCAGATTCTTACACTCCTTCTTGGAAGGAAACAGGAAGTAAAAACTCACTATGAGAAAAAGGTTGAGGTCTCGTAGGCTGTAAACACAGCTGTATTAGTCTGTCCTCATGCTGCTAATAAAGACATACTTGAGACTGGGTAATTTATAAAGAAAAAGATGTTTAATGGACTTACAGTTCTGCGTGGCTGGGGAGGCCTCACAATCACGGTGGAAGGCGGAGGAGGGGCAAAGTCACATCTTAGACGGCGGCAGGCAAGAGAGCTTGTGTAGGGAAACTCCCATTTATAAAACCATCAGATCTTATGAGACTTATTCACTACCATGAGAACAGTATGGAGGAAACTGCCCTCCATGATTCAATTATCTCCATCTGGCCCCACCCTTGACACATGGGGATTGTTACAATTCAAGGTGAGATTTGGGTAGGAACACAGAGCCAAACCATATCACCAACTCTGCCATTTAATTCCTTAGACAAGTTCCTTAATATCTCTGGGCCTCCATGTTCTCACCTGTGAAACGGGGAGAATTAAATGAGGCAATATATTTACAGTTCCTAATATGGAGCCCAGCATATACTAAGTGTTCAATCAGTGCACCATTATTATTATCGTTGTGATTTTGATTGCCTGAGTCCATTTCTCTGGGCCACAGTCCGGTCAACTTCACCCTCTCCTCACAGTGGTCTCTCTGCCTTGAGCTTCCAGGTGGCGGGTCAGGCTCAGGGCCTGATTTCTCCTTCCTGGAGGAGCTTCAGAATGTTGGCTTCTTTGTGGAGAAGAGGGATGATGTGTGAAGGGACAGAGTGTCATTGAGTGAACAAGTTTAAATAGAATCTTTCCATGAGAACTCTGGGATAATTTGGGGCTTGTGGTCAGAAAATGGTCAGTTATCGAATGGAGGAGTAAAGGCATTTTCTTCCTTCTCCCTCTTTTGAAACTCATCCAAAACATCAAAAAATAGACACAAAAACTCCATCTTAAATTTAAAAAAGAGAAAAAGAAAAGTCACACAATCTCAAGCCCACCTAGACCAAGTGTAAGTCATATGCTTGTGCAGTTAGTAACATTAATTATTAATACAATGATATTAATATAATAAAATATTAATCTTATATTAATACCAATATTAATATCAATTTTTAAAAACCACTTTATTGAGGTATGATCGACATACAAAAGTATATACATAATGTATGTAAAGTTCTAAATTTTTTTTGTTTTAAACAAAGTGCCAGATACAAGACAAGGTTATGGCTGAGAAAAACAGCTATTTCCACTAATTCCAGATTCTACCTAAATCAGCTGGCCCAAGGAGCGTCTCATTGTATTAAAAAAATTGTCTTTTGGCATACATAAGACTCAAGGTGGGAAACTGTTCATAAAATACACTGGAATCATCCTTCTCCAGATTATCCAAACTGCACCTTCTTCTTAATTTGAGATTTTCAAGGACGTTGTTAGGTTCCATGAACTTTTTAACCCACACAAGGAAGCTGCTTCTCTCTTCACAAGGATCAGAAAGCTAATGGAATAGAGTTGGAGGTGGCAATTCGCTGCAGCAGGGGGCATCCTGTGTGGATGTGTTTGGTGCAGAATGAGTTTAAATGAGGAAATTAATGTTTCACGTCAAGACAGGTGTCCCAAAAGCCGGGGAGATGCAATGAGCAGTCCTTTGGCTGCCTTGACTTGACTTCTTCCAGGGCAGCAGAAGAGCATCTGGGGCTATCAGGGTACTGGTTTGCTAGCTTTCTTTTGCTTTTGGGAATACTACATCAGTTGCCCAATTAACCTGATAGAACAACTCACACATTTACTTTGTTGTTCTTAGAGGATTCCTATGGGGCACAGTCTTGGCTAAGGCCACCTCACAGGGGAATGGCTGTTGGTTCTTTTAGCAGATTGATGGGCCGGGTATGCACACTGTCAAAGACTGCTGCAGTTTAATAAGGCTCTCAAGAGCATTTCCAACACCCGTCTAACCGGAAGACTGTGCCTCAATATGGCCATAGGACAGGGGAGTGAAGCGGTAAAGATGGAGGGATCCGCCTCACACTCACACTAGTGGACTCAGAGTCTGCCTTCTCCTCGATGGTTGGCCCCATGAGTTCAAAGTCCATGACTCTCTCAGTAGCAATATACAACGCAGCCTCACAAGAAGGGTTATGTGTTGAATTTTGTCCCCAAAAATTTATACATTGAAGTCCTAACCTGGGCTGGGCATGGTGGCTCATTCCTGTAGTCCCAGAGCTTTGGGAGGCTGAGGCGGGTGGATCACTTGAGCCTAGGAGTTCGAGACCAGCCTGGGCAATGTGGTGAAACCTTGTCTCTAGAAAAAATACAAAGATTAGCTGGGCTCGGTGGTGAATGCCTGTGATCCCAGTTATTTAGTAGGCTAAGATGGGAGGATCGCTTGAGCCCAGGAGGTTGAGGTTGCAGTGAGCTGAGATTGCGCCACTGCATTCCAGCCTGGGTGACAGAGAGACCCTATCTCAAAAAAAAAAAAAAAAAAAAAGTGCTAACCCCCGTGAATGTCACTTTATTTTGAAAGAGGATTATTGCAGACAGAATTAGTTAAGATGAGGTCATACCAGAGTAGGGTGGACCCCTAATATATTGTGTCCTTATAAATAGGGGAAATTTGGACACACCCACAGACAGGAAGAAAAACACTGTATGAAGATTGGAGGTATGCTGCCAGAAGCCAAGAAACTAGTAGAAACAAGTAGAGAGGCCCAGAACAGGTCCTTCTCTACCACCTTCAGAGGGAGCATGGCTCTGCCAACACCTCGATCTAGGACTTCTAGCCTTCAGAACTCCAGGACAATACATTTCTGTTGTGTAGGTCACCTGGTGTGTGGTACGTCGTTATGGCAGCCCTAGCAAACCAATACAAAGGGCTTGGCACAGGGAATGATGAACAATTGTTTCAATGAAAATCTAAGGAATCGTCGTGTCCCTTACTAAGCTGTGAGATCTCAATGAATGAATTTTGCTCCACAGTATGAGATGGAAGAAATGTCTCACTTATTTCTTTAAGTCAAATTTATTCTGCTCCCTGTGCAACTGGTTTGACAGGAACTTTAATGTTATGATGTTTCCGCTTCTGCCCCCACATCCCTGGGTTTGGGGAAGGTCCCTGCAGCCTCACACCATCTAAAACCTTTGGAGAGGGATTCTTTGGAGAGGCACATGGAGAACCAAGCCTGCACCCAGCTGAGCTTCTCATCGAGGTTGGCATTCTTGGCCTCTCCAGGAACACCTCAGAAGCATGCTTCTGTGAGGTCTGGCCATCCCTTGTGGTATAGCAAGGTTTAGCTGATTCTTGCAACTCTTGTGACATCCCCCACTGAAAAATCCTGTTTGTCTTTTAAGCTTGAGGAATAAAATCTTTCTCCTCTGTTCCTATAGCATTTCCCCTTCTTTTCTCCCCAGGGTACTCACCTCTTTTTTCACC
Source organism: Homo sapiens (assembly GCF_000001405.40). Classification (NCBI taxonomy): domain Eukaryota; kingdom Metazoa; phylum Chordata; class Mammalia; order Primates; family Hominidae; genus Homo; species Homo sapiens. The sequence continues at coordinate 9,215,335 of NC_000008.11, forward strand.
CTCTCCAGAGACATCTCTAACTTAGGCTTTGCAAAACCAAAACCAGAAAACTCTGCCTTTATCTTGGCAACACAAACCCTTCTGAGGCTAGCAATGCAATAGTTGGATACCATCTTCCCTGGGGAAGGCAGAATTCAGTGTGAATGAAACACAAATTAACATCAGTGGTATATGGTGTTATTGTTCCCAATTATTCAATCCCTCTTTCTTCAAGGATTAGACATCCCTGCCCCCAAATTGCTATGTGACTTGCTGTGCTCTCCTGTGGGAGAAATATCTATTCCCTGCCCCAAATGATGTTGGACTTAGCCCTGCGACTTGCTTTGTTGATGGGATATGAGCAGATACAATGTAATGCCCTGTTTGAGCAGAAGCTTTAAAAGCCACCATGTTTCGACCAGTTCCTCTGACTCTTTTTCCTCTGCCATGAGAATAGTGTGTCCAAATAGAGCCTGCTCCTTCAGCCTGGATTCCAGAAGGAAGAGGACTTGTAGAACAGACCCACAGCCAACTTACTGTTGTGCAGAGCTGGCATCTGGAGCCAGTCCACAGCTGACATGTAACCAACACACATGAGAAACAAATCTTTGTTATTGTAAGCTACTGAGAGCTGGGGTCTAGTGTTGTTTGTAATCATAGTATAATCTAGTAAGCGCTTACTAGTAAAATGTCTAAATAATTATCTTTCCACTTAGAAAGATAATTCCCTTCTCTGAAGCTCATTTTTATTGCATGTGAAGTTGGCTTGGTTGGGCCGTGTGATACCTTAAGTCCTTTCCAGTTTGAATCGTCTAGGATTCTAAATCCATGTGCCCAGCTTCCTGCCTTATCCTGGATCCACATTGTTCAGTTGTGAAGCCATCTGCAAATCTCCTGCCCTTTCCTCGCCCTTGCAACCTTTTATTCTAACCCAAGTATCTGTGACAAAACAGGGGCCAATCATAGAGCGGAAAGAACAGTGGCTTAGGACACCTGCAGACTGAGTTCTAATTCTAGAAGCCAATTACTACCTGTTTGACCGCTGGCAATTTTACCTCATCTCCCTGAGCTGCTGTTTTCTTATTTGTAAAACAGGGATGCTAGGATTGTAAGGATGAAATAAGCTAATTCAAGTTTCGAATGCAGAACTTGTCACATACTATATATTTAACAAAAGTTAATTGCCTTCTTCCTTCCAAATGTAGTTTTTAGATTTATTTTTTTTGAAACTTTTAGGCTCGGAGTACATGTGCAGGTTTGTTATATAGGTAAACTAGTGTCTTGGGGGTTTGTTATACAGATTATTTCATCACCCAGGTACTAAGCCTAGCACCCAATAGTTATTTTTTCTGACTGACTCTCTCCTCCCACCCTCCACCCTCAAGTAGGCCCCAGTGTGTGTTGTTCCCCTCTTTGTGTCCATGTGCTCTCATCATTTAGTTCATGCTTATAAGTGAGAACATGCAGTATTTGGTTTTCTGTTCCTGCAATAGTTTGCTAAGCATAATGGCATCCAGCTCCATCCATGTTCCCCACAAAGGACACAATCTTGTTCTTTCTTATGGCTGCACAGTATTCCATGCTGTATATGTGCCACATTTTCTTCATCCAGTCTATCACAGATGGGCAGTTAGATTGATTCCATGTCTTTGTTATTGTGAATAGTGCTGCAGTGAACATCTGCATGACTGTATGTTTAAGGTAGAAAGATATATATTCCTATGGGTACATACCAGTAATGAGATTGCTAGGTCAAATGGTAGTTCTGTTTTTGGCTCTTTGAGGAATTGCCATATTGCTTTCCACAATGGGTGAACTAATTTACACTCCCACCAACAGTGTATAAGCATTTTCTTTTCTCTGCAACCTCGCCATCATCTGCTATATTTTGATATTTTTATAATAGCCATTCTGACTAGTGTGAGATGGTATCTCACTGTGGTTTTGATCTGCATTTCTGTAATGGTCAGTGATGTTGAGATTTTTTTCTTGTGCTTTTTGGTCGCATGTATGTCTTCTGAAAAGTGTCTCTTCATGTCCTTCTAAATGTCTTTAAGAGTTTCTGTATCCAAGAAGATTTTCAACCTAATGGGAACCAGTATCATAAGATAAAAGGAAAAAATTAAAACTTCCTTTCTGGTATCAGTGGTAGATGAGGAGGAGAATGTCAGGAATCTTGAGTCCTGTAAATTAAAACCATGGAGAGTTGCCTCTCTTTCTTGTTTGGAGGGATGTTTGGTCTTGTGTAGTGGTGCTTTGGAGTAGGGATTAGGCTTCTCAGAAAACTTCACCTTATTGACTTTTCTAATTACCCCCTGGATTCAGACTTTCCTTTCTAACAAAAGGCTACTATCCTGGTTGCCACACTGCTTTGCCCCACCCAGCTTACGTCTCACTTTGCTCCAAATAGAAGGAGTGTTTTCTTTGTCCATCAAAGCCACGTCCAGATTCTGGGGCTTCCATATCTTTTTCATAGCTCAAGCAACATCAGTACATCAATTGTCTAGGCCATAGAGACATGTAACTGGAATCTTGAAATGCAACTTCTAGGTTCTGAGATGGCTCCTCCAATGACAATGCCAGCTCTGATAGCTAAAGCAAAAGTGGACTGAGACCTGAATATCTGGGCCAGAAAAGGAAAGAAGTGTTGAAGAATGTTCTGTTTTACTTCACCAGTTTCAAATTTGTTGCAGAGGCAGCGAAGGACTCTCTGAAGATAGAACATATGAAGCAAGCCCTAATGCCATGAAGAAGCAGCCGAGTGAATGTCTAGGGGGGACTAATCCAGACAGAAGGAAAGAGCAAAGTCCCTGACCTGGGCACAGTCTTGGTGTGTTTGAGGGATGGAAAGTGGACCAGAGAGGCTCTAGGGTAGAGAATAGGTGGTGCATGCTAGGAGGTTTGGGTGGAGAGGCGGGGTGCCATGGGAAAACGGGAAGCCACTGAAGGTCATTTAGCAGCAAGTCATGGGGTCTCAGAGTCATCTCTGACAAATCAAGCTACTGTCATAAATAAGAATAAACGGGGTGGGGGAGCAGGAGCCCAAGTGAATCTTGTGGTTCCAGACAAGAGATGATGGCAGCCTGGACCAGGATTTTAAAGACCTTGAAAACTCAGACAGAGAAAGAGTGAGTTCAGTAAAGAACACTCACTCTTTCTCTGTCTTCCTCTCTAGCTCATCTCTCTGCCTGCATGAGCTCATGACTAGTCCTGGGATTTTAGGTCAATCTCTGTGCCCAAATGCATATTTCAATCCCTGCTTTTTCCACCAAGCTCCAAATTAGTGTTTGACAAACTACAGCCCAACTGTGGCCTGGCATCCATTTCCGTATGGCCCAAAAGCTAAGAAAGGTCTTTATACTTTTAAAAGATAGGGAAAAAATCAAAGAAGAGTGTATAACAGGGACTCTATGATCCCAAAAGAAAAAGTTTGATTACTTCTAGTCTAGACTCATATATAGCTCAAGTATAATGTGTCCCAACCAAAACTTTTGATGTCCCCCTGCCAAAATTTTTTCCTGCCTCACTCTTCTCCATTTCAGTAAATGGCATTTCTATGTGCCAGCTGCCTAAATTTAAAAATCTAGAAGTCAGACATTGATCCTATCTTGTATATTTTTTACTCAACCTATCAGCCCATTCTCTGGTTCCCCTCTGACATACGCTCTGCATCAGGTCACTGCTCACCACTTCCACTGTTAAAAGAACACTGAAGTTAGAGAATACTGGGGAGGGGGTGTGCATTATTCAAATTTTATTATGCAAGGCAACAAACAGTCCCTGTAGCTCAGTGCCTTCTGAGAAAAAAGGTCTATTTCTCACTCAAGTTACATGGTGGCTGCAGTCCTACTGTCAGTCTATTCTACATCTTCCTTCCAGACCCAGACTGAAAGATACACGCCCATCAGAGCAGCCTGCAGGGGAGGCCAAAGAGAGATGGTAGAACCAGGCAAGGACCCTAAAATATTCTCCCGGAATGCAGCATCTGTCACTTGCATTCACTTTCCATGATCAATCTGGTGGTTGAGGGGATGGGTAATTCTCTCACAGGGATACACCGTGAATCTTTGGGAACAAGAATACAACTATCACAAAGAATGTGGTGTTAAGGAAATCTACAGCACCTAATAATTCAAGAAATGGGATGTGGTCAGCTAGATCAAATGCCATTTAGAAGTTGAGTAAGATGAGATCAGAGCAGTGACAACTAGGGTTGGAAATATAGAGGTCTTTTGTTTAGTCAATAAGTCATTCTTCTAGGCTAGCCATATTAATGTGTACTTTCTGTGCTGGATGCCAATAGTAACAATACTGTTGTCAGCCTGCCTCTGTAAGAACAATCTCACCACTTCTGTACTCTGAAAATGGAGCTGATTCAGGATTGGTGACTTGTGGGCCCAATAATCCAATGTATTTAGCAACAAATTTAGAAGGAAACCTGATTTTTTATTTTTCCAATTGTAATTATGTGCATTCTTGGAGAGGAATCTGTGGCTACACAAACAGCAATGATTATAGCTTCTGACCAAATTAATTTAAAGGGTTTTCCAAAGAGGCATTGAACAGTAAGTTTGCACTTTGAGGAAGATTCTCTACACACCTTTTTTTTTTCCTATTAGTCAGATTTTCTGGGTCAACCCTAACACTTCCCCCAGATCTACCTCTTTCTTTGAGAGGAATGCGTGCACAAGTTTGCAAAGTCGGGTGTGGGGACTGTGCTGGTGAAGCAATAGCAATGGTGTTGAGCCGAAATGTGGATTCCCTGGGTGTTTTTCTCCTCTGTCTGCCCGGGGACGACTGCAGAAGTCATTTTGATATTTGGCAAGATACCTGAAAAACGTGAAATTTCTCCATGTGATCTGTATTTACTTTGACATTTTAAAAGAATTGTTCTTTTAAAATATAAATCCTAAATCTTTGATTTTTCTTTTTAAGTTTAGAATATCGAAGTTGGTAAGTTGGTTTCTAAACATTTTTTTTATGTTTTGAGATAGGGTCTCATTCTGTTGCCCAGGGTGAGTGTAGTGGTGCGATCTTGGCTCACTGCAGCCTCAACCTCCCAGGCTCAAGCAACTCTCCCACCTCTGTCTCCCAGGTAGCTGGGACTACAGGCATGCACAACCATGCCTGGCTGATTTTTGTATTTTTTGTAGAGACGAGTTTTTGCCATGTTGCCCAAGGTGGTCTTGAACTCCTGGGCTCAAACAGTCCACCTGCCTTGGCCTCCCAAAGTGCTAAGTTTACAGGCATGAGCCACCATACGCAGCTGGTAAAATCTTAAAGGTATTTGGATTCAACTTTTTTTTTTTTTTTTTTAAATGAGAATCTCTACAACCCTAATAAGCTTAGCCTCCCTCTGCTGTATCTGGAGAGCAGGGTGCTCATTGTCTTAGTACCCAGGGGACAACACCAACCTTCAACTGATGGGACTCTCTAATTTTGAGGGAATCCTTTCTCATGTTTAATTAAAACTTGCCTTCTTGTAACTTCCACTAGTAATCCATGCTAGGGATAATACAGATGTGGCATAATAAGAAATATATCTAGTCTTTGTCCCTAGTTCCTAGCACAGAGCTTCTAAAAACAAAACAAAACAAAACAAAAACCCTTGGAACTTCTTCCTGAGTGATAGGAGTGTCTTTTGTTATTTGTAATGAGAGCCCCTTTCTATCACACCTGAGTTCAGGCTAATGAGATGAACCCCCAGAGTGGGACTCCCAGATAGCTTCAGGATGGGGGCTGGTCAAACATGACGCCATTATTTGAGGGTTAGAAATTTCAGCTCTTGTCCCCAACCTATGGGGAGGAAAGAGGCAGTGGAGATTGAATTCAATCACCAATGGCCAATGAGTTAATCCATCAAGCCAACGTAATGAAACCTTCGTAAAATCTGAATGAGAGCTTCTGTGTTGGTGAACACATCCATGTGCCGGGAGGGAGGCATACCTCAACTCCAAAGAGGCAGAGGCTCTTGTGCTCAGGACATTTTTGGACCTCATCTTATGTACCTCTTCATCTGGCTGTTCATTCCCATCCTTTATAATAAAATATAGTTCCAAGTATGGCATTTTCCTGAGTTCTGAGTTGTTCTAGCAAATTAAGGAAATGTGGCGTGGGGCGAGGGCAGGTGGCGGGTGGCATGCTGCAAACCCTGGAACTTGTAGCAAAGTCAGACAAATTCAGGTGACCTGGGAACCCAGTACCTATAACTGATGTCTTAAGGGAGAGCAGTGTGTGGGACTGAGCCCCTTTAACTTGTGGGATCTGAGGCTAACTCCAGGTAGTGTCAGAATTAAACTGAATTGTTGGATACCCAGTTGATGTCCAGAGAATCAGAGATTAGGATAAATCTGCTCCACCATTTACATGAGAATCTTCTGAATATTCTTAGTCTTCTCTCTTAGGTTGCACGTCTGTAGTTCTTCAAACTCACATGGGAGGCAATTGACCATATACTCATCACTGCAATGAGCATATCAGGAGGTACCACATTGAACCAAGAATTCTGGTAAATGACATTTTCTCCCTCTCCTTACACATCCAGTGATATTGAACATCTTATAGTTTGGATCCCTGGACACCTTCATGGCAGACTCACTCCTTACTCCAGCTCTGGATCTCAACAGTTCCCTCATCCCTCTCAGCCTTCTCCCTCACTCCTCAGAAGCTAACATTTGCCAAAGTCAATCTTGAAATGTTATGTTTAAAATTCAGCTCACTTCTCTAGATATAGCCTGATGAGGACACTACGGGTACCCTAGGCAGTTAATAAATAATAGTCATTAGTTAATAATTTTAGGTTCCTTCAAATGGATATGCTCTCAATATTTGTCTAACTGTGACTTGGGGTCAAGCAAGGAAGACTGGCTCGCAGCAGCTCTGGTCCTCTTCTCTACTGCTCTAATCAGTTCAGCTCTGGCCCAGTCCTGCACACCCTACTAGCAAACGTTAGTCCTACTATAGATAACTGCACCCACCTCCTTGTAAGCCATTTAATGACTCTCAATTATAACTCAAACTGTCCTCAGAGAGCTCAGCCTTCACTGCAATGAGCGTATCACAAAGTATCACATTCAACCAAGAATTCAAGAAAATGACATTCTTTTTCCTCTCTTTACACATCCAATGACATGGAGCATCTTATAGTTTGGATTTCTGGACACTTGCATGGTAGAGACACCCCTAAATCCCGCTCTGGCTCTGACCGATTATTTCCTGTGTTCTGAGTTGCTACATCAATTGCATCTGTTTAAAAAAATCCTATCACAGTGCAGCTCTTAGAAGAGTGTGCTTAACTTAAAAACAGATTTTTTTCCCCCCGACAGGAACTCCCAAGCCAGTCTTCCTCATTCTGTATTTACGTGATTGACTTTTGTGAGTCTAAATATAGAATTTTTCATTTAGCCTAGTTGCCTTTGACTCTGTAAGAGTCAACGGACCATTTTAATTTGTTAAAAACATTTTTAATTTTTATTCAAATATGTAAGTATAGGATAGTCTAGGCACTATTGCATTATATGATTGACAAAGACCTGGAGGTGGGAATTTATTTTTCATTTTGTTTTTGCTTTTGTTTTTTTGAGACAGAGTCTCACTCTGTCACCCAGGCTGGAGTGCAATGGTGCAAACTCGGCTTACTGCAACCTCCACCTCCTGGGTTCAAGCGATTCTCCTACCTCAGTCTCCCGAGTAGCTGGGACTACAGGCACCCACCACCATGTCTGGCTAATTTTTCACATTTTTAGTAGAGATGGGATTTCACCATGTTGACCAAACTGGTCTCTAACTCATGACCTCAAGTGAACCACCCACCTCGGCCTCCCAAAGAGATGAGATTACAGGCATGAGCCACCATGCCCGGCCAGGAGGTGGGAATTTAATCACTATCCCACATTAAGGAAGTGTCTGTGCAATCCAAATAATAGTCACTAGCCACTTAACGACTGTGATCACCTTAAGTGTAGCTAGTTCAAATAGAGATGTGCCGTAAGTATAAAGTACACATTGGATTTTAAAGACTGAGTGCAAAGAAAAAAGAATGTAAAATATCACATTAATAATTTTTGAAAAATACCGATGGTGTATTGAAATGATAATATGTTGGGTATATTGAGTTAAATAAAATCTATTATTAAAAATAATTTTACTTTTTCTTTTTACTTATGAAATGTAACTAGTAGAAAATTTAAAATTACACCTGTAGCTTACATTTCTGGTTCACATAATGTTTCTATTGGACAGCATTTCTCTAGAAGTTGAAGTGAGCCCTACCTTCCCTCTATTGCAATTGGATAATTAGAGCAAGCTTGCATTGGGCCAGAGGCAGTGGAAATTTTGACACAGGCCGAGGGTATTGGTATGTGGATGAATGTGGGAGGAGAAGGTAGTCTTGGGCAGCCAGAGAGCAGCATGATGCCAAGTGTGTAGGAGGCTTGAAAAAAGGGCAGGAGACTGGAGAAAATGTCTAGCAAAGCAGAGAGAGAACACTGAAATGGAACAGTTTTCTATAATTCCCATGTAATATGTTATCCCTGCTGATGTCTGGGTTGAATGTGGGTTTTTCCATAAGGCTCACACCACACCTTACTCCCGAGTCTTCCCCATTAGGAAAAGCTAGCCTGGTACCTCATTAACTAAGCCTGCCCATCCTTCACCAGCAGACGGAGGAAAGAGGGGATGGAGATGTCTGCCCTGTCCTCCTTTTAGCTCTTCTCCACTGAGACCCTACTCTTCTTTCAGCATTAATAAAATATTTACCAGAAAGTCCTTTGCTGTGGTACTGCCAGTTCCACAATTCCTGGTCCTCAAATATCATTTATTATGCAAACACAAAAGTAACATTTTTTCAAGATTGTTTTTCTGCCTTAACAGTATCTTTGGCTTTGATTTTGGAGGAGAGACCTTTTCATTGGGAGGCAGCTGGAGTCAGTCCCAGGCAGAGTCACCATTCAGTATTTGTGTGATGAATGCGCGTCTGAGCATGCTGTCCTTCTTACAAACAAAGACAGCAAAAAACGTAGCTAACGACTGGGAATGGTGGCTTACACCTGCAATCCCAGCACTTTGGGAGGCCAAGGGAGGAGGATCACTTGAGGCCAGGAGTATGAGACTAGCCTGGGCAGCATAGCAAGACCCCATCTCTTCAAAAAATAAAAATAAAAGAGGTTTTACATTGGGAGCATGAGGATAACGGTGGCTTTCAGACATTGTTTGTTAGTTGGGTGTGGTGGCACATAGCTGTAGTCCTAGCTACTAGGGATGCTGAGGAGTGGGGATTGCTTGATCCCAGAAGGCCGAGGCTGCAGTGAGCTACAGTTGCACCACTGCACCCCAGCGTGGGTGACAGAGCAAGATCCTATTTCTAAAACAAAATGAAGCAAAACAAAACACATAGCTAGCCACCAGTATCCGTAACTCTGTATTGCAGTGTTTTTTAACTAGACACCAGGAAGAAGATATGTATTGCATTTTTAATGTATGAAAGCAACCAGGTAGGCATTCACATTCAATGGCATGTTAATTCCCATGCAAACAGGAGGTGTTAGTCCCTTTCAAGATGGCAGCCATGAGAGTGGCAGAGGTTTTACACTGGCAGCCTAAGGATAAAGGTGGCTTTCAGACATAGTTTGTTTGGCTCTTGCAATGTTTTAAGAAATTAAGCCAGCCTTGGAAAATCAGAACATCTCACATAAACCTTCAGAGTTTGAGCTTCCCTTGAAATCTCACAAGATAACCCTGGGTCTGTGTTCCCCAGGGAAACAGGCTGGTGTGGAATAACAATAGCTGCATTATACTGGGCCTACCATCTCTGCTGCCAGATCCCTTGGCATGTGCACAGATACCACTAAATTCACATATTGAAGTTGTCTAGCCAGTTGATGAGTCATCTGTTGCCACTACCCCTTGATCTTCCTGACTGGAAAGCCAGTATAGAGTATACCCTCAAAAATGTGGCACAACGCAGGTTTTTTCATGATGGTTTTATTGCCAGGGAGGTAAAACAGTTGGGTGAAGGTGGAGATTCTGGAAGGGAATATTCATTAGGGTCCTGGATGCTGCATCCAGCTGGATATGTTTCCAAGAGGAGGAACGGAAAGAGGAGGAGGACAAAGCATGGAGCTGGGTGAGGAGAAGTCTCACTCACATTTCGAGTTCACTGTCATTTCCTTCCACTGCCTACCCAGGAGAGCTATGAACAAGGAAAGCTAGTTAGCGACTCGCCCAAAGCCATGCAATTATCTCAGCTTACTTACAATAGTAGACTTAACCATTTACAAGGATGTATTTTCCCTCTTACTAACAACAACAACAACAACAACAACAACAAGACAGGGTAGTGACAGCCTGAGGTCTGTGTGAGAGCAAATGGGTTGCACAAAGGCTCGCTGGCCTACCAGGTAGATGAAGGGGCACGTGGGTCTCAGAGTGATAAAGGGAAATCAGATCATGTGATCACACATTCCCAGGCCCAAAGAGCAGGTTAGTATTGCGCCATGTGTATTGCAGCCTGGGGCAGGAGAGTGAGAAAAGTCTTCCTCGCTTAAGAAGTCATCTCCTATGGCATCCCATATTCTTGGCTTTTATTTTAAAGTGACTAAATTTTTAAAAAAATAGTAGAAAAGGGACAGTAACCCAAACATGACAGCAAATTCTTTTTCAAAAGCAAATTGGATAAAAAGATACTGCTTGAGAAAAGACTTAATGGCCGGGGACGGTGGCTCACCCTTGTAATCCCAGCACTTTGGGAGGCTAAGGCAGGTGGATCACTTGAGTCCAGGAGTTCGAGATCAGCCTGGCCAATATGGTGAAACTCCATCTCTAGAAAAGACACAAAAATTATCTGTGCATAGGTTGTGCTTGTCTGTGGTCCCGATTACTCAGGAGGCTGAGGTGGGAGGATCACCTGAGCCCAGGTGGTCAAGGTTGCAGTGAGTCAAGATCATGCCACTGTACTCAAGCCTGGGTGACAGAATGAGACCCTGTCTAGAAAAAAAAAAAAAAAAAAAAAAGAAAGAAAAAGAAAAGACCTAAGTTTCCTTCACATTCCTGTGGTAGAATCTAGATAGCTTTTATAAACTTGAGTCCACTCTGGTTGCTGTTTTTGGCCTAGTTTCCTTTTGGACCAAGAAAAGAGTTTTGAAAGTCCCTCAGCCCATGGTGTGTTTTCTCTCCTGAGCAATTTCTAATTCAGGAGGCCAATTTTAGCCACACTGGGCAGTTTCGTGAAGGAGGGTCAGGTCTCACATGTTCTGTAATGACCAGTTTTTATTGAGGGCCAAATTGAACCCTTTTAAATTTCCATGCCCCTAGCCAAGATCTAGTTTCCCACTGACAGTAATCATAGTGTGAGCTGGTCATGAAGTCATATGTTTGTTTGCCTTTTTGTTTAGAGTAGGAATGGGACTGAAAGAAAGACCTGTTCAAAACTGAGAGATTGACTCAAATTTGACTTACATTTTATTACAAATGTGTTCAGTGCTTTTCTCCTGAATTTGAAATCTGATAAGTGCAAATCAGTGAAAAACAAACAAATGAAAATGGTGGTGCCTGACTCATTATGAGAACTATCCCAGTCCTTTCATTCTCGAAGTTTCTCTTCCCTGTTTTCCTTGTCCTAAGTCCAGTCCACAGGGATGGCTCCGAATTCACATCTCTCACTGAAGCCTTTGGTTCTGAAAGGATTGAATTTTTTTCTTTTGGGGCACTACACGGGCATTTGTATACCATAACCCCATGATAGCCTTTGCATTGCTCTGTAAGTTTCACGGTGTTGTGTATCTTTGGACTTGTGTATTGACAAAGACTCTCTCTTTGACCACACCCTAACCAGGCTCTTCTGAGCCTTCTTCTCTACTAGGCCTCAACTTTGGCCTATAGACTTGAACAAGCACTAACATAATTTTTGACAGTTCAAAGCCTCGTCCCTAGGATGACCCCAGCTCCCTTAGTGTGACTACCTGAGAAAACTCAAGGCTGTCAAAAGAATTTACTGTTGGTTGCAGCCATCACTTGAAGGTAGGGCCCCTGTTTCCCAGGCTCTATGGGAGGATGAAAGCCTAACTTCAATCAGAGTCAGTGAGCAAACCCAGCTGGGTTCATGTCCCCTCTTCCACTTTTCGTAATTTTTCACTTCCTTGACTCTATTGAGAAACCCCCTTGTCTCCTTCCCCAGTCCTTCATTCTCTTTTTAAAATGTCTGGTTAACTTTGCACAAATCAAAATTGAGGTCACTTCATGCTGGACTCTTTTCCCTATTGCAATAGTATACGACTGCTAAAAGCTGTCCTTGCCACTTTCGTTAGTGTCCGGCTTTATCTCCGACAGTATACATTGTCTGTCCAACTAAACTCCAAGCTCACTGAGTATATCATGCACCTTTTTGTGTTGGCCATGGCTCTCTGCACAGTGCTATGCACATGTAAGGTTCTCAGAAACAATCTACTCTGCTAGAGGAATGGCACAGCGATTGATATGGGGCATAGAATCTGCACAAATGGTGATTATCTTTGTTCTTGTTGTAGGATAAGTCAAGGAACTGGGAGATTCATTCAAACTAACTCACACTCATGACAGGTCTAAATCCACAACCAGGTCAGATCACATCCTCCCTGAGCTTGTATTTTGCGTTTTCTGGTCCTATGCTCCCTTAACTGTGCACCCCATACATACACACACTCAACACATCCATGCACATACACACTTGTGTGCACACACATGTGCACACATACACAGGCACATACTCATACACACATGAACAATACACATACATGCATACACATATGTATGTGTGGACATACACATAATACATGCACTTGCACATGTGTATATGCACATGCACACATGTGCACATATATACACACATACACACGTGTATACACAGATACATGCTCACACATGCACATGCACACACATGTACACACATGCACACATGATACATATACATGTGTGCACACATGAACATACGCACATACACACATGAACATACGCACACACACAGATATTGTAATTTCTCCTTCTGTTTTGTTTCTATATTTGCTCTCATTCTCATTTCTGGAAATATGCAATGTTATAAAAGCTAAACTCAGCACTAAAGTTCAAACGCACTGAGGCGATATTTCCCAGGAACCACAATTTTAGGGAGTGGATTATTAAGGTGAAAAAAATTATTTTTCAGTGTTTTAACTAAACAGATGTCTACAATTCAAGAGCACCAAGACTTCACACATTGTACAGACTGCTTTACCTTTTCAATGAATATAAAATTTGCAAGCATTTGAGGAGCCAAGAAAGGAGAGATCTTTTGGGAAGGGAAGGCCTATTACGCCATGCTCTTAGAGCATCCTAGGCTGTCTGGTGCATTCTGAACAATGGAGGCAATTGAAGAATTCAAATGAGTAGGTGATTCTTTACGTCTTTACAAGGCATCTCCTGGAAACCCGCAGCACTAGAGTTTCAGTGGGTCCTAAGACTTCCTTCCTCTGGCACAATCTTCCCATCATGATGGGCCGTGGTTCAAGATCTTTACACATGCCCAGGCAACTTTTGAATCTATTCTCAGTGTCTTTTTTTAAAAAAATAAATTTGATTTAAAGAGGAATTTTCACCTTCCCAGCACCACCACCTGTATCAGGGTTCTCTAGAGGGCCAGAATAGGATAGATGTGTATATATGAAGGGGAGTTTATTAAGGAGCATTGACTCACACCATCACAAGTTGACGTCCCACAATAGTCTGTCTGCAAGCTGAGGAGCAAGGAAGCCATTCTGAGTCCCAAAACCTCAAAAGTAGGGAAGCCGATAGTGCAGCCTTCGGTCTGTGGCCAACGCCCCGAGAGGCTCTAGCAAACCACTGGTGTAAATCCAAGAGTCCAAAAGCTGAAGAATTTGGAGTCTGATGTTCGAGGGCAGGAAGCATCCAGCACAGGAGAAAGATGAAGCCTGGAAGACTCAGCACGTCGGCTCCTTCCACCTTCTTCTGCCTGCTTTATTCTAGCTGTGCTGGCAGCTGATTAGATGCTGCCCACCCAGATTGAGGGTGGGTGTGCCTCTCCCAGTCCACTGACTCAAATGTTAATCTCCTTTGGCAACACCCTCACAGACACACCCAGAAATAATACTTTGCACCCTTCCATCCAATCTAGTTGGCACTCAATCTTAACTGTCACTCTACCGCATCCACACACACACACACACACACACACACACACACACACACATAACATCCACTATCACTTCAAAATGCCTTTTATGTACTGAATTGTGCCCCCCACCTCCAAATTCATACGTTGGCATCTTAACTCTCAGTACTTCAGAATGTGACTGTTTGGTGATAGGGCCTTTATAAAGGTAATTAATGTAAAGTGAGGTCATAAGTGTGGATCAAATCCAAACATGACTGATATCCTTGAGACGAGATTGGGACACAGACACACACAGAAGAAAGAATCCGTGAAGAAGCAATAAGACATGGCCATCTACATGCCGAGGAGAGAGGCTTCAGAGAAAACAACCCTGCAAGCACCTTGACCTTGGACTTCTAGCCTTCAGAAGGGAGAAAATCAGTTTCTGTTGTTCAAACCACCTAGTCTATGGTACTCTGGTATAACTGCCCCAGCAAACTGATACAGCTCCTCATCATTTTCTCGACACCTCTGAGAAAAATATTAATTTTGCAGGTAAAACCTACTCCATGAATGAGTATCCAAAGCTATAAGGCTAAATAGGGATTGTAAATGATCAGGTTTTAAAATACCTTACACAACACTTTTTTTTTTCCCATTCTACATTTGTAAAAATCATTTGAAACAATAAACTTTATTCCTGTGGAACTGCAGTTCTCAATCCCACCTTCATATTGCAGTCAGCTAGGGAGACTGGGGAAAGGCAGGCACTGATGTCTGGGCTCCATCTTCAGAGTTTCTGAATGATTGGCCTCTGTTGGGCACCACTACCCGAACCCAGCTGATTCTCATATGCAGCTACGGGTGAGAAAAATGGCTCTAAACAATCAGTTGATTAGAAAAACCCTGACAATTTAAAGTTTGCAAAGAGCATCATTCTGTATTATCATTTAAAAGACCTGGATTTGATAAAGCATGGTCTATTGCCCCACTGATACGAAATATATTTCTTACTCCAATGAGCTCTTTACCCTGTTCAGTCCTGCCGTTGTTAGGGAGTGGGTATAGCGTTATGTAGTGAGAACAGATACTGCTTAGCAATTTCATCACCGCTAACTGATGCAAGTTACAAAATGGCAGGGAGAGTTTTAGGGGGCATTTAAATCTCCTGGAGTTTCAGGGAAGCATCTATGCTGAGAAGAAACTGCATTCGGTTAGGGGTGTTCTGTATCCCACGTTATCCTAATTAGCAACTTAGCAACACAAGCCCTGTAGAGAACTGGCCTTATTTGGTGGCGCAGCATTGAGAGCCAGTTCTCCGGAATTTGGCAGCAAGTGAAAGCGCTATGGCTGCCAATTAGTTGGAGTTGCCTTCAACCCCTTGCTACTTAGCGGTGGCTTTTTAATTTGTGTTGGGTTTTCATTAAAGATTGATCTGACTCTGTGGATTTCTAATGTCCTTTTATTTGGTAAGTCAATCCTAGCCTGGCAGTATCACTTAACACAAAATGTTAATTAAAAAAAAAAAGGCTTCGCTGAAACTGACTTTCAAAACTCAGCTCTCTAGTTCCAGAAGAGAAAGAAAAAAAAAAATCCAAAAAATAAAAATAAAAAAGAAGATGGTGGAGTGAGATGCAAGACCCTCCCTCCAGGCTGTGAAAGATCCGAGGAGAGGAGAGGCGTGGCCAGAGGAGGAAGAGAATGAAAGGGCAAAAATCTTTAATGCTATCTTTTTTTCTACAATAGCTTTGGGGTTACTTTCTTGGGTCTTTTAGAAAAGCCACGTAAGCAAGAGGATAGTCTGGCTGGTGAAAAAGAAAAGAGATGTTACAATAGTACATTCAGGCTCCATTTTAATCTTCCAGGGTGGACGAAATTGCTTAACTGGCCTCTTGAATATTCTGATTGGCTAGGTATATGACCTTCCCAGCCAATCAGGTGGAGCCTCTCTGGGGCCACTGCAGATGACTTGGAAACAGATGCTCTTGATTGGCAAGGTTCCTACCGCCGCTATTCCAAGTCACGAGGCATCCCGACTGTAATTTCTGGCAGAAGCTAATAAGGAAAGTTCCTGCTAACAACCTCATTGATAACTTGCCTCGAGTGGGACCGTTGTTCCATCTGTTAGGGCCAAGGTTGTTTCGGCTGTGGCAAACTGGACGGCTTGGGGTTGATGATTTAAGAGGAGTTGTACCACCTGCCAACGTGGCAAAAGGCACACAGAAGTCAAAGACCCACAGCCTAATCCTCTAAGGGCTGGGTAGTGTTTTGTTTAATGTGGCTTATGTGCTTAGAACTTGAAAAGTCCTGCTCCCAGTGGTTCTATAGTGTGTGTTAATGCCAGCCTTACTATGAATGTTATATATGTAATATATGTGTGAGATTATTTATATATGTGTATTATATCACACAAATATATTATATTATATATGTGTATATACTCTCCCAGCCACCTGAAGGAGAGTATTACAGTATTGTGGAAAAATCAACAATATCGTCTTTTAATGACAGCCTCACTATATAATATATGCTCAAGATTATGTATGTGTATTTGATCACAGTAATATATATATGTTTTTGAAAAATCAGCAATAGTGTCTGTTAATGCCAGCCTTATTACTTGTGTGCCTGTGTGTGTGTATATACATATATACAACTTTTCAAATATATATATATATATATATATATATATAAAACAACTTGAAAAGTCTTGTTCCCATGGGTTCAACAATAGTGTCTAGTAAATACCAGGACAACTGGGATTCTGGGGAGAGGGGGTTAAAGGTGTCATGGTTACATTTCCTGGCTAACTCTTAATTTACTAGAAAATGCCTGTTAATGTCATCCTTCCTATGTATATATTTACGTAATATATATTTTATGTATACAACTCTATCTGTATATCTGTATCTATCTATCTATCTATCTATCTATCTATCTATCTATCTATCTATCATCTACCTATCTACCTACCTACTACCTCCGCCTTCTAAAGCATAGCTCAGTGAATGAAACTGAACCTTTGTTTGCTTAGCCAAGACCTTGTGGCTTTTTAGGTTAACTCTACTCATCGGCTCTTAGAACAGGAATAAAGACTGTCAAAAGTTGAAGGATAGAGACTGGAAGTTACTTTTTGTCCTAAAATACTGATGAAACTTTGTTTTCTAGTTATTTTTCTCTTCCTTCCAAAATGAGAATGCCACAAAACAAACAAAATATAAAGCTCAACCACAACCACAGGCAGTTGAGCAGCACAGCTGGGTGAGCTGTAGTAACTGGAGGATTTGCTGCATTTGTTTCTCTCCATGGGTTCTGTCATTTAGCTGCTGGATTGTCTTCTCATTTCTCATTTCTGCATGCTCCAAAGTGTGGACTCACACATGCTTATCTTAAAACAGAATCAAATTCTTGAAGAATTAATTTTGCCACCAGCCTATGACTTTTTTTCCCCCTAAAACAGTTGGGGAAAGAGGAAGTAGGAGTCCTTGTATCTCTTTTCATCTCTATGAACACTCACCCCACTGGTGACCTTACACACACTCACGGTTTTAAATACCATCTCCATGAATGCTGATGCAAGATGGCAGCCACTGCAGGCTCAGGAATAAAAGTGCCTTGAAATCTCTGACTGTTGCAAGAACTCAAAGAAGACCAGAAAGGAAGAAGTGATGGCACAGTTAGCTTGGGGTCTAGAAGATAATGAGGATATAATACAAGATGGACAAGGATAATCATTGGGCCTCCAAGTACAATTTATAAAAACCGAATATACAACCTTAAAATGGAATGTGAACCTAAATCCCCAGAAGCACCCCCAGTTTGTAAGATTTGTAACAAAATCAATATGAATATAATAGTGCTAATAGAATAGTGGGCCCAAGAGCCACATATCAGTGCTAGCAAAGTGGTAGAATTCATATTGCATTAGAGTTGTTCTGTAAGAGCTTTGGTGCCTAATGATATCTAAAGAAAATATGAAACTCTCTCAGTCACCTGAACGACAATATTACAGAAATTAAAAAGAAAAAAATATAGGTCTTCCCCTTCCCTCATTTGATTTCATCGGTCTTTGTTCTCCACAGTAGTAAGTTTTCTAGCTATGTCTTGTAGACCTCAAACTATAGAGAAGAAAGCTCTCATTCAAAGGCAATTTATCTTAAGATACTGTAAATGATATTAATTTTTGTCTATTTGAAATATATAAATTATACTATAACAAAAATTAAAATATATACATATGTGCATACATATATACCATTATAAAATTACTTTAGACAAATTACATTTATTTTATTTATTTTTTATTTTTTTGAGAGATGGGGATTTGCTCTGTTGCCCAGGCTAGAATGCAGTGGTATGATCATAGCTCACTGCATCCTCTACTTCCTGGGCTCAAGCAGTCCTCCTGCTTTGGCCTCCCAAAGTGCTGGTATTATAAGCATGAGCCACCATGTCTTGTCACAGATTAAATTTAATAGAGTTTACTTCAGCAGAGAACAATTCATGTATTGTTCTGTCTATACAATATAGCTGTATTTGAGTATTATATAATGAGTTATTTGCATTATTTGGATATGGTCCTATGGGAGGTCCCTAATTGTATCTCCAATAACCTGGTTGGCTGTTTGTGATTGGCTGAGGCTTTCATTATTAAATTTTAATTGTGTGAGTCATGTGCCAGGTACAATAATATAAAGCTCATTCGTTTGTTAAAAAATCTGGATTTGAGCTGTATTTCTGGCCCGTGGAACAACATTACCGATCTAGATGGCTAAAGTTTTCAATGAGTATTTGTGGAAAAAATACTTAAAAGTTCTCATTTGCCTTTTGTAAAGAGTCTTTTGGAAAGGCAGTCTTTGATTCGTTTAGTTTTTTAGAAGCCTCAGCATGCCAATTAAAAATCCATCCCATTGTTTTTGAGGCACTTTGGAATCTGCTTTTTTCTTCTAATGTGCCTTGCCAGTTTAAACTTCCCTGTTGTTAACACTGTAATTATGTTATCTTTAGTAAGGTTAACCTATTTATCCAAAAATACACAGGTTTTTGAACCATAAGTTTTGTACATAAATGTAGCTAGTGTCTCACAAAATGAAGTCCCAGACTCCTGGAATCTTAAAAGAACCTGTTTTCAGAAGCCACCTACCCAAGGCTCCTAACTGGATTCAGTAAAGTTAATTATCAGATCCAATCTGATTTTGAATCCAATCTGGCTAAATAATTATTCAAATAGAGTTACAGAGAGAGCTCAAAATGTAAACTTGCAGAGTTGGAAGCTAAGAAGGAACTCACCCATGACCTTCAGTTGTAATGAAAGAGCAGTGGGCACAGTGAGCCTGGTGTGTACCTTTGCTTCATCACTCACTGCTCCTGAGAGTTGCATAAGGGTTCCTTCAGATCTCACTTATGACACCAAATTGTTAAAAGAAAAACTTTAGACAAATTTAACAGATTTTATTTGAGCAAAGAATGATTCATAAGTTGGGCAGTGATCAGAACTTAAAGAGATTCAGGGAGCTTCACTCCAGCAGCATGAGCAGCAAGCTTTTATAGACTGAACACAGAGGCAAAATTACCTGATTGGCTATAGATAAGTGTTTGCCTTATTTGAGTATGGTCTGATGTGAGGTCTCTAGTTATATAACCAATTGGCTAGTTGGCTGCTTGCAATTGGCTGAGGCTCATTTTGTTTTAAAGTCAATTACAAGAAATGTTTTCAAGTTAAGTTCTGGTTTGCTTATATAAGAGCTCTGGTTACCAAGACAACCTCCAGCTAATGGCTTCCTTCTTATTTGTTTTAACAATACATACACAACAAAATAAAACAGTTATGACAAGTGCCAAGTGAGTAATTTAGATAATCATATGAGCAGACTTAAGAAGGGGAAGACCAGGAAGGGCCAATGTGGTCATAAATGGCACTGTAAGATACAGCTTGAACTCAACCTTAAAAGAAGAGGAAGGTGTCAGATAAGTACAGAAAGAGTGGAAGAGCATATTAGGTGAGAGCTTTGCCTCCTTCACTAACTTTGCAGATAAGACTTCCAGCTCTGCAGATGCAGAAGCCACAGGCA
Organism: Homo sapiens; assembly: GCF_000001405.40. Classification (NCBI taxonomy): domain Eukaryota; kingdom Metazoa; phylum Chordata; class Mammalia; order Primates; family Hominidae; genus Homo; species Homo sapiens. Next base: position 9,235,504 of record NC_000008.11, read on the forward strand.
TGCTCTGACTCGTGCCTCAGCCTCTGCCTTTGGCTTATAGCCTTCACCTACCCTCAAGAAAAATGTTCCTCCATCTTCCAAGAGTCCTGGTCACCTCCAGACTATGGATTGTTTCTGTTGTCAACTTATAACCACAAGGAATGCTGACGTTTTCCTAGTGCTGGCCTCTTGGCATGAGTGTACATGAGGAAATGGGGAGTCTAATTTACACAACGAGTGTGCACAACACAGAACTATTAATCCAGAGGTTTTTATCTCTATAATGAGGTAACGATAGCTTGCTTATTTATTTATTTATTAATTTATTTATTTTGAGACAGGGTCTCGTTCTGTCATCCAGGCTAGAGTGCAGTGGCGCAATCACAGCTCATTACAACCTCCACCTCCGGGGCTCAGGCTGTCTTCCCACCTCAGCCTCCCAAGTAACTGGACTACAGGCGCATGCCACGACACTTGGCTAATTTTTGTATTTTCATAGAGATGGAGTTCCACCATGTTGCCCAGGCTGGCCTTGAACTCCTGAGCTCAAGCAGTCCACCTGCCTTGGCCTCCTAAAGTGCCTGGATTACAGGCGTGAGCCACTGCACCAGCATGATAGCTCATTTAAAGGCATTTCTGAATAGTGAGTACTTCAATTATATATTAAAATTTACAGACTGATGAAAGTCCAGTGTTTTTAAACACCAAAGCTCAAAAACCTATTGGGTGCATCACTTGTAAAACTGTGTTATAATACAGATGTATCCTCAGGGTAACTGAGGCTAGTCAGACAGTGAGTTGTTCACTCAATGCTCTGTGAGCCTTATGGGTTTCTTAGTTGTGTCTGTTTTAATATCTCTTTCTTTCTTTCTTTCTTTCTTTCTTTCTTTCTTTCTTTCTTTCTTTCTTTCTTTTCTTTCTTTCTTTTTCTCTCTTTCTTTCTTTCTTTCTTTCTTTCTCTCTCTCTCTTTCTTTCTTTCCTTTCTTCCTTTTTTTTTTTGTCTGCAACATCACTTTCAGCCAATGGGGTTTCATTTTTCATTCTCAGCTTTTGTTTCTGACTCTCTGTGGACTGGGAATCCAGATGAAGTTAACTTATTCTAATTGTTATTTTTAAAAAACAAAGGCTTCAATATACGGTCTTAGGAACTCTCCTCTGGGTTTTCCACTTTTCATCTTTGTTTTCCACTCTCCTCATGTATGCTAGCCACTTGGAGACCCTTTTTGTTACTTCCTGATATTTACCTGTATTCAAGATGAGTCAGGTTGTCAGGCTGCTAATTTCTGGACATGTGAGTTATTTCTGTAGTTTTGCTCCAATATACCACCAAAAATAAGATAGATCCTTTACTCTGCCAGTGCCATCTTCAGTGGCAGGTGTCAACTGACAGATTTGAATAGACAATTTATATGTGTATTATTTGAAACCTAGAGCATTTCCTGTAGTTAGCTCTCTCCTCTACAATGTTTTGCAAACATTACAAGAAGAACGGACCCATCTCAAAAGGTAACCGGAAGGTAACTTGAAGCTGTTATTTGCTTGTGGGGAGATGGGGCTGTGGTCAGGCAATGGAAGTGGTGGATAGCTGGATAGATGGATAGCTGGATGCTCAGGGCTTTCTGCAGCAGCACTGGGAGAAGCTCTAGCATTGAGGACGGAGTGGAGCCCAAGAGGGACATTGGAAAGCCCTCCATCAAAGGTAGATGAGACCTCCATGATAACAGGACATTAGTATAGAGACTGGTTTGGTGGAAGAAGTTGCCACTGCTGAGGTGCCAATTAAAAGAGGCTGTTGTGTCCTGGAGAAAGGACGAACAAGGGTACGCTTGTGCCCACTGTTGATTTTCTGTGGCACCCCAGCACAGAGAACAGCTGAGCTTAATGCCAGATTTCCCTCCTGCTGAATTCAGCCAGCTTTGAAAATGAGCAGGGGAGACAAAGAAGTGCAGACCTGCATCATAGAGATTCATGCTAGTCGTCTTCACCATTGTCACTATGGAGTATTACCTCCCAGTGATTTTTGGCCTTGCACACAGAAGCACTGTTTCTGTGCAAAGGGTAAGTAAGGGGGAGGCATGGTTTCTGCCTGCGTAGGGCTCACGTAAGGGGACAGTCACACTGCCATGGATTCTCTGCCAATACAGCAATCATAAGGTCGTTGACAAAAAGTCTATTGTTCATATGCTTTGTGATTTAATTGCTAAAGACCAACACCTAAATTATCAGTTAGCATCACAATAAACTATTGTAATGAGAAGACCCCAAAAATGCAATGACTCAGGTAAGATAGAAGTTGATTCCTTTCTTACCTAACAGTCCTGGGTGGTGCGCCTGATCAGCAGGAGGGTTTGTCCACGCAGTGACTCAGGGACCCAGGTTGCTTCCTGCTTGTTTATTCTCTATTCTCTAAACCATTTGTCTTGCCTGTCTAGGTGTCATGCCCAGATAGCCAGCCAGCAGGAAAAAAAAGGGAAGAACGTGAGGGGCATGCTTGCAAAGTGTGACAGACTTGTCTAGAAGTAGCACCCTTCTCATCCATTGGCCAGAATGTGGTCACGTGACCACCATCCACTCCATGGGGTCCTGGAGATGTGGTGCCTGCCTGGGCTGCACATCAGCCACACTTCTCTCACTGTGGAAGGTCAGTAGGTTTTGGTGAACTGGCATCATATGGGGCTTCACTTTACATTTTGATCTGGTGTCTTCTTCAGTTTTCCAGTTTTTTTAAAAAAATCTAACAATAAGTTTGTAGAATTCAATAATTTCCAATCCCTTTTTAGTAGTTGCATTGTTAACTTTGTTTAGTCTTCTGAAACCTCTTTTATTTGCTTCTTTAAGCCCCTCCCTCTGCCTCTAGTTTTTGAAAGAGAAAACATACTTTCTTCCTTTAGTTGGAATGAATGAGGATTCTTGGAAGAATTTTCCACCATTTCTTAAGAATGGTAGGTGTTGCAAATTCAGGTTTGAAAACTTGGATAAGAAAAGAGTAACCTATGGAAAGGGCAAGCATTTTAGAGGCTGGGGAGGAGGGAGATTGGGAGGGGAGAGGAGAGGACAGTGAAAATACACAAACCCTCCACAAAACAGGAGCGCTACAGGAATATGAGTTTTTAAATTCTTCATTGTTTCTTTTCGTCACATTGTAGCTGACTCTTCTTTTGCCCCAAAGACAGGGCACTGGCTGGTTAATTATAAAAAGTGGTTCCCAACACAAATCCAGCAGAAGGGCTGTGGGAAAAAACTGCTTTAGTTGAGGGTTAGACCCACCAGCTTCCACTAAACATCCATTAACATCATGACAGATGTTTAACAAGGATAAGATGAACCTGGGAGACTCCTTCCCTACAATCCAAATCTCCCCCAGCTTTGGAATTTCAGTCAGAGAAAATAGACTTAAAAAGACAGTTAACCAAAAATGTTTAAATTCTGAGGTGACAGAGGCTTTCTTACTCTTTTCCTTTTTTCTGAGCTCTGACCTTATGGGATGAAAGATATCACATTTGGAAACAATAAGTCCTGCATCCCTAAAGATTCTCTTTCTTCTCTGGTGGCTCTTAGAAACCTTTGGGCTATTTGAATCTTACAATTTCTCTCTCTCTCTCTCTCTCTCTCTCTCTCTCTCTCTCTCTCTCAGTCAGGGTCTTGCTCTGCCACCAGGTGAATTCCAAGGGATCCTCCCACCTAAGCCTCCTGAGTAGCTGGGACTACAGGCGCTTACCACCATGCCAGGCTTTCTTTTTTAAAAAAAAAAAAAAAAAAATGCTTCATAGAGACAGAGTCTTGTCATGTTGCCCAGATTGGTCTCGAACTCCTGGGTCAAGCAATCCACTTGCCTTGGCCTCCCAAATTGCTGGGATTACAGACATGAGGCACTGCACCTGGCCAACTGAATCTTCCAATTAACCCCTGTTAATTGTACTACTAATTAATTGTATAATTGTACAATTAAGAAATGTAGTTCTTCAGTTTAGGGATAGACCCACCAGCTTCCACGAAACATCCATTGTACAATTGTACAATTAAGAAATGGTGGAATATTAATGGGTTAATTGAACAATTAACAAGGGTTAATTGTAAGATCCAAAATGTAATCAACCAGGGAGATTTTTCAATGGAAATGTACAGTTTCATGGGAACTGATTTTCACTCATTTTCCTTTTTAATATAATACAATTGAATAGTGCCATTCACACCTCTCATAACATACACTCCCTTGAATAGATCCAAATAGCCATTTGCCATTTAGCAAATGTTTTCCCTGATCCTGTGCTTTGCTTTTGTTACATTTAAAGTACACTCCCCACTTGCTGCAAAAAGTGTGACTGCGATTCAAACTCAGCCCTCTTGGCTCATTTATGAGGGAAGCTTTGCCATAAAAGATGAATTGCAAAGTAATAGCTGAGGGGAGCCATAACAGTCAATGCAGTTACCCTTTGGTACATTTTTGGGCTAATGATATTTAAATCAATGTGACTGAAAAAGAAAAATAAAGGTCAAACCAAATACCAAAGAATGAATAGCCTACTGCAAGATTACTAGACTCATAAACAGTTCCTTGTTCTCTAAGATTGCTCTGAGAACCATGTCAATACACCAGTCTCGTGGTAATTAAAGAATTTAAAAAGCCAATACTTATTTTGTCAAGGGCACTAATGCAAGTTCAACTTGGTCTATGAACAAATTAACACAAAGTTCTGATTGTGTGCAAACTGGGGCAGTTAGCAATTATTCTTAGTATTTCTATAACAAACTTTCTTCTGAAAAACTCAAAATGCTAGAGAATCATAAAACTTCGAAGGCATCTGAGAAACTACTGATACCTTTGTTTTACAAATTCGGAAGCTGTAGCCCACAAAAGTGACTTGTTCATGGTCACACTGCTAGCCTGTGCATCTTGAGTAGCCCAGTGATCTTTAATAGTGTATCTTGATGTTCTCGTCTTAGGTATCACCCCAGTTCTTTCCTCTCCATTCTATTGTAAAGCAGCTCCTCCTCAAAAATACTATGAAGTTTGAAGAACAAAAAAGTCTTACATGTTCTATATTATAATGTAAGTAAATGTTGACTAGAAATCCCCTTGTCTTTTTTTTGAGACAGTGTCTCACTCTGTCACCCAGGCTGGAGTGCAGTGGCTCAGTCACGGCTGCCTGCACCCTCAACATCCTGGGCTCAGGTCATCCCCCTGCTTCAGCTTCCTGACTGGCTGGGACTACAGGCACATGTCACTATGCCCAGCTAAATTTTTTTTTTTTTTTTTTTTGTAGAGATGGGGTTTCCTGAGGTTGCCAAGTCTCGTCTTGAACTTCTGAGCTCAAGTGATCCTCCCACTTTGGCATCCCAAAGTGCTAGAATTACAGGTGGGAGCCGCTGTGCCCAACCTCCTCTTGGCTTTATCGTATAAAGCCTGTATAGAACCAAACAGGGTATATGATCAGGCCTTTCAGTGAGGCCAGATTGGAGCAGTAGCAGCTTGATAAGGTCCCAAAAGGTACTAAATGAAAAAGAGACAATCTAACATTAGTGGCCTCAGAATGCAGGGACACCTATAGCCTAGACAAGAATAAAATAAACCAAGAAAAAACACAACTGGAATTCCTTTTAATAAGAAAGCCAGTCCCATATCAGAAGCCAGACAATAGAGATGGAAGAAATTGAATTCCAAAGACAGACAAATGGAGAAAGACACAAATAAAATGGGGAGGGGTTGACCTCAAAGATGACTAACTAGAGTTATAAGGCTGGGGGTTGCAGGTAGACACAGGATTGCAAGCAGGTTGGATAAATGGGGTGGGCCAGCTGGTCTACCTTCTAACCCCAGGGCGATGTAGCGCCTAGTGGAAAAATCTTGGTCACAAAGTCAAGTCCCAACTGTAACCATGATTTGCCTCATTCATTCATTCATTCACTCATTGACTCACTCACTCATCTAATATTTATGAACAACCACTGTGCACCAGGCACTGTACTGGAAGATAAGCCATGGAATGAGGTAGATGTAGCTCCTGGCTGGGTGCAGGGGATATAGCTCCTGGCTGGGCACAGGGGTCACGCCTGTAATCCCAGCACTTTGGGAGGCCAAGGCAGGTGGATCACTGAGGTCAGGAGTTCTCGACCAGCCTGGCCAACATGGTGAAACCCCGTCTCCACTAAAAATACAAAAATTAGCCAGGCATGATGGCACATGCCTGTAATCCCAGCTACTCAGGAGGCTAAGGCAGGAGAATTGCTTGAACCTGGGAGGCAGGGGTTGCAGTGAGCTGAGATCGTGCCATTGAACTCTGCACTCCAGCTTCGGTGACAGAATGACACTCCATTTGAAAAAAAAAAAAAAGAAAGAAAGATGTAGCTCCTGTCTTCACAGGCCTCACAGTCTATTAGGGAGATAGACATCGAACAAGTCATTATACACATCTTTCTTTATCTTTGTAGCCAAAGTTAAGAAAGGAAAGCATAGCATACAATGAGAATTCAAAAAAGAATTCTAATTAGCATCTAACTTAGGTTGGAGACAAAGGAGGAACTGTGATATTGGTTTTTAAAATGGAAACAAATACCAAATGGAAGGTGATTAACTTGCATTTAACATCCATAGATACACAAACTGTTATTAATTAACAGCAGACAAAAATGTGCCCCCGAACTGGTCATCTCTCTAGAAATCCAGTGATGGAGGTAAGAGAAAGGGATTCCACTGGGGAAGCCAGGAACACAGGAGAACCAGAACCCCATGCTGCTGGACAATGAACAAAGACAAGGTTCTGTCTCGCTTTCACTTACTCTGGAGCTGAGACCATGTCCTAGAATAAAATAGGTTGCTGAACACTAGAAAGGCTGCAGTGCAGCATGAAGCAGTGTCTGTCTGACCTCAGCACCCTGTTCTGATTCCTGATCTGCGTTTGGTTCCTATGTTACTGAGGACCACTGTGTACCCTACTTTCTTAATACTCAGCCCCAGGGACCCAGTCTCTCTGTACCTCTCCCAGACTTCCAGGTGTTTCTCCCCTATGTGCTGGGATCTTTGCTGGTAAATATCTGGACTGAAGAAAGTCTGGGATCTTACTCATAACAAACACACAGACTGATGCTGTGGTTTTTGACTTATCTTTGGACTTGTGCACCCATGGTCAAATCTTAAAGCTTAGCAGAATTCCCAAGGATCCCTGCACTTGTTGGGTCAGAGGCAAGAACAGCAGGCCCTACACTAAACTGGATTCCTTAGAGTCTATGACTCAGGGCCAGGCACAGTGGCTCATACCTGTAATCCCAGCACTTTGAGGGGCCGAGGCATGTGGATCATGTGAGGTCAGGAGTTTGAGAGTAGCCTGGCCAACGTGGTGAAATGCCATCTCTACTAAAAAAATACAAAAAAAAAAAAATAGTTGGGCATGGTGACATGCACCTGTAATCCCAGCTACTCAGGAGGCTGAGCCAGGAGAATTGCTTGAACCTGGGAGGCGGAGGTTGCAGTGAGCTGAGATCATGCCACTGCACTGCAGCATGGGCGACAGAGTGCAGAATCTGTCTTTAAAAAAAAAAAAAAAAAATCTATGACTCTGTGTGCCTTGGGCCACTGTCACCAAGCCCTGACCCTAGAACAAGGTCTTGATGTGGTCTCAGCTACTAGCTAATGTTGCAACATCAGAACTTGATGTATGTGGAGCCAACTCTGTGGCACCAAAACCTCCCAAAATATTCCCTGACTCTGACATACCCATGCATGAAAGGGAAGGCTGGAGGCCGATGTCGAAAAACAACTGCGGAATTTCATTTGACAGTAAACACTGCAAAAGGTATCTATGTCACATGGTTGCCCAATGCCTTGAGTTAAATAGAGAATGGAGAGGTTATAACCCCACACTGTCTGTTGTGATAGCGATCCCCACACTATCAGATCATATCTGGAGTACTGCATGTCATTCTGAGCACAGCATTTTAAAAAGGATTTAGACAAACTAGAAAGAGTAACCAGATGAGTGATAGGGCTGGAGATCATTCCCGTGAGAGCTGACGCTGAAGGAAATAGGAAGACTGACAGCTGCTTCCCAATGTGGAAAGGGCTACGGCTGGACCATTAGACTCGCTCTAAATTGTCACAAGGGCCAACAATAAGCAAAAGGGAGATAGATTTTTTTTAAATTAGTGTAAGTGGGCTTTTTCTAATAGTCTAATTCTAGTGGACTTGTGCAGACACCATAGGCCACGGCAGGTGTTTGAGAAGGGGAAGATGGTATTGAAATCAAGCCAGAGTTAGCAGCTATGAGTACCACTGGGGCTTGGGTGGTGATTCTGAAAAAGAAAAAGACTAGTTCTCATTTTTCTCAAGCTAGATATGGACAAGGTTCCTGGGCCCCTTCCCTCAAGTCTACCCAAAGAGGCATATAGTCAGCTCCTGCTCAGTTGAAGCCTTGGCTGAAAGGAGAAGTAACTGGTCATTTAGGGGGACCCTCTGACCCACCACTGGTAGAGTCAAGACTTAGTGTGGCTTTGCAGATAACTGTGAATGTGCAAATTTTGTCCTGGTGATACTGATAGCAATGATGCTACTATTTATGAAGGGCCTACTGTGCACCAGGTACCTTGCTAAATATAGTATGTATAATAGCTCATGAAATCCTTATACCTGTCCTATGGAACAGCTACTATAGTCTTCATTTTCCACTGGAGGAAGCAGAAATTTAGAGAACTTAAGTTTCTTGCAAGGCCACTGAGCTGCTGCATGGGGGTCGCCTGAGCCTGAGCTCTCAGCATGCTGGCTTTCAGCGCACCTCCACTGGGGATCCCATCCACCTCTCCTAGCTGAAGTGCTTCCCAGGCCAGCTCCATCCTGTTCTTGGGCTCCCAACGCCCAAGAAGGCATTGTGGCATGGTAGAAAGAACCTGAGAATTAGAATCGGACAGGCCTGGGTTTAAAGCCCAACTCACCACTTACAGCCGTGTGATCTTGGGCAAATCACATGGTCTCTTTAGCCGTCCATTTCTTCATCTATAAAATACCTACTTCTTTTCTATAGCAGATTCACATATTTTTTCCCTGGGGCAAGTTCTGAAGTAACCAAGTAAGCAAAAAACAAAGATAAGTAAGCGTGTCCTTAATAAATCCATTTGAGGGGTACACTTGGAACCCCCATATATGTCAGGCAACTTTCTCTACTGGGGTGGCAGATGTGATTGAGGCAGGCAAGGTCCCTGCTCTTATAGAGCCTGGCATCTGGTGCAGGGTTCCAGTCAGCACACATCAGTGGGTATTAAGCACTATTCAAAGACCTACATGGTAATAGGAAATGACAAGGAAAGTCTTCTCCCAGGAGGTGACATTTCAGCCGAGATCTGAGTGACAAGAAGGAGCCTCAGGCAAAGATGGAAGGAAAAAAGATCATCCAGGCAGAGGGAAGAGCTAGGATAAGCTCCTGCGGAGAGAATAAGCCAGGACAAAGCAGCCCCAGGGAGACTGGCCCGGGATGGAGCCAAGCAGGCAGGGAATTATAGATGCTTTGGGGTTTGTTTTCCAAGTGTGTTGGGAGAGTTCTGAGCAAGGACACTTCATGATCTGAATTCCCTTTTCGAGTTCTCTCATTCTCTTTTCGTGTTCTATGGGGAGCATGGATTGCAGGCTGGTAGTGGGGGAAGCAGGGAGGCCAGCTAGGAGGTTTTGCAGCAGTGCAGGCCGGAGATGCTGGAAGCTTGGCCTCCTTTGTGGTGGGGTTGAGGTTGGGAAGTTGCAGCAGATTCAGTTCATGCTTTGTAGGGGGCATTGACAGGGACAGCTGGTGGGTTGGACACAGGTTGTGGGGAAAATAAGAATCAATAATAACTCAAGGATAACCATTATTTGCAACTAGTTCAACATAGCTAGTCTTGTTTTGTTTTGTTTTCTCCAGTGCTGGTAATGTTTCTTTAGTTGAACATCAAATGAAATAGCGGTCTTCCATTTGAGGGCTGTATTGCATAGGGGAAAATGTGTATCTCTAAACACTGGACTCATTCTCAGCCTGGAAAGATACTCATACGATGAGAGACATGCAGAACATAAGGCCAGTGAGTTCGTGCTTCCCTTGTTTCACTCACTGGGGGGCATACACTCATTTGGTGGGATAGTAGGGATAGTAGATAAATTTAAGACTGTGCTCATCTTTTTCTTCCATATCGAATTCAGATCAGTTAATTGTGTCCATACAGTGACTTCACAATAATAGGACCATACATTATGTTAGATCATCTTTGCATTAGAATTTCTAGTTTGCGTTTTGTTAAGATGTGCTGTCTGTTCATCTCATATGCGCAGTGAGGATAACACCTTCATCCTAGTGTGTTTCTTAGGAGATGACATAAGGGTTCACACAGTGCTGGCCTCTTGGGAAAATCCAGCAAAATGTGGGTTCCTGCCCCCTCACCAAAGAACCTGCAAGTAGTTTCTAATTCTTTGTTCATTCAATGACTGTTTATTGGACGGCTACTATGTGCCAGATGCTATTCTGGGTGCTATACGGGTATCAGTGAATCACGTAGAGTTCCTGCTCTGTGGGGTAGACCCCTTCCTCCATCTTCACAGCCAGCATGACGTCTTCAAATCTCTCTCTCCCTGTCTATAACCCTTGTTCCCATAGTCACTCTGATCTCCTATCCACCTCTTCGTTTCATTTAAACGTATTTTGAATTTTTAAACTTTTATTTATTTATTTATTTTGAGATGGAGTCTCCCTCTGTCACTCAGGCTGGAGGGCAGTGGTGCAATCTCAGCTCACTGCAACCTGCACCTTCTGGGTTCAAGCGATTCTCCTGCCTCAGCCTCCCAAGCAGCTGGGATTACAGGCATGCGCCATGATGCCCAGCTAATTTTTGCATTTTTAGTAGAGATGAGGTTTCACCATGTTGGCCAGGCTGGTCACGAACTCCTGACCTCAAGTGATCCACCCACCTTGGCCTGGGATTACAGGCATGAGCCACCACGCCCGGCCTAAATTTTTAATTTTTTGAGATGAGGTCTTGCTCTGTTGCCCGGGCTGGAGTGCAGTGGTGCAATCTCGGTTCGCTGCAACCTCTGCCTCTAGGGTTCAAGAGATTCTCATGACTCAGCCTCCAGAGTAGCTGGGATTACAGGTGTGCACCACGATGCCTGGCTATCATTTAAAATTTTTAAAAAGTTGATTGAAACATAATAGATGTACATGTTTTCAGGAGGCATTTGAGAATTTGCTACATTCATGTAATCAAAGTGTAATTGGGATATCCATCCCATTAAATATGTGGCTTTTCTTTTTGCTAGGAAAGCCTAGCCATTTTGAAATGAACAATTGATTAATGTTAACCATAGTCGCCCTATTGATCTATCAGCCACCGGGTCTTATTTCTTCTAAGTGTGTATTTATAGCCATTAATCAACCTCTTTCTCCCTTTCTCCCTGCCACCCTTCTCAGCTCCTGGTAACCACCAATTTACTCTCCATCTTCATGAGATCCACCTTTTCAGCTCTCAGATATAATTGAGAACATGGGTTATTTGTCTTTCTGTGCCTGGCTTATTTCACTTAACATAATGACCTCCAGTTCCATTCATGTTGCTGTGAATGATAGGCTTTCGTTCTTTTCTTTCTGCCCACCTCCTTCTTACAACCTCGTTCGTTGTAATACTGGGCCCACCTGGGTAATCTGGATTCACCATCTCATTTCAAGATCCTTAATTTAATCACCTTTGCCAAGTCCCTTTTGCCATTTGAGGTAGCATATTCACAGGTACAATGGATTAAGCTGTGGGCATCTTTGGTGGGGCTGGGGTTGGGGGTGTTATTCTGTCTACCCCAAGTGTTATCCATTCAAGGAAGATTTGTTAACAGAAGACCTAGTCAGGATTCACATACGCATCTGTCCATGCTAAACCAGTATCTAAAACCAACGTACTAGAGTTTCCTGTAAGTGATCAAAGTGACAAACACAGTGTTTAGTACTCTGGGACCCACCCATTACCAGTCTACATTCCAGACCATAGGTCCTGGTTTGAGTTTGGAAACCTTAGTCTTTGGATCCAAGTTGTATTTTCATGTCAAGCTTATCAGAAGGTCCAGGTGTAACTTGCAATCTCAGTAGACCCTGAGGTCCCCACAGGGACACATGAGGTTCAACGCAGATCCTGGCAGGGTGAAGGTGTTCTTGGGTAGCCAGCAGGGCTCTTTGCAGAGTTTTACGCAGGAAACCAGAAGCTAAACTTATGTCTTTGATCCTTTGGATCCTTAGAGCCTTGAAGACAACTTTGTATAGACAAAGCTAAAACCAGAATTGTGACCGAATTACAACCGGGAGCTGTGTGTGGCAGTTGAAATGCTGAATAGTCTTTTTTTTTTTTTTTTGTCTTTTTAGTAGAGATGGGGTTTCTCCGTGTTAGCCAGGATGGTCTTGATCTCCTGACCTTGTGATCTGCCTGCCTTGGCCTCCCAAAGTGCTGGAATTACAGACGTGAGCCATCACGCCTGGCCGAAATGCTGAATAATCTTAAATGTTGAATGTCTGAAGATGTTGAACCAAGATCGATTTGCTTTTCAGTTCCTGGGAAGCCTGGATTTTCTCTGCATCTAGGCCAGGCTGTCAGCTCCACATTCCCAGGCCAAGGATTTGGAAAAATGGGGCCGCATGCCACGCTGGCATATTTTATGTGTGTGTATGTGAGTCAGCCTTATTTTAGGAATGAAAAAGTACCCCTCTGTACACTTTAGATAAGGATGACCCACAGTTTGTTACTCAGGGCAAAGTCTCTCTTCTTTTTCTTATATAATCAAATCAAATACAGTTTAATCCTGAAACTAGGCAAGAGGCAATTAGCTGAAAACTTCTTTGGCCAGCCCTCAACTTTGGGATGAACTTACAAAAAACAAACAACAACAACAAGAAAAAAACAAAAAACAATATTCTAGTCTTTTCTTTTATACAGAAGTCTCAAGTTACCTACCTGAATTGCAGCTTTTCTAAGATTATAGCATATTGATTCTTTGAAAAGATCTACTTCTTGTCCCTTATCCCAATGTAATCATTCACAGATTTTTAAACATTTATTAACCGACTCCTGTATGTTTGTAATTGAGGTTGCAGAGCACAGTTCCTGGTTTTACTGGGTTTAGGAATTAGAAGAGGAGACCAAAACCATTTTGAGTTAGAGAAGCATGGGCAATTGAAGTTGTACTCTTTGATGTTTCTGCCACAAAGGGAAAACCTTGTGAGAGAGGACACTACCTCGGAGAGTAGACACTCCAACATTGGTTGGCTGAAAGAATAAGAGCATTGTCTGGGCCTCAGAAGGGAAGACACAAGCCCAGCTAGCTCTCCCGGGGATGAGTTTACAGTACTGTGCTAGGAAGGAAAGAACAGCTCCTGGATAGAGTCCTGGATCTGGATCTGCCCCGTGTGGTGTGTGACAGGGCACAGTCACACAGTATGCTCAGTACCTCAGCTTCCCACCTAAAGCTGAGGCTTAGAAAGAAAGCCCAATTCATCCATTCTCAAGCCACTCCTGCATTTTGATTCCCATTCCTCTGTGGATGGAGAGACTCAGATAATGAGCAAGGCCTTTGTGCTCTTTAGCGGTGCTCATTGGTGGCGCCACAGGACTAACTCAGAACTCACTTTCATAAGCGCACCACAAGCCACCACTGGGGGAAATGAGTCATTCTAATCTAGAAAATGCTATGATTGATTGAGTGCTACTGAGGAGAGAAGCCATTTCTCTTACTGTCTCCTGTCTCTGAAGAGGAGGAGGAAGTAAAAGTTGAAAAACAACAGGAATGAAGTCAGTGGCAAGACCAGCCGGTGCCACTGATGACCCGGCCTGAGGTTAAAAGATTAACCCCCCAACTCTAACCACATGTGCTCTCAATCCATCACGACCCTTTCACGTGGAACCCCTTAGAGTTGTAAGCCCTTAAAAGGGCCAGGAACTCTGTCTTCGGGGAGCTCTGCTCTTAAGACGCGTGTCTGCCGACGCTCCTGGCCGAATAAAAAACCTCTTCCTTCTTTAATCCGGTGTCCGAGGAGTTTTGTGTGCGACTCGTCCTGCTACATTTCTTGGTTACAAAAACCTCTTCCTTCTTTAATCCGGTGTCCGAGGAGTTTTGTCTGCGACTCGTCCTGCTACATTTCTTGGTTACAAAAACCTCTTCCTTCTTTAATCCGGTGTCTGAGGAGTTTTGTTTGCGACTCGTCCTGCTACATTTCTTGGTTCCGTGACCGGGAAGCGAGGTGATTGAAGGACGGTCGAGGCAGCCCCTTAGGCTGCTTAGGCCTGCCCTGTGGAGCGTCCCTGCAAGGGACTCTGGCCAGCTTGAGCGACGGGCATCCTGAGAGCGCTCCCGGGTAGGCAATTGCCCTGGTGGAACACCTCGTCAGAGCAGTGTGTGGCAGGCCCCCGCGGAGGATCAACGTGGTGGCTGAACACCGGGAAGGAACTGGCACTAGAAGTCTGGACGTCTGAAACTTGGTAAGACTGGTGTTTGGAACTTGCCCACTCCATCTGAGTGGAAGCGTGGCCTGATCACCCACGGCGTGCCTCTACCAGCACTTTGGTTCTTGTTTTTGACTTGACTTGAATTGCTTGATACTTTGGTTTTGGTTTTGACCTGGCTTGGATTTCTGGATACTCCGATTTTAGTTTTGATTCTGGTCTGGTGTAAAATGAAAAAGAGTGTGTGTGCCCTTTTTACCCGTTCTTTGTTCTGTGGTGTGCGTGTGGTGTGAGCGTGGTGTTTTGTCTCCAGGAAACATGGGTCAGATACAAAGTAAGCCTACTCCGCTAGGAGCTATGTTGAAAAATTTCAAGGAAGGATTTAGTGGAGACTATGGGGTTACTATGACAGCAGGGAAACTTAGAGCTTTGTGTGAAATCGATTGGCCAACATTAGAAGTGGGTTGGCCATCAGAAGGAAGCCTGGACAGGCCCCTTACTTCTAAGGAGTGGCACAAGGTAACTGGTAAAGGATACTTAGACTAGTTCCCATACATAGACTCTTCGTTACAGCTGGTGCTAGACCCCCCACAGTGGCTAAGAGGGCAGGGAGCAGCAATGCTAGTAGCAAAGGGACAGATAGCTAAGGAAGGATCCTGCTCCACTCGCCCAGGGAAATCAACTCCTGAAGTTCTGTTCAACCCAACATCAGAAGATCCATTGCAGGAGATGGCACCAGTGATCCCACTGGTGCTCTCCCCTTACCAGGGAAAGAGGCTCCCCACTCTTGAGCCCACAGTGCTCGCGCCTCCACAAGACAAGCGTATCCCTAGGCCACCCAGAGCAGACAAGCGAGGAGGTGAGGACTCGGGAAAAACCCCTCCCTTGGCAGCTCATTTACGACCCAAAACTCTGTGGCTCACATCTGTAATCCCAGCACTTTGGGAGGCCGAGGCAGGAAAATGGCTTGAGCCAAGGAGTTCAAGACCAGCATGAGCAACATGGCAAAATCCCGTATCTAAAAAATACCAAAATTTTAGCTGGGCATTGTGGCCTGCACCTGTAGCCCCAGGTACTCCAGAGGCTGAGATGGGAGCCTGGGGACGTCAAGGCTGCAGTGAGCCAAGATCGTACCACTGCACTCCATCCCGGGTGACAGAGTGAGACCCTGTCTCAAAATGTATATATGTAAAATAAAAAACTGTAAGAAAGGAATATAATACTTTGATTCGTGAAGCATTACAGGGCCTAATAGTTGCTCTGGTCTGCTTATGAATGAAGGTTCAGCAGCAATTTCTTCTCTTAGTTAAGCCTTTTCCTCTGCTAGTTATAGAACTTAGACCTTGAAGGAGTCTCCATTATTATCTAAGTCTAGGCGAGGAGAAAAACTAAAGCAGGGTTTCCAAGTGGATACTGCTAGTTAATGGAGAGCCAGGAAGAAGACCCAATTCATCTGTTCTTCAGCCCCTCCTGTGTTCTGATCCCACTCACAGTATTCACCCAAGAAATATGTTAGGCTTGGCTGTGGCCTAGTACTGTTCTGAGTGCTGAAGATAGAGCCCTGGACAGTCAGCCCAGCCCCTTCTTTCTCCCATCTTTGTAGAGAAGATAGAAAATAAATGCACAAAACCATTCCAGGTGGCCACAGGTGCTATTAAGAAAGCAAATCATAGCAGCTTGATGGAAAATGATGAGGTGAGGTTGGTTCTTTAGGCTGAAGGACAGAGAAGGCCCGTCTGAGTAGAGGCTCAGCTGTGGTCATTGGTGGAGTCACAAGCTAAGTCAGAACTCACCTGAGGAATCATATCCAACACTGATGGGGACCCACTGCATCATCTCTCACCTTCACTGGAGGAAGAGGAGGGCGATGAGTCATTACACAGCATGCAGAAAATATAAAAACAGGCTGGGGCTGGGCACGGTGGCTCACACCTGTTAATCCTAGCACTTTGGGAGGCTGAGGCAGGTGGATCATTTGAGGTCAGGACTTTGAGACCAAACTGGCCAACACTGTGAAACCCCACAATCACAGCTACTTGGGATTGCATGAACCTGGGAAGCAGAGGTTGCAGTGAGCCAAGATTGTGCCACTGCACTACCTCCTGGGTGACAGAGCAAGACCCTGTTGGCAAAGAGAGGGAGGGGGAGGGGGAAGGGGGAGAGGGGGGAAGGGGGAGAGGGAGGAAGGAAGGAGCATGATGTCTGATTCTGCCTCCTAAAAGCATTGCTAAGTAATTCACCACAACTGAGACATACACAGATGGTAAGATCTCCTGAAACATCACTGTGAAGTATCTCGAAGCTTTTTAGACTAATGGCATTTGAAAAATCCTACTTTCTGGCCGGGCGTTGTGGCTCACGCCCGTAATTGCAGCACTTGGGGAGGTGGGCAGATCACAAGGTCAGGAGATCGAGACCATCCTGGCTAATACGGTGAAACCCGGTCTCTACTAAAAAAGTACAAAAAAATTAGCCGGGTATGGTGGTGGGCGCCTGTAGTCCCAACTACTTGGGAGGCTGGAGCAGGAGAGGCGAGAGGTGGGAGGCAGAGCTTGCAGTGAGCGGAGATCGCGCCACTGCACTCCAGCCTGGGCGACAGAGCGAGGCTCCGTTTCAAAAAACCAAAAACAAACAAAAATCCTGCATTCTAAAAATCCAATGCCTGACCTTTGCCACTATCTCCTTCAGTTTACCATTTCTGTCCTGAGGTAACAAACTTTAAAACATTGTTTTAAAGTATAATAGGATGAATTATGAATCCATTAAAGAAAACACACCCTCTCTAATTAGCAACTGTTCACAGGAAAATTGCTCACTGCTCCAGGGCTAGATAAGTGTCAGCCCAAAGTTAGAGAAATTGCACGTGCAACACGTTCCAATTCAATTATTTTGTCCTCACTCAGCCAAGTAATTGATGTCTGATCATTGTGCCTGGTGGTTGTTGATAGAACGGGACTGATTTCCCCCTGGACTGGACCAAGATCACAAGCAGCTTCTGGATTGTGATTCAAGGGACAAAAGAGTTAACAAGGCAGGTTCATTAGCAAACGTGTCCCCAGACCAATCCCCCTGAGCAAAGGGAGACAGGGCAGCCATCCCCATGGGACCAGAGCAGTGACTGTCCTGGTCACCTGCCAGCCTTCTGGCCGGGAGTTGGTACCCCCAAGCAGCCTCTTTGACTTAGTAAAACTCTCCACTTCTAGATCCAGAACCCACAGGAGCAACTTTGTGTTTGGCAAAAGGAAACCAGGTGGGGTTTCTCCCCTTCCTGTTAGAGATGTAATTATGACAGGGACAGTGGTCACTGCTTAAAAAGCCTATCTTTAGATAATTGACTGAGTGCTTCATTTCATGCTGTTTCATGACCTTGATAGCTAAATGGTGATTGAATGAAAGATGTTTAAATGTTGTTACTTCATATTCAAGAAGCATGGGGAAACGTATCCTTCAGATGCCCATCTCCACGAGGAAGTGGGGAGAATTTCTGAACAGCCGTCTGAATGACTAGGGAGTCTAATCACAGCCCAGGGATGTCACATTTCAGCACTGACTGAACAAAGAGCTAGATTATACAGCTCATTGGCATCACACATCCAAATAGGTCCCAGCCGTCCAAATCTGCTTTCGTTCAAAATTGCTGTTTGTGTAACTTAAATAATACCATAGGACTTAGTGATAGAAACATCTTATTTGGTAGAAAAACATTCATAGAAACAAAAGCCCAATGCTGAGACTGAGAAACATCAAAGAAACACCTTGCCGTATTTGGATGCTCTCATGGACCCTTGCTGGACAGCTGACAACTGCTGGGCATTGTCTTTGCATGAGTAGGCTGGAGAGGAGGAAGAAGAGGGGTTGCTTCTGCTGTGCCAGGGGTGACAGCAGTGGAAGAGTTGGAGGAAGTGGAAGGGGAGGCAGGAGAGACAGGCACACTCCGTGTTGTAACTTTTACTGAAAAAATATTGTGGTTGCAGCAGTTCAACCCCGTGTTGTTCAAGGTTAAGTGTAATTAATCAGGAATCCTGTCTCCTTTCATCTTGTGACGCTGGCCTCTATCTACATTGGGTGAAGAGAGGACTGGAGGCTCATTTGAGATATTTTAAAAGGCCAATCCTGGAAGATGGTTACAATCACTTCTACCCCATCACATCAGTCAGAACCCAAACACACAGCCTCCAACTAACCTCGAGGAAGACTAGGAAGTGATGTCTCCCTGTGTGTCCAGGAAGAGGAAACCAGATTGCTGGAGATATAGCTGGTTTCCATCCTAGGAAGCTCTTCATTTAGTGGCCCAGAAAGATCAGCAGATGCAAAAGTATGTTTATTATTAGGAGGACCAACTGTAAAAAATTGTTAGAGAGGCAGAAACAAAGATGGGAGCCCGCAGAGATGAGATTGATTAATTCTGATTAATCAATAGGGGATAGCAGACACAGGGAGGTTGCTAGAGGAACTGGGTTTGATCAGGGTGTTAATGCATTAATAGATATTTAAATGGTGGACATAAAGTACTGCAGTTAGACAAAGGCACAGATGTCAGCAGTTCATACCAGGCAGAAATAGTGAAGGACTTGGTAAGACTGGAGGAAACAGGAATGGAGGACAAAGAGGGGTCAGATTCCCAACCAAGGGAATCTTGAGTGTTTTTAAAAACAGCTTGGATTCCCTCCTGCAGGCAATGTGACACCATGAAAGCTTTTTGAATAGGTAGTGACATCATCAGATTTATGTTTTAAAAAGAGATTTTCTTTTCCATGCATTTGATTGTTGGCTGAGGTTGGTGGGAAGCTTAATGGCTGATAATTGGGGATGTTGCTGTTTCATAACAGGCAAATCTTGTCTTCCAAGAATTTAAAACACTTTGCATGCATTGCAGAAACTCATTAATCTTCAAAGGCTTCAAGAGTGGCACAGATGAATCCAATATTCCTATATGACCTACTTTACTGAACTGGAAAAACTGCATGCTGACAGCACAAATGATCTGTAAGAAGAGATGCAGGTTGTATATGTCAGCCTCGCAGAGAACTCTTTCCAAATACCACTGGGAGAACCAGAGCAACATGACAACTCCACAGTATAGCCCAAAATACTGAAATTAGATTGCAGGGATGTGCAGAAACCCCTTGTGAATGTTGTCATTGGCACCTTTGAATTCTAACCTTAGCTTGTTACTGATCAGCTAATAATAGCCTGTATCTTAAACTATAACCAAAAGGTAAATATCCATTTATTCATGGATTCTCAATCCTTCTGCTGCTTTATAGTATTGAGAGTTAAATGCATTTGTTACAGTATTTGTCTAAATACATGGAAATTTAGCTTAAGTCCTAACATAGATGAAGCTATTTTAGTTTCTTCTGTGCCTCCTCAACTAAGGTCCCAAACCAATGCTTTTCTTCCCCACACCCCCAGTCCGGAGGACAGTAGAAAATACGGCAACATGAGAATCCAGATTTTATATGATCTTTTTTCAGAGAAGTTTTCACACTTCACTTGGATGAAGTTACACTTGGTTCTCCACCCAGTGGCCACTTCTTTCCTTCCTCCTTACAGTCAAGAGTCCTCATTTTGTCCAGATGTTCACTTTTTTCTAACCTGACTCAGGAGCAAACGCAAATTAGTCTAATCTTATCATGACCACCCCGTGCCCCTTGTCAGCAATGAGTTTGGGGTGATCTCATCCTGGTCACTTGGGCGTGAGTAGCCCAACTCTGGGTCTGATCCTGCAAATGACGTTCTGGTGTAGCCCAACTCTGGGTCTGGTTACATCAGTGACTTCACAATGTCATCGGGACCCTGGGCTCCTGTCTTCCTGCCCTGTCACCTTCAAGGTACTAGCATTGCTTCCACTGGGCCCTCCAGGGCTGCAAGGTGGCCACTATGGTTCTAGGCACCATATCCTGACACAATAACAACCAATGGAAAAAGAGGAACAAATGTTTGCATTACTGCTCTTCAAAATCAAGGTAACATTTCCAAGATGGTCCCCAACAGGCCACTGCTCACGCAGTGATCTGGGCTACACCAGAACCTCCTGGCACTCCAGCCTGGGCAACAGAGTAAGATCCTGTCTCAAAAAATAAAAAATAAAAAAGGACTAAAGGCTGCCAACGAATATCAGAAACAACCATTTGTTATAAACTGCCACTGACTGGAAGCCTTACTGATAATATAAACAGTTGATGAACACACACTTTGTATGTTACTGTATTATATACTATATTCTTACAATAAAGTAAGCTAGAGAAAAGAAAATGTTTAGGAAATCATAAGGAAGAGACAATGGATTTACTATTTATTAAGTGGAAATGGATTATCATAAAGGTCTTCATCCTCATTGTCTCTCTTTCTCTTTCTCTCTCTCTCTTTTTCTTTCTCTTTCTCTTTCTCTCTTTCTTTCTTTCTCTTTGTTTCTCTTTCTCTTTCTCTCTTTTTCTCCCTCTCTGTCTCTCTTTCTCTCTTTCTTTCTTTCTCTCTCTCTCTTTCTCTCTCTTTTTCTTTTTCTTTCTCTCTTTTTCTCCATTTTTCTCTCTTTCTCTCTCTTTCTCTCTTTCTCTCTCTTTCTCTCTCTTTCTCTCTCTTTCTCTCTCTTTCTCTCTCTTTCTCTCTCTTTCTCTCTCTCTTGCTCTCTCTTTCTCTCTCTCTCTCTTGCTCTCTTTTTCTCTCTCTCTTGCTCTCTTTCTCTTTCTCTCTCTTTCTCTTTCTCTCTCTTTCTCTTTCTCTCTCTTTCTCTTTCTCTCTCTTTCTCTCTCTTTCTCTCTCTTTCTCTCTCTCTCTTTCTCTCTCTCCTTTTATAAACTGTCCAGTTGGGAGTTTCGTTACTTGAAACAGAAACATCATAACCAACCACAATGGTAATTTTCACCATTTTTTTGCATCCCAATGAGAAAAGCAGATGGTGAAAGCAGAGCTCTCGCATTATAAAACTCTAGGATAGATCATCACCGGTGCCCCCCGGAGTTTCACAAAGCAGGTTCCAGAAAGCAGTGAGCAAATGGCTTGCTGCAGGCTGCAAAATGGATCAGCGCCAAAGCCAGAATCAAGCTGAGACAGTGTTTTCTCTAGAGGGCCAGCTAGAGTTTGGAGCTCGCCACACCAGGCTCGGGTTCTTTTTGGTTATGACTTTGACCTCTGAGCATCTTTAAGCTTTAGCTTTTCTCATCTGTAAAATATACACCTCGCGGGTTGTGAAAATACTAAATAATGCACGCTGAATTATCTAGCATAATGCTTACTGGTCCTTTCAGGAAAGGGCAGCTTTTATTTTATTTTATTTTATTTATGTATTTTTCTTTGTTTTTTGAGACAGGGTCTCACTTTGTCACCCAGGCTGGAGTGTAGTGGCGTGATCTGCAGCCTCAACCTCCCGGGCTGAATTGATTCTCCGGCCTCGGCCCCCAGAAGTAGCTGAGACTACAGGCACACACCACCAAAACCGGCTAATTTTTGTATTTTTTTTGCAGAGATGGGGTTTTACCCTCTTGCCCAGGCTGGTCTCTAAGTCCTGAACTCTAGTGATCTGCCAGCCTCAGCCTTCCAAGGTGCTGGAATTACAGGCGTGAGCCACTGCACCTGGCCAGCAGCTTTTATTTTAATGACTACAGTGATTCGTAGACTTTTTCTCCCTCAGACCCTTGATGGCAGCAAAGAACCTCTGGTCCATTTACCCTCTTATTGTCACTTGATACCATGAATTCACAGGACAGAAGGGAAGGATATGACTCCTTGGATGAGACTCAATTGAAAGCTATTGTTAGTAAGTCATTAATTCGTGCTTAAACACCCAAGTTTATACACCACCATATCATATCTGGGAAAGCTCAGATGATCAGAAAAGTTCCTGCAACCATACCTGAGAATATATTCTCTCAAGTTATACTGTCACTTACAAACTTAGAGGAAAAACTAGCTTTGTTAGTCATTTCGAGTACTGTGCTCCTTTCCACACATACCCCCTGTTAATTTTTTTCCTAACTACTTGTTAGCCTCCAGTTTGAGAGGAGGATAAAAAAAACCTGGAGTGTTCTTGCTTTGAATGGTAATTGTTAATTAGAACCCCATTTTATTATAATTGTACAATTCATTATGCTGGGCACTTCATTAGAAGCATTGTAAAAATTCTGACAACTTGATTATGTTACACTGAATATAGAAATGAATCCGATTTAGAGCTCCACTGTTTCTTGAGGGTACTTTCTAATTAATATACATCTGAGAAGTCAGAAAAGGGAGAGTCTCCATATTTTATTCTGGGGGTCATGACTGGGGATGTGCTGTTTTTTTTTTTTAAAGAAAATTATTTTGAAATAGGAAGCTTTCTTTAGAACAGAAAGAAAAAACATGACCCATAAACCTGAAATAGTCACAATGAGGCCACATCTGTCTTTACAAACACAAGCAGCTCAGCATTATCAGCAACTAGTACTCAACCAAATCTTTTTAGAGGACTTTTGGGTAAAATCCTGTGAAGGACTTTGGGTAAAGACAAGATTGACTACTTTCATTTATCTCCTTTTCCTCTTGAAAGCCAACAAAAATAACAGCAATGGGGCTTAAACAGAGCATACGCCCACAAGGACAAAGAAAATGATGGAGGAGACAAGAACAACACAGTCCTGGAAGCTGGAGGGAGGAGGACACATTCAGCTGACTTTGCAGATCCAAAAATGCAGACTTCTTCTCAGCTGGTAGAGTGGGAGGTGAAAAGCAAACTTATTACACTGCAGAACACCCCAAATACTCAGGAATTGATGGTTCCAGGAATTGCAGCAAAGGTGGGGCTATAAAAACTCAGCTGGGAGTCTGCTTAGGAAGCATTTGTCTTCCGTTTTCTCCTTCATCCTGCACAGCTGAGGCCCTGCCCATCATCCACACTGACATGAGTTGAGAGGTTTCTAGTCTCTGGAGAGGTTGAAGCAGAGTTTCTCTGGACTGGGGAGACTGTAGAATTAGCTGATGGCAAAGATACCATAACAGGGTGATCAAATGGACATTTACATATTTAATGATAAGACCTACAAGCCCTCTTAGTTTACCAAAATACTGGCAGCCAGGCCTAGACCCTAAGCATGAGATTGCGAGAGCGGCCTTTGAGGAATCTGACCAGCCCAAGGAGAAGTACCGGAAGATATTGTTCTCAGGAAGTCCTTAAGAATTCCGCTGGTCAGAGCAATGGTTCTGGTTGAGTGGTTTTCTGATCTTTAGTATTATCATCACCTGGGACCTTGTTAAACATGAACGTTCTTGCCCCCTGCTCCAGACTGACTGAATCTGAAACACTGAGGGTGGCAGCCTGAGATTTAGTTTGGCAAGACCCCCAAGTACACACTGTAGTTTGAGAACCACTGCTCATCAGCAAAGCTTACTATGAATGCAAAGTTTCCTTGAAGTGTATGTCTTACATATATTGATTGATGTCTTATGTCTCCTTAAGTTGTATAAAACCAAGTTGTGGGGCCAGGTGCTGTGGCTCATGCCTGTAATCCCAGTACTTTGGGAGGCCGAGACTGGTGGATCACCTGAAGTTTGGAGTTTGAGACTAGCCTGGCCAACGTGGCAAAACTCTGCCTCTACTAAAAATACAAAAATTAGCCAGGTGTAGTGGCAGGCACCTGTAATCCCAGCTACTCGGGAGGCTGAGGCAGCAGAATAGCTTGAACCTGGGAGGTGGAGGCTACAGTGAGCTGAGATCACACCATTGCTCTCCAACCCAGGTGACAGAGCAAGACTCCATCTCAAAAAAAAAAAAAGTTGTGGCCCGGCCACTTTTGGCACACGTTCTCAGGATCTCCTGAGGGCTGTGTCACAGGCCATTGGTCACTCATATTGGTCTCAGAATAAATTTCTTCAGATATTTTACAGAGTTTGGCTCTTTTTGTTGACACATCCAATGTGGAGATGGAATAAACATAATCAAAGGTGAGGGTAAAATAAAGACATTTGGAAACATGCTGGGGTTTCAGAGCTCTTGGGTTGAGGGGCTAAATGTTGTCAAAAGACTTGGACAGTGCTCACTGCCATGGTATCAAGTGCCAGTTCACAGGGGCGCTGATCAAAGAAGTGCATGAAGCAAAGACTTTGACCCTTTAGTCACTATTTTGTCCCTCTTGTCTATTCTCACCTCGCTTGCATCCATGCTCCATCTTGTAACCAGAGAGTTCTTTCTAAACCACAGATTCAGTGAGGCCTGGGCCTTGCTTAAAGCCCTTTCACAGCTCTCCATTGCATTCAAGGTAAAGTTCAAGATGGTGCACAAGGGCTTTCCTAATCCACCCCTTCAGTGTTATCTCCTGGTAGTCTCCTCTAGGCAACCTTCACACCCACTTGTGACAGGCTGGTAGCTCCTAACAGTGTGCTGTGGTTTCATGAGGCCACACCTTCACATATGCAGTTCTCTGTGCTCGGAACTTTCTCTTGTGCCCTAACCCAGCTGATGTAACAATAAGTCATTGTTATGTTGTAACTGCGTTTCCCACTCAGCTCTGGAGTCATCTCCCTTCTAGAGGCCTTTTTCTGCCTTTCAGTCAGATTGAGCTGCTGTTCCTGTGTCCCCCATGCATCCAGGGCTCTACCACAACACACCGTTTGTAGCACAGCAATCATTAGCTATTTGTCTTCTCGACTCACATGTGAGATTCTTGAGGATAAGAAATGTTTTACGTTTCTTATGTAGACATCCTGAGGAATAGCATCCTTGGGATATGCCAGTGTCCCTGGGAAAGAGTAGGTGCCCAGTCTAAGTCTGTTGAATGAATGCCTATCAATACCCTTCTCTAATGGAGACACTGGGAACAATTCCTATGTCATGTCATTGTTAGAATTTAACTCATCAGTGCCCTGGGCTTAAGGGCAAATGGGGCAATTACACAGGGTATGTTGGGCTTACTATGAAGAGTGCCTATTGCCCTGTACTGTGTATGGCAGCAGGACACCAAGGAGAACCAGCAAGGCAGATAGAAGCAGGGATCTGATATTTTTTCAGTGCCAACAGCACAATGTGGGATGTACAGAAGATGGCACTAAACATCAGCTCTGGAAAGCATGTCTCCACAATGAAAAAGGTTGAGGCCGGGTGCCGTGGCTCACGCCTGTAATCCCAGCATTTTGGGAAGCTGAGGCAGGCCGATCATGAGGTCAAGAGATCAAGACCATCAGCCAACATGATGAAACCCCATCTTTACTAAAAATACAAAAATTAGCTGGACATGGTGGTGTGCACCTGTAGTCCCAGCTACTCAGGAGACTGAGTCAGGAGAGTCGCTTGAACCCGGGAGGCAGAGGTTGCAGTGAGCCAAGATTGCACCACTGCACTCCAGCCTGGTGACAGAGCGAGACTCTGTCTCCAAAAAATAAAAATAAAAAAATAAAAAAAATAAAAAAAAAAAGGTTGCAGATCCAATCCAATAAACCCAGTTTATTAATTAGGAGTATTCTCATTCCGTTGAATAAAGAAGTTTCCAAAACTGACACACCTTCATTGAGTTTGCCAAATTTGGTTAGTGCCACTCTTGATTACCAGGGCTACTCTTTTTCTAGAGTTTATTAGTCCCTGATTTCTGTTGGCCTACTGTAATATTAAGGAACATTAGTGTTGGTGACTGGAGGTCCCCATAACCTCACATTATTTTCTTCACTGGATGAAGACATTCCTATAAGAGCCAAATCCGTAGTCATTATGAATCACAGCCACGGACGTCAATATATCATGGAGCACAGCACGCTGGTCTCTGTTTAGAGAAACACTTGCATATTGTGCATTGCAGCAGATTCTCCCAACTCTTAAAGTTATAAGCCAGTCTTTCTTTTAGTGTCTTACCTTGTTTCCAAGGATCTTCTGAACGCCTTTAATGGCCTCATTTAGATTTCTGGAATTAAAAGACTTATAGATAATCTATTGCCCTGTAGTATTTACACTTCTCCCGTTGAAAGAGATGAGTTACCAACCTGTAAGACCTGAATGCAGGCTCTGATCACTGGGATCTCCTCCCCTGAGCACCGGGTCTGTAGACAAGTTATATGTCTCCTGGTTCTCACTCGTCCTGCCTTGGGCTGTGCCACTCATGGCTGACTCTCCCCTTGGATTCAACAAGAGCCATACCTAGGTAAGGTCAATTCAGAGATTATCCTCTCCCTCCACATGAGAAGGGAGAGGGGAGAGAACACAGCAGAGTCAAACATCCATATAAAAGACTAGAAGTGCAATCTAGAAAATACACTGGCGTCAGCACACAGGGCCTTATTTCTAACTCCATATCCATGTACATCCTTCCCAAACATTTTTCTTAATGTTCTGTTCATCCAGTTCTTGTCTTTATTTTTAAAAGGCTGGTCTGGAGAACTGAAGAAAATCAACCCTTCAACCCGGCAGGGTCCCTGGAGAGTGGCTAGAGAGAGGTTAACCCTAAGATAAGACATCATGGGGGAACCTACTGGAAGCACAGAGCATCCAGAGCAAACACTGTCACTTCAAGATGTCTTTTCAATATTTACACTGAGTTGCTGCCAGGCTCTTATTTCCCCTAGTTTGCATTGCAGACCATATCTCTGCTTGGGTGCCCGGTGTGCCATATATATATATATATATATATATATATATATATATATATATATATTTTTTTTTTTTTTTTTTTTTTTTTTTTTTTTTGATATGGAGTCTTGCTCTGTCACCCAGGCTGGAGTGCAATGGCTTGATCTCAGCTCACTGCAACCTCCACCTCCCAGGTTCAAGCCATTCTCCTGCTCCTGCCTCAGCCTCCTGAGTAGTTGGTATTAGAGGGACATGCCAACACACCCAGCTAATTTTTGTACTTTTAGTAGAGATGGAGTTTCACCATGTTGGTCAGCCTGGTCAGGAACTCCTGACCTCTTGATCCATCTGCCTCAGCATCCCAAATTGCTGGGATTACAGGTGTGACCCACCACTCCTGGCTGCCCCATATTCTTAAGACACCAAGCAAAGCTTTCTGTTCTTCACGTTTTTCATCTTGTCTCAGTTCTAGGATTTCTATATAGCATTGACTTGGGGGATGGGCCAGGGGTCTGTCTTAAAGCTGAGTTTGCAAAGCAAGCAGCCTCTTAAAAACTTGTATAGCAAAGTTATGGAATCAGCCTAGGTGCCCATCAGTGGTGGATTGGATACAGAAAATATATATACACACTGTGGAATACTATGCAGTCATGAAAAAGAATGAAATTATATCCTCTGCTGGAATGTGGATGCAGCTGGGGGCCATTATCCTAAGTGCATTAATGCAGGAACAGAAAACCTAATACTACATGTTCTCACTTATAAGTGGGAGCTAAACATTGAGCACATATAGGAACAATAGACACTGGTGACTACTAGAGAGGGGAGGGAGGGAGAGAGGCAAGGGCTGAAAAACTACCTACTGGGTACCATGCTCAGTACCTGGGTGACAGGATCATTCCTACCCCAAACCTCAGAATCACACAATATACCCATGTAACACACCTGCACATAAACCCTCTGAATCTAAAAGGAACATTGAAATAAAAAACCTAATGTTTGATACCATTTTCAATAATATTTTTCAAGACTTATTTACTCTAAATGTAAGATTAAATATTACTTGCTCCTATAAAATGTTATTTTTATCATTTTTATTTGGAGTGATTTGAAGGATTGAGGGAGATCAGGGCTGTGGGCCGCGGTTGGCCCTACATGCTGGGGAGATGACAGGACAGAGGCATTCTTGGCAATGGGTAACCTTGGAGGCTACGTATAAGCCATTTCAGCTGCCTCTCAGTGAGTCCCCCGTTAGAAACTGCTCCCAGAAACTACCCAGTTGGGCCCGTTAGAGCAATTGTGTTGCAACGCTACTTTATCAAAGCCCTGCTCTTAAAGAGATTTATCAGAGATTACCCAGTCCTTCTGACCTCCTTTAGAGATCCCTAAATTTGCCAGAGTAGGTATTCTGAAAATAACACAATGATGCACTCCTATTTTCTTTCTCAGTTTCATTGGGCTGAGCCTTAAGACAGGACATAGATCCACTGGCTTTTTTGTAAACATGTATAGCGTGGTGGTTGGGAGCCTGGGCCTTGGGGTGAGATAAAAATAGGCTCAGAGCCTGTCTGTGCTACATGCCAAGTAAGTGATCTTGGGAAAGCCATCCAGAGAATGGGACAAACTAATCTATCTCAACTAACAGTTGTGAGGATTGGATGAGATAATGTACACAGTGATTAAGCACATTAAATTCTCAATCAATGACTGATTATTGATAAAACTAACCAGGGACTTTCTAAGAGTTTCCTCCTAGAATAAGGCAGTGAAGATTTTTTTCCCTCTGAGTTTATGTATCTGGGAAACAAGGCAAAAATTCCTCGATTCCTTTGTTTATATTTTCCCATTCGCTACCTCCCATATTGGTCTGGAGACACATCTACAAACAGTTCAGTTTCAACAAAAGCCTTAAATACTCATGGCATGAATTGGAAGAAAACGGACACTGATAGATGGTTAAAGAAAATTTAAAAGACCAATCAAAATGCAAATATAAAGCATTTTTATGCAGAAATGGTCCCTAATCTGTCTCTTTCACCAGCCATAGAGTGATAAGAATGACAATAGGCATTATTTAGTTGAGTGCTAACCTCTGCTAGGGCCTTTTCTCAGCAGATTACTAAGGCTTTCTTATTTAATCCTCATGGGAATCCTAGGAGTTAGGTACATTTGATATTCTCCCTTTGAAGATAAGAAAATTGGAGCCTAGAGATAGTAACTAAGCTATGAGGGCAGACAGCAGCTCCATGTATGGGAGAACAGACCAACAGTTTGGGTTCTTGAAAATATCAGCCTCATATATTAGAGACTTTCCACCTTTTTCGTCCTCTACGGCTTCTAGAAAAAGGTTGGGAAATGGTTAGTTGCCTTCTTAGTCCCAGGTAGCTAATAGAAATCTATATCACAGGGATATTTCTCTACATAGCAGTAGTTGGACCATGAGTACACTGAGCCAGAGAACACGGGAGGCCAGTAGAACGCTCTGATTTGGCTCTAGTGTTTGTCTTCCACCCTTCAAACCTTTAAAGCCAAGGACTTCACTTCAGGTTCTCTTATTTTTCCCAAAAGGGCTGCAGAGCAAAGCAACTATTCTAGGCCTGCCACTCACATTTATTCACTTCTTAAAAAAAAAAGAACTTTCAGTTCCCTCTTTATGAAATTATTCCCAACAGATACATCAGGAAGAAGCCTGAATTAGATGATGTGCAAAGTCCTAACCAACTCTGAAATTCTGGGATTCTGTGATTATGTAAGTTATTGTTATATAAAAGATAAATGCATCACAGATTTTAAGGGAATCCAGAAATGTCATTGACTATTAGTACCTTCCTGAAATCCCTTTTAGGAATTGACAGTTGGAGTTGCATTTCCATTAAGCTGAGGGGACATTAGAAGGGAATGATGCTGAACTGGCTCCTTTGGGTGGCCCCATGGTTGGCCCCAGCACTCTTCTTTGACTGCTGCCATTGGACCCACAGGGAGTGCCTAGAGAGAGGGTTCACCTGAGAGAAGACATCGTGGGGAAAGCAGGAGCTTGGAAAAGAAACCTGCCAGGGGTCAGTTGTCAGCTCTGTGACTGACTCATACCACCACCCTAACCTCTCAGTTTTCTCATCTGCAAAGTGGAGAAAACACCATCCTATTCACAGGGCTGCTGTGGGAATGAGGGGATCCACTTAGGTGCCAGCACACACACAATGCCCATCTCGTGGTAAGCACTGTGTCATCGGTAGCTGTTAATAGTAGCATTGCTCACAAAGTCAAATTGCCCTGCCTGTTGGAAAGGCGCGCAGTGTATAAAGGAGGGTTGGTGGTGACTTTCATAGCCATGGGATTTCACTTTTATAAGCAGTGACTTCCATGGATTTGCAGGAACCAAACTAGGGTGTAGTTAGGGCTATCCCTACTGTCATTTCACAAATCATATTTAATTTTTTTAATTGAATTTATTATCAATTGGAGTTATTGGTTATTGCCAATTATAAAGAATTTTCTGAGAGGTAAAGTTAACCCAGGATGGACTGGTCATCTCAGTGGTGTCGGTTCGTTCCTAAGGCAAGTAGCTTAAGGATAAGATGCTGGAACATTGCAGAAAAGACAGAAGGACTGGACATCGATGATGCACATCAGTGACTTTAAGTTTCCTGAGATTCCAAACAGGGACAGATCTGGGATCCCAAATATGAATCACAGATCTCTAAGCAGCCCTGGAAGTTTATAATTTTTGCTTTAAATTTCTCTGATCTTACAGATTATCCATTGAGTAATTGATAATCTACAAACAAATATTAGAAATAAGCCCCCTCTAATTTATTAACCTACAAGTTTTCCTTGGTGAGTTTTCTTAAAACTTGGTTCCTGTAATTTTACTCATGCAGCTCCCTGGGAAAGACCTAGGCCCTGGTCTTTGCGAGGAAAGCAAATGCTTCCTAACTCATCCCTGTGGCTGCAAATTCTAGGCAAGGAGGCAGCAGTGCTACTTATAGATAAGAGTCAACATTTGCAAAGTTAATGTGTCAAACCCACAAAATTCAAAAAATTTCCATGCAAGGAAGAAGGAGGAGGACAAATGCCTGCCAGGCCATTGCATTCATGGAATCGATGCCAACTCTGGACCTCAGAGTACTGGACACTCATACACTTCATTGGGATTGCTCAAGTGTTGACATAGCCTTGTAAGCTGAGATCCTTCAAAGGAGCGAAAAGAAAAAAGAAGTTGAGAGGAACGTTTGCAGGGAGGTTTCCCTTGGGTCCCAGTTGCCCAGCCGAATTAGCATCAAAACCTTGCCCTGGAAGAGGGTTGTGAGAGTTGAGTTGCTCAGCCTCACACAATGATTGCAGTCAATATGGAGACTGCCTGGCTTTCATTTGGAAGAAATTTACATTTGATCTCACCCTTAACCCTGAACTTCCACCCTCCAACCAACTTAACTGTTATCATGCTGAGGCCCATGTATTCACAAAAAGGCCTTCACTGTTCTTTACCCTGGTAACTTGACAATAAAATTTCTCCCTCAATCTTTCTCCCATCCCAAGCAAAACCCTCCCTCTTGAGTTAAGGCTGGTATCAATAAGGGGTTTGGAGGAGAAGGCCGAGGAAATTAATTCACACTGAAAAGCAAGCAGCTGATAGATCTCTGAAGCAGTTTTAATACTTTTTAGAAACTCAAGCGTCCCAGTTTCACAGTTTCAGGGTTGAAAATGTAATGTCTTGAAGGATGGCATTGACTTCACAAAGATCAAGGACAAAATAGAAATTTTCCATTGTGGTAGTTACCTCCATTTCCTGTGCTCCTTAAGCTGTACTTGGAAGGGGACTGTTTGATGGTAAGGAAATGTTGCATCTGGGAATAGCAGATCATACTGTTAATCCCCAAATATTCAGAGCTCCACAATCAGAATGGACAAGAATTCTGGAAGCCTCAGGATGGAAATGCAAGAAAGAGATTGTGAGCCCACTCAGGGCCCTTTCTTTCCCAGGGCCTGTCCTGGGACCTCCTGGACATCCCTTCCCAGGTTCTCAGGGATGGGCCTCCTGCTCCTATCCATTCTACATTTCCCCCCCCTCCCTACTCTCAGCACCAACTTGGGAGCTTCTTTTATCCTTTGTGAGTGTGAGGGAGAGGAGTACCCCTTGATGATAGAATTTTGACATTGGAATAGTAAATGTTAAAATTTATTGAAGGCTTACCATGTATTGCTACTGCTGTAAATGCTTTATTTCATTCATTCAACAAGTATTTCTAGAGTGCTTCCCATGTGCCTGCCACTTCTAAGTGGTATTTATTCATTCATTCATCTAGTGCTTGACCTCTTATGTGTGAAGTCTTGCTATAAATACTTTTCATTTGTTAATTCACCCAGCAAGAATCAGTTGAGTCTTTCCTATGTTTTTTTGTTTTGTTTTTTGAGACTGGGTCTCGCTCTGTCACCCAGGCTGGAGTGCAGTGGCGCGATCTCGGCTCACTGCAAGCTCTGCCTCCTGGGTTCACGCCATTCTCTTGCCTCAGCCTCCCAAATAGCTGGGACTACAGGCTCCCACCACCACACCCAGCTAATTTTTTTGAATTTTTTAGTAGAGACGGGATTTCACCGTGTTAGCCAGGATGGTCTCAATCTCCTGACCTCATGATCTGCCTGCCTCGGCCTCCCAAAGTGCTAGGATTATAGGTGTGAGCCACCGCACCCAGCCCCTATGTTTTAAATACTATTTTTTCATTCATTCATTCATTCATTCATTCATTCATTCATTCATTCATGTATTTTTCTGAAAGCCTTCTGTATGCCAAGCACAGATTTAGGCTCTGGGGATATAGGGATGACCCACACAGAACCTCTGTCTTTGTGGAGATGGTGCTTTACTGGGGGTTGCCAGGCAAAGCACAAATAAACAAGAAAACAGGTAGAACATCAGGTAGTATTGAGTCATATGGAGAAAAAGAAAGCAGATGAGGGGAACAGATGATGCAGGTGGTAGATATTGCTGTAATTAGGCCTCATTGATGAGGTGGCATTTGAGCAGGGGCCTGAAGGAAGTGAACAACCCAGGACAAAATCAGCCAGAGGAAACCAAGACCCCAAGGTGTGAGCAGCTTCGCATACTTGAGAAAAAGGAAGGAAAGGAAGGAAGGAAGGGGGGAAGGAGGGAAGGGGGGAAGGAGGGGGGGAGGGGAGGGGTGGGGAGGAAGGAGAGTGGTGTATGAGACCAGAGGTAGCTGGGAGAGAAAGTTCGTGTGGGAACTTGCAGGGCTCTAGGAGGGCATAGGCTTTTACCCTGAGTTGGACAGGCAGCACAGCAGAGAATTGTGAGCATAGGCATGGCGTGTTTTAAAAGCCTCCTCTAGTGATGGTTATGGTAATTAGCTCAATTTAATCATTCCACGATGTCTACATATATTAAAACATCACATTGTACCCCACAAATAGATGCAATTATTTGTCAATAAAAATAAAATGAAAGCATCCTCTGGCTGCTGGGTTGAAAATAGACTGGGACATCAGGGTGAACATAAGGGGGCCAATTAAATGGCTACTGCAATTATCCAGGCAGGAGGTGATTGTGGCTCTCGCCTTGTGGTATTAACAGTGGAAGTGGTGAGAAGGGGTCGGTACCTGGTTACATTTTGAAGGTAGATCCCACAGGATCTGCTGATGGATTGGATGTGGTACACAAGAGGAAGACAGAAGTCAGTGACGTTTCCAAGGACTTTTTCCTGAGCAACTAGAGTAATAGAGTTGATTTTTACTGAAATGGGAGAAATTGCCCAAGAAGCTATTTAGAGAAGAGGTGAAATGGGAGTTTGGGTTTGCATATTATTAAGTTTGAGATGCTTATGACAGATCTAACTTGAGAACTTGAGGGAAGCATTGGGTTAGTCTGCAGTCCATGGGAGAGTGCAGCCTAGGAATACAAAGGTGGGCTTAGATGGCATTTAACATCACAAGACCAGAAAGATGAACTGAGTGTTGAGTGAGGTTGGAAGAGAAGTCCCAGCACTGAGCTCTGGGGCATGCTGATGGCAAGAAAATGAGGAGGAATCATAAAGAAAAAGAGATCAAGATACAACTAGTGAGGCAGAAGGAAAACCAGAATACACTGTTATTCTGAGAGCCAAGGAAAGCAGTGCTCCATAAAAGGGACAATCAACTATGTCAAGTGCTGTGGATAGGCCAAATAAGATGAGGCCTAACAAATTTCCGTTGGGATATTACAGCAGCCTTAATAAGAGCTGTTCAGATGAGTGATTATCGGGGAAACCCACCCCCGATAATTCAATGGTATTTCACGTAGGTTCTTTTCTATTTCCCTAAGTGTCGGCCGGTCTGAGAAATAAAGGGACAGAGTACAAAAGAGAGAAATTTTAAAGCTGGGTATCCAGGGGAGACATCACATGTCGGCAGGTTCCGTGATGCCCCCTGAGCCGTAAAACCAGCATGTTTTTATTAGCAATTTTCAAAGGGGAGGGAGTGTATGAATAGGGTGTGGGTCACAGAGATCACATGCTTCAAGGGTAACAAAAGATCACAAGGCAGGAGGTCAGGGCGAAACTAGAATCACTAATGAACTTCCACGTCCCACTGTGCATGCATTGTCAGGGTTCAAGAGCAGAGAACTGGTCTAACTAGAATTTGCCAGGATGGAATTTCCTAATCCTAGCAAGCCTGGGGGTGCTGCAGGAGACTAGGGCGTGTTTCATCACTATCTACATCTGCATAAGGCAGACATTCCTAGGGCAGCCATTTTAGAGTCCCCCCCGGGAGTGCATTCTTTTCCCAGCGCTGTTAATTATTAATATTTCTTACTGGGGAAATAATTAAGCGATACTTCTCTTACCTGTTTTCAGTAATAAGAGAAATATGGCTCTGTCCTGCCCAGCCCGCAGGCAGCCAGACTTTAAGGTTATCTCCCTTGTTCCTGAACATCGGTGTCATCCTGTTCTTTTTTCAAGGTGCCCACATTTCATATTGTTTAAACAATTTGTGCAGTTGACTCAATCATCACAGGGTCCTGAGGCAACATACATCCTCAGCTTATGAAGATGACGGGATTAAGAGATTAAAGACAGGCGTAGGAAATCACAAGAGTATTGATTGGGGAAGTGATAAATGTCCATGAAATCTTCACAATTTATGTTCAGACACTGCAGTAAAGACAGGCATAAGAAATTATAAAAACATTAATTTGGGGAACTAATAAATGTCCATGAAGTCTTCACAGTTTATGTTCTTCTGCCATGGCTTCAGCTGGTCCCTCCGTTCGGTGTCCGTGACTTCCCGCAACAAGTGATGAGAAGACAAGATTGATGAGGGCATGGCAGGAAATAATGATATTTATGTGTTTAATTCCATGAGGGATGTTGTGTTGTTATTACTGTTTTACAGTTGAGAGAACTGAGGCACACGAAGGGTTGAACTCGGCTGGGACTGGAAGCCAGATAGTCTGGCTCCAGCTGGCATGCCCATCAAAATGCTATGAGCTTTGAACCTGAACACTCTCCGACTCGCCAGTGGTAGTGGAGAGAAGGCCCTGGCATCTTAGGACAACTATAGTTAGTTAGAGGGAACAAGGGAAGGAGAGAGAATGTGGCTCCCCCATTCGTCCTTGCTTCTGTAGAGGGATGCTGGTTAAGAAAGCCACAGGAGCTAGAGATGAAACATACACTTGGCTTTCTCCATAGCATTTTATAATTCTAGACGTTAATTCAGAATCTTTGTAATACGCTGAATGTTCTTCCAAAAAGGCATGGCATTAAATTGTCATTGATAAAGATGATGCCAGTGAGTCACGTTTGGCACTTATGGGGAGGTGTCTTGTGAACTCTGTGCTCACAAAATGTATCCTTGACCTTGTGCAGTCTCTGTGTGATGAGCAGCAGCACACTCACAGTTTGGGTTTTTTTGTTTGTTTGTTTGCTTAATGAACTTGCTTGGAAGTTGTGTTTCCACGTACTTGAACAGAATTTCAAATTGTGCCCTGTTTTGGAGGAGAGAATGGAGAGGGCTGGTCACCCCACGGCAGGCCAGCTGGACTGGAAGTTTGGCGCGTCACGATGACCTTGCAGTCTTTTTTGGGGCAGGGCAGAGAGAGAGGGGGCCAAGGGAAATCTTCCTCTCTTTTGCCTTTTGCTCCAACTTCATAGCTTCCTTCCTTCGAAGCTGAAAGGGTGCTCCCTGGCAGCTACTCTCTAAACTCTTACCAGATAACCTTGAGTTCCCATTCACTTGGGGTTGGTATGTAGCAGGAGGAATCTAAATTCTCGTCCATATGTTAGGAAGACAATTAGGTGGCTAATGGGGAAAGTGGTAGGGGGTGTTAAGAGTCAGCGGGAGGAGCCCCAAAGATGAGCTTCCCTAGTTCACAGTTTCTTTCCAGGCTGGTCTTTCCAGCCAGGCAGATGGCAGAGCTGGACTCCTGACTGAAATGTACAGTGACTGCAGTGACCCCCCTTCTCAGAGGGGGACGTATCTCCTGCCAGAGCCCCAAAGAGCTCTTGTTCTTCTGGTCCTTTGGAAGGCTTTCCCATCTGGCCTCCCTGGGAGCCAGGGTAAGGCAGGATTGCCCAGCATACAAGTGGTTATTTGTACTTTCCAGGCTTGAAAGAGAGGAATCAGCTGGACAGAAAACCTAGGTCCCCAGCTCTAGTGAGCTGACATCCTGGAATCAGCGAGCTCTCTTTGGTGTTGAACTTTCAGTCTGGGCATTTTGAGCAATTTAAAAAAGGTCTCATAATGGTGGATACATGTCATATATCCAAATCTATAGAATGTACAACACCAGCCAGGCGCAGTGGCTCACACCAGTTATCTCAGCACTTTGGGAGGCCGAGGTGGGCAAATCCGGATCACTTGAGGTCAGGAGTACGAGACCAGCCTGACCAGCAGGACGAAACCCCATCTCTATTACAAATACAAAAATTAACTGGCGTTGTGGCAGGCACCTGTAATCCCAGCTACTTGGGAGGCTAAGGCAAGAGAATCACTTGAACCCAGGAGGCGGAGGTTGCATTGAGCCGAGATCACATCACTGCACTCCAGCCTGGGCAACAGAGTGAGACTCTGTCTCAAAAAAAAAAAAAAAAAAAAAAAAAGAAAAAGAGAATGTACAACACCAGGAGTGAACCCTAATGAGCACGCTGGACTTCATGTGATAATGATGTCAATATAGGTTCATCGATTTTAACAAATGTGCCACCTGGTGGGAGATTTTGATAATCCAGGAAGTTGTGGGATTAGGGGGTGAGGGATTAGGGGTACACAGATATGGTATCTGTGTACCTTATGCTCAATTTTCCTGTGAATCTAAAACTACTCTAAGGTAGGTGTGGTAGCTCATGCCTGTAATCCCAACACTTTGGAAGGCCAAAGTAGAAAGATCGCTTGAGGCTGGGAGTTTGAGACCAGTCTGGGCAACATAGCAAGACCCCATCTCTACAAAAAATAAAAAACAAATAAGCCAGGCATGATGCCATGTGCCTGTAGTTCCAGCTACTTGGGAGGCTGAGGAAGAAGGATCCTTGGGCCTAAAAGTTCAAGGTTATGGTGAACCATAATCATGCCACTGTACTCCGACCTGGGTGACAGAGCAAGACCCCATCTCTATTAAATGAATGAATGAATAAATAAATAAAAGTACTCTAAAACTAAATTCTATTTTAAAAGGGATCTCCCAGTGGTTATACAAATGTTCTCTGTATAACTGTGTGTTCAACTTTAATAATTTTTCTCTGTGTGGATTACACACACACCTACACACTTGAAGTATCTCTCCTTCTTTCTTGCCCTATCTCCTTCAAAAGAAAACTTTTCTGAAAGGGGCCACAGTTTTCAAAATTAATGATTCAAAGCTGAGTATACAGACCATTTTTGCGGGGTTCAGAGTCAGTCTAAAGCCAGAACTTCATTGTAGCCAGCAGAACTCTTCTACCAAGCTTTCTCTTACCTGTCCTTATCTGCAAACCCAAGCATTTTCATTGTCACAAGGAGGGTCCTCTACAGAGGCATCCCAAACCAGTGCACTGTAACGCCCTAGCACACAGGACGAGTCAATGATTCTGTTAAGCCTGTCATCATGACACTCTGTTGACAAAGAACGAAGCCGAGGCTTGGAGAAGTAGCATGACTGGCTTTCTCTCACACAGATGTTTTTAGGAAAAACCAGTTCTCCTCATTCTGAGAAATTTACTCTTGCTACCGTGCCCCCAAATGAATACCCGACTGTTTCCTATGTAGAAGTGATGAATTCATGGAAGAGGGAAAAGTTCAAGCCACCAACATCAAAGGGATGAGAGTTGACATGTAAATCCAGGGAATCTTATAGGACTGAAAACATTTGAAGATATAATTTCTGGGGGTAAAGAGAAATGAAGAGCTTGTTTAGACTGTGAAGAAAATGTGAATCTAATCACATCTGAAGCAAGCAGAATTGGGAGCTGAACTGGCCGAGGGCCAGGGGAAGCTCCATTGCCTTCCCTGATGAACTGATGCTGTCAGAGAAACCTGTCGCAGGTATGGAATAGCTTCCAGCTATTTAGAATTCCTTGGTTATTTCTTCTAAAATATATTGGTTCTATGGTGGATTATAAATATTTGAACCTCATATCTTAAAGATTTATTGCTTATGACATACCCAGTGTATTTTAGGTACTCAAGATTTTGTTGAATGAATGAAGATGACTTGTGCTAAACTAATACATCAATGATACATTTAAGTTAAAAAAATGTGGCCGGGCGCGGTGGCTCACGCCTGTAATCCCAGCACTTTGGGAGTCCGAGGCGGGTGGATCACGAGGTCAGGAGATCGAGACCATCCTGGCTAACATGGTGAAACCCTGTCTCTACTAAAAATACAAAAAATTAGCCAGGCGTGGTGGCGGGCACCTGTAGTCCCAGCTACTCAGGAGGCTGAGGCAGGAGAATGGCGTGAACCCGGGAGGCAGAGCTTGCAGTGAGCCAAGATTGTGCCACTGCACTCCAGCCTGGGTAACAGAAAAAGACTCTGTCCCCCCCAAAAAAAAATTAGCTGATGTGTTAAGCTAAAATTAAGAAGTGAAATGCAACAGAAATTAATTTCTAGCCATTTATTCTATTCCTAGGAATTCAATAGGGACAAGATGAAGAACACTTGTTTCAATAGCAGTTCAAATGAAAAATACTGGAGAGCTTCAGCTTACAAACTCAGTCAGTGCCAGACGTATGAAGCCCATACTACAGAAATGGTACAATTTCCGTCTGTTTTAATAGAGGAAGAGTTTCTAGATCAAGGCTGGTCATCATTATCTTGTGCTTTTAAGTGATTACACCTTACCTGGAGAATTGGAGTTGATAATTAGCTGTCAAATCTTAAGGGCAACACTAGTAAACTAGGCCATGTTCATGGATAGACAGAAGGTTAAAGGTCTAAGTGCCATAACATATTATGGCTTGAAAGAACCCGGTATGTTTAGCTAGAAGGGATAATTGATTGTGACATGGAGAATGATTGACACCTTGAATATCATCAGAATTTTATGACTATGAAGCAATATCCGTAATATACCACCAGAAGAGCTGGAAGAGTAAAAGGTAGTATCTGCAGCATGAAACTCCCTGCTCTCATCACCTAAGAGGACTTAAGGTTTAAATAAAAATGTTCTACAAACCACTGTTCTCCATAAACAAGGAACCAAGTTACTCTTACCCACAAATAAAGGTCATACACGTTACTAACCCAAATAACCATGGTCTTGGTAAAAATGTTAGATAATTCCACCAGGATTTTTTTTTCTATTGTTTTGAATCATTAATAAGAATTTTAATGGCAGTAAAAGCAATAAATAGAGAAATAAATAAATGTTCCTTTCCTTTGGACAATGATTTATTAATATTCATTCACAGTACAGCTTATTCTCTTTGGGTATGAGTTTTTAATCGCTTAGGAATTTTCCAAACCGTATTTCATTCAACTTGTGTATTTCTACCTGTTTTTAAGGAACTTTTTCAAATTTGTTTTGTTCCGTGAATTCCCTTAACATGCTAGGATACTAACACTATGAAGAAAATGAGATTAGTATTGCACCCATAAAAAAATGAATATTTGTTTTTGTGGACTCTCAGATTCTTTTCTTTTGTTTTTTTTTTTAATTTTAGAGATGGGGTCTTTCTCTGTTGCCCAGGCTACGGTGCCATGGCACATTCATGGCTCACGGCAGTCTCCAACTTCTGAGGTTAACCATCCTCCTGCCTCAGCCTCCCAAAGAGTTGAGATTACAGGTCTGAGCCACCACCCCCAGCCTAGATGTTTTCTTACTATTTTTTTTAACCATCTGAAGTGGTATTTTCTTTCTAAGCATCTTTCTTTTACCCCTTTCATTATGGACACTTTTTTTCTCATTAGGGGAGAACATGGAAGAAAAATTGAAGTTGATTAATTCTGTTGTTTACTAGTCATGTAACCTCGGACACACTGCTTACCCCTATTTCATAGGATTCAATTTTCTCATGTATAAAATCCTTCCTTTGTCTAAGTTTATGTAGTTGTGACTATATCATCTTAGTCCCCTTAACAGCTCTCTTCCTCTCCATGAATTCAACTGAAGGCAGTTACCCTTCCCTTCCTACTTCCCTCCCTCCCTCCCTTCCTTCCTTTTTCCCTCACTTCCTACCTTCCTTCCCTTGCATCTTTCTTTAAAAATCTCTCGTGGCTCACTCACTTTCATATTCTATATGGCCAAC
Source organism: Homo sapiens (assembly GCF_000001405.40). Taxonomy (NCBI): domain Eukaryota; kingdom Metazoa; phylum Chordata; class Mammalia; order Primates; family Hominidae; genus Homo; species Homo sapiens. The sequence continues at coordinate 9,276,144 of NC_000008.11, forward strand.
CTTGTACTTTAGATTATATTCTTGGTCCTACCTCATCACTGGAACTCAAAATCTTGGGTAATCTTGTGCTTCCTGGACATCCTTGGCCAATAACTTGGGTGCGAGTACCCTGTGCTTTGTACCCTACAACCTCAGGCCATCCCTGCTCACTCCTATTCTGGCTTTTCCTACGCAGGCTGGACAAGAACAAGGAAGGACAGAGAGTGACATTCAACCTGTGATAGTGCCAGCGAGAGCACTTGAAGAAACATAAAGCCTGTCATCAGCTCTGTCATTACAAACTAATCTCCATCCTAAGATGTGATGTATTTTAAGACAGCATAAATTTTAAAAATGTCTTTGGAGGAAAAATAATAAATGTGAACTTAGATTTATAGGGCATTGAATTTCAGAAACGTCAAAATGTTCTCTTTAAAGAAAATTGTGCCTTAGAACTGGGGAAATGCAGTTACCTGTTAGCATTCTGCTACCCACCCACCTGCCTGCTGCTTCCTTGTGCACCTGGTGACAGAAAAGGCTGGTTTGCTCGGCAACATCAGGAAATAGCCTTGAGTTTCTCCATCATGGCCTCTCGACAGCTGATTGAGCTGTCCCTTCACTACAGCTTGGTTACATCTTGGGCAGATCTTAAAGAGGTCTGGTCGACTTTCAGATATTAGCAAGTGCAGTGTAATCCAAACCAAAACTTCACTCTCTCATCCAATAGAAGTTTTTCCCTTCTCTCCCCGCACCACATTTCCTGCCTCTAACCTACTCTCTGCAGCTCCTGGTTTGGTCCAGGGACCTGTGGTTCAGCTGTGGTTTGCTCTGAGCTGTGTAATGCTTTCTCTCATTGCCTATGTACACATATTGGAAATTTCCCATTGGACCCTTTTGTGGATTCTTTAGGGACACCTCCCCACCTCCTGACAAACAACTCTCTCAGATCCATGTGGCGGTGCATAAGGACACCATCCTCGACAGGGGCCATGGGCTTTTAGATTATTTCTTAGGGTGCCCCTGAGCTCTCCCTGCCTGTAGTCTGCTTCCAGGCTCCTTCCCCTCTGGCAGGCATCCCGCTTGGCTCTGGTTTTTTTCAAACTGGGGGATTGCAGGGCACTCCATTGGCTGCCCACTCTTCTCTCCCTGCCTAGTGGGGGCTTCAGCCACCTCTCTGCCATTGGGCTGCTTCAGTCCCCAGTTTCAGGACCCTCAAACCCAAGGGCCATGTTTCAAGCTCTCCCGGGGACCCTCCTGTGCCCTGTGCAGCCACAGCCTGGGGGACGCTCAGCCCACACTTGGCCAGCGAGTGAGTGCCAGCTTCCCCTTCCAGAAAACAGCCCCCATCTGGTGGTTCTCCAAGGCCCTTGTTCACTTACCTTTAGTGGGGTTGGAGGCAGGGAGGAGGAGAAAGGCAACACTGCTCTCTGTAGTTCTATACATTCTCTTCAAAGACCTCTTTCTTCTCTTCCAAGAGCCACTAGCCTCATCAGAGGCATAGGTGGTTGCTGGACCCACATGTTCCAGACCCTTGTGTTGCACTCTGTGTAGATTTAAGCTGACCATGGCTGACCCTTCTCTTCAGAATATGGAGGGCACTTATCATCCACGAACCTCAGTTTGGAGGCTTTGGCAAAAATAAGACACAGGAGGAGTCTCATTCCACCAGACCCGCTTGTTCAGCTCCACAAACTTGAAGCATTTGCCACACACCAGGCATGGAGCTACATGCTGGGATTACAGAGATGAGCAAAGCATAAGCCATGCTCTCAGAGTCTCAGAGACCTGGTAGAGACCAGAATGGACCAATGCACAGAAAAGCAGCAAGGCAATAGTTAAGGGCAGTTTCTGAGGCCTGAGGTCCCCGGTTTGAATTCTGGCTTAGCCTCTTCCCAGCTGCCCAACTTTGGACAAGATATTTTAATTCTCTGCGCCTCCATTTCTTTCTTTTTTTTTTTTTTTTTTTTGAGACAGAGTCTTGCTCTGTCACCCAGGCTGGAGTGCAATGGTGCGATCTCGGATCACTGCAACCTCCACTTTCCGGGTTCAAGCGATTCTCCTGCCTCAGCCTCCTGAGTAGGTGGGATGACGGGTGCCTGCCACCAATGCCAAGCTAATTATTGTATTTTTTTTTTTTTTTTTTTAGTAGAGATGGGGTTTCACCATGTTGGTCAGGCTGGTCTTGAACTCCTGACCTCAGGCGATCTACCTTCCTCGGCCTCCCAACGTCCTGGGATTACAGACGTGAGCCACTGCGCCCCGCCTGTGCCTCCATTTCTTCACCTGTAAAATAAGGATAATAATATCATCGAGGTATTGTGATGATCAAACAAGTTCAAATGGAAGGCTCAGGGCAGAGCCCGGTACAGAGCGTAGTTCTTTCACTGAACACCAGCCACTGTGCCGTCTGTCCTGTCTTGCAGGCTTCAGCTCTTCCTGGGCCCGGGCTTTCCTTCCGCCTTCCTTCCAGGCTCTGGCTGCCCCTTCGCTTGTGTCTCTGGCTGTGCTCTGCTTTTTCTAGCTCATGCGCATGGGCTGAGAGCACCCAACTCAACAGCACATACAACCGCGTGGCTTTTCCCGAAGACCTGCTCCTTTTCCTTTTTTAGTAGAATATTTGTTGTAATTCTGCATTTATGAGCGCCTCATACCCCATCTTCCCTTTTAGTTTCTCCCTGTGGGTGCATTTGAAATGCACCCTTCACCCTTTGATATCTCCTTTCTTAAAATATGAGATGCACATCTGATTATGCCTTCTGTTCCCTTCAAAGTACTTATATTAGGTTCAGAGCAGCATCTTTTGTGTCACTTCCTCTCTCTCCCGAGAAATAAATTTAGGAGTAAAATGAGTCAAAATTTAGCGTGATTATATTTTAGAAGCTCTCCATCCAAAAGTGACTTTTCAACACTATAGAGGTTGTTTAGGAAACAGTAACTGCAATGGGATATTAAGATGATACTCTTCTGTGTTGAAATTTGGGTGACGCCCCCAAAGCCGAAAACTACCTCAAAGGGGATTCTAGATCATCTTTGTGGGGGTAGCCCAAAACTTGTTCTGGTCACCTCCTTCAATAATGCAAAAGAGAAGACTAGGAATTTAGGAGGAGGTTGAAGCAACCAGTGGCAAGGATTGGTTTGAAGAGCATTGGCAGAAGCTGGGCATTCCCACCACCTGCACCCCAGCCCCTGGAGTGGAGGAAGGGGCGTGGGTATTTTCTTCTCACTCTAGACGAAGCAAGAGAGGCCTCAGAGACCACTCAGAAAGATTTACCTGTGTGGCTCAGAACTGGTGGGTACAGAGTCTGGTATCTGCCTTCCAGTTGTAAAGCCCAAAGAGAAGATTGTGATTGGAGCCTCCCTTGCCAGGGACCAGAGAAGAGACAGGGCTTGAGAGATGAAGGCATCCCCACGGACAGAGGGGAGTACCAGGGGCTGCAGGGGTTGGCAGGCGAGTGGGCAGATAGATACTTTACCTGTTTTATTTATTTATTTTAAAACATTTATTTATTTATTTTTTAGAGACAGGGTCTCACTCTGTCACCCAGGCTGGAGTGCACGGGTGCAATCATAGCTCACTGGGGCCTCCAACTCCTGGTTTCAAGTGATCCTCCCACCTCAGCCTCCCGAGTAGCTGAGACTACAGGTGCTCACCGCCATGCCTGGGTAATTTATAAATTTTTTTTTTAGAAACAAGGTCTCTCTACCATCCTGGCTAATATGGTGAAACCCTGTCTCTACTAAAAATACAAAAAAAAATTAGCCGGGTGTGGTGGCGGGCGCCTGTAGTCCCAGCTCCTCAGGAGGCTGAGGCAGGAGAATGGCGTGAACCAGGGAGGTGGAGCTTGCAGTGAGCTGAGATAGCGCCACTGCACTCCAGCCTGGGCGACTGAGAAGACTCCATCTCAAAAAAAAAAAAAAAAAAGAAAGAAAAGACACAGGGTCTCACTATATTGCCCAGGTTGGTCTCAAACTCTTGGGCTCAAGTGATCCTCCACCTCAGCCTCTCAAAGTGCTGGGATTACAAGCACGAGCCACAGTGCCCAGCCATTGCCTGCTTTAGAATTGCAGGTTGGAGATTCCCATGATGTTTAGTGAGATGTCAAAGGAAGACTCCAACGAACACAGAAGAGTGCTGTGCAGGAGAAAGAAACAGCCTAACACCAAACTCATGGTGACAACCAGGGGAGCCCTTTCTTGTGTCTTTCCTTTCTTCTTTCCATCCTTCTACAGTTCTGGGGGAGCAGAATGAGGGAGGAGGGGTGGAAATAGTGATCTAGCCAACCACGATGCTACCCCACTCTTGGCTCCCAATCTTGTATCAGGTCCAACTTGGTGGGAAGAAAAGAGTTTAAATTGTATGACAAATTTCAATTTTGAATTAAACTGGACATTTTTATTATCTGAGAAATGAGGCTATTTGGTAATTCTATAAGACCTGCCTGGGATTTCATCCAGGAGCAAAGCTGAAGCGTGCAACTTAACACACAAAAAAGTAATTGCTTTCTGCTTGTACTCTATTGAGTCCAACTCATTTAATGAAACAGTGACTTGGTAATAAGAAAGCAGAGCCCATGGCCTGTGTCTGGAGGGCCTGCAGACACACAGGAAGATTTAGTTGTGGTATTGCAAACATGATTTTCACATTAAGAAGTTCCTTTACGGTAGCAACCCACCCGCAGAGTGATGGCTTTTTAATTCTCTTTACTTTTAGTTTCAGCCCAATGCTTTGGTCATCCACCATTATGAATAAAAGATGCTGTTGGGCCAAGGTAAATTCCTCTTGGCACACTCAGCAAAGGGCCAAGCACATGGACATGACAGACATAGGAGAAATTGCCACAAGGGTAAACTTCGGCTAAGAGGAAAGCTGAGCTATCCAAGGCTAGAGACGGGACTCTACAGTGGGGAGTATCCTGCCTATAAATTCAGCACTTCAAGATGGGGGTTGGGGAGAGGCACAGAAGCAAGCACGTGAACAACAGCTCAGGGGAGACCAGTAGGGGGGCCCTGTGGGATCTGAAAGGCTGGAGCAAGTAGAAGGGGGATAATGGGAGGAGAGAGAGGGTGGAAGTGGAGGCCGGTATAGACAGGAGGTCTGAGAATGTTCGAAGGGCTCTGCTGTAGGATTGTCAGACCTAGCAAATAAAAAAAGAAACACCCAGTCCTCTCTTCTACCTGGCCACCCTACTCTAGAGGGTCTGTTGGACCACAGGAGTGAGAAGCAGTATCTGTAGCATTTGCTATTGTGGCCAGAGTCTCCAAAAATTAAATAGAGTGAAACTGTGTGGAAACAGATCATTCTTCATACGAATCTGAAAGTCCAAACTTTAGCAATATTAAGATGGATCAACTGTTATTACTAGGAAAGAAAGTTATACTGAAGAAATATTGTGTGCTTTGGTAATGTCAAGGACACTAGAGATAGCAAATGTATATGACTCGCTTTAAAGAAATATGGCTTGGATAGAAATGACTAAGGGACATCCCACAACAATGTAAAAAGCCTATTACAAAGTAAGTGCATCCAGTCTTTAATTTAATTTTGACTCAAATAATAGGGTAAATTTTTTCTTCATGCAACACATAATTTTAAACTTTTATTACACAAAGCTGACAATTCAATTTAAATTGTGAGAGTATGTTTGCTTGGCACAGTTAATTCTGGTGATATTTACTGTTGGCAAGATCTCCCAAAAGGCAGAACATCTTGAAAAATGTGTTCCGGTGATTTCAAACCACTTTCAGATCCTTGCTAGTAAGCAAGAGTCGGCCTCCCATCATCCAGAGGTTTTTGAAACACTGACAGACACAAGTCCTGATTTGGTGGCAGTATCAGAAGCGTGATTTTCATATGAACAAACCCATGTGCAAAAGAAAGTTCTTGCTGCCACCTCGAGGGTCCCCATCATGGGCACTTCCCAGCTTTAGTCATGTGATGCCAGCACTAGACATGACTCTAGCCTGTTTGAAGGCCTAAAGCACTGGATGATTTAGAACAAAGCGCCTTAGTTACTCCGCCTTCCCCCATACCACCCCTGGCTCAGACGAGCCATCAGCATCCTGAGGAATGATGCTCTGCATACTCTAGGATAACAGGTGACAGGACATCTATGAATAAATCAAGAAGCATTTCAGAATGCAAATGCACACTGCTGGAATGAAGGCAAGAATTGAAATGTATCGTGGGGATCTAAAGGGAAAACTCAACGTCCAGATGGATGAAGTCATTTACTCAGGATCAACCCGACAGTACCAGAGAGGTGTTCCCGAAACCCAGACTGTAAACATTACATTTGTGTTCAGTATACTCTTCACATCTAGCTCCACAGTCCAGGTTTTGTTTTTTTTTTTTTTTAGTTGGGTTTACTTAAACTGAAATGCATCTTTTATTTGTGTTGTCTCAGTGCCTTAAATTATAACTTTTCCTGCATGGAAAAAAAAAAAAGTGATTTCTTTAGAAGTTTCTCTCATTAGGAGTCCAAAACTGTTAGCTATTCATAATCCCAAAGCCATCATTTTGGGATCTGAGGTAGGTCGCGGTGCTGATTTGCTTTCTCCCTCAGTGCCTGACTTTGGGCTTCTCATGTGCCTGGAGCGCTTTCTTTTTAGGATTGCAGACGTCCAAAAAGCAGAGGGGCAGCTTGGGAGGTCAAATAGCTAATCTCTGTCTCTCCATTTGCGCTCCAAAGTGCTCTTCTGAGGAGCGGACCAAGCCCTTCTCCTCCCTCCTGCCTGGGCTCACTGAGAGGGAGCTGGTCTCAGCACAAAGCATCAGCAAAGTGAGCAGGGCCAGGGCCAGGAGAGCTGGGCGCCCACTGAGTGCACCACACATGAAGCCAAGAGAGGAAGAGCCATCTCTTCCAGCAGAAGACTAAGAGCCCTCTCTTCCAGGACAACTAAGGATGGATTTGCCTTTTTGAAAATTTGAGGTTGGACTTGCAATAAAAAATAAGATAATTTGTTATTGAATTAGGAACTTATGTATGGGAAGGAAAAAAGCAGCCCCCGAGCTCAAGGCTGCACACAGTGGGCTTGGCTCTCCAGAAAGGAGAGCTCTAAGTGGGCAAAGGTAACCGCTCGCCTGCACTGCTCACAGGCTCCCAGCCAGACCTCCCTACCAGACTTTCGGGAGTAAGTCACTCATTCATACTGCAGTACGCAATTCCTTTCCTTTCCTTTCCTTTCCTTTCCTTTCCTTTCCTTTCCTTTCCTTTCCTTTCCTTTCCTTTCCTTTCCTTTCCTTTCCTTTCCTTTCCTTTCCTTTCCTTCCCCTCCCTTCCTTCCTTCCTTCCTTCTTTCATTCCTCATTTTTACAATCAGTTTAAATTGTGTGTTCTTTTAGAAAATATAATACAAACATATGAGAAAAATACAAACAGGGCAAAAGGAATACAGCAAAAATTATCTTCCTTCCATCCCTGTCTTCCTACAAAAGTTCCCTTTGGTAGAGCTAACCACTGCTACCAGTTTCTACAGTATCTTTCCAGAGATACTACAGGTGAAAGTGTCTATTTATCTATGTCCTGCATAAATGCAAGCATATATGCATCTTCTGCACCTTGCTGTTTAAAAAACACTTTTTAAAACACTACCCACTTAAAATACTTTAATAGATCCTGGTTCTCTGCAAAATAAAGTCCAAACTTTTTCTGGTATGAAACATCCTTTATAACTCCCCAAATGAGTATCTCCTTCCAGTTCAGTGACCCCCTCCTTCCTTCCAGCTTCTTCCTCTCCCTCCCACCCCACCCCAGGTTTCAACAGCATAGAGCTCCAGGCCTGGGAGCCTCACTCCTGTTGGTCCTTTGGTCTGGAGACTCTTGCTTTTTCTCCTCTGCTTGTCAAAATTATTCTCATCATTTAAAACCCAGCACATCTGTCGCTTCTGCTGTGAAGGTTTCTCCAAATTTCTCAGTCATATTGACCATTTCCTCTAAGTACCCTTCTTAGCAAGTTCTGTATTCCTCAGTGGGTGCTTTACTTATTTTCTGAACACTCTTGAAATACCATGTTGGACAAGAGAGACCATAAGAAACAACACGGTCTCTGCCCTCAAGGAACTTAAGGTCTAGCAGGGAAAAGTCAACAAGCCATGGCAGTAGTGAGTGATCATTGCTGGTGTTGGGAACACGGGAAAGAGGATGCACATGCAGACTGGGAAGGCCAGTTGGAGAAGTTCTTGGGGGAGGCGGAACATAAGCTGCTAGCTGAGATCTAGAAGGGACTCACAATAAAAAATAAGAGAATTTGCCATTTAATTGGGAACTTGTGTAGGGGAAGGGGAAAAGGAGCCCCCAAGCTCAAGGGTGCACACAGTGGGCTTGGCTCTCCGGAAGGGAGAGCTCTAGGTGGGCAAAGGTAACCACTCACCTGCACTGCTCATGGGATCCTAGCCAGACCTCCCTAGCAGACTTTAGGGAGTAAGTCACTCATTCACACTGCAGCATGCAATTCCTTTATTTCTTTCCTTCCTTCCTTTCTTTCATTCCTCATTTTTACAGTTTATAGTCGGTTAGATTTTTACAGTTTCTAATCGGCTAGAGCCACGTGAAGAGTTATGGAAAATGGAAAAGGTCAAAATGTTCCCAGGTGGCCATGCTACACAAAGAGAAAGGCATATGCAAAAGTTGAGAGAGCACCAGAATTCATGAGACCTTAGAGATGAATCAATATGGCACGAGGCTAGAGCTTTGCCAGGGTAGAGTCATCAGAGAAAGTCTTCTGTAAATTATAAAGTCATCTTCAAATGACAAGTGTGGAGGTAAATGACTCAAAACTTTGACAACTGGAGATTTGTAATCTTTAACCTCCAAGTTGCTGCAGTCTCTAAAGATTTAAGAGGATTTGGGGAAGGCCAAGGGATGTCACTCAACATAATTGCTTTTGAGTATTAAAGCCGTGGATTTTGACAAGCACTGCCAGGGAATGTCTGAGGGTTTGCATTTTAGTGAATTACTCTGTAAATCAAGATATATATTAGTAATACTAAGAGTGGTAGTAATTAACCTATACTGAGCTCTTACCCAACTTCCAGCACTATTTTTAGGACTTTGCATATTAGAATCTATTTAATCCCAACTACTTACAGGGTGAGTATGCTATTATTATCTCCATTTTTTAGATGAGGAAACCAGGTATTGAGAAGTTAAGAGGCTTTCTCAGTGTCACAGAACTTGCTTGTGGTGGAGTTAGGATTGAAACCCCAGTGGTCTGGTTTAGAGCCCGTGTTCCTAACCACAAGGCTCCACTGCCTCTCCTCAGCTTCAGTGGGCAGTGTTTGGGTGAGAACACTGCCCGGCCTGGAAACCCAACATTTGCTGTTCCAGAGAAGCATTCTGCAAATCCAGGGCACATGGTCAGTAGGTGGAGTCTGCTTAACCCACTCTTGGCATCTCAAGGCAGTCACTGCCTGGAAATAACAATTCGGGGAGTTTAATTAACAGCACACTGCAGGAATGCCAAGAAAAATGGGAAATCCATGAGTGGATGCCTTGGGGTTGAAAATCAGAATTGAAGGGCCTTCCCTGCCGTCTTTCAAGCTGCCATGGATTGCAACAGGCAGAGCTGCACTTGCTTGGTTTAGGCAGAGGAGTCTAGATTAATTACACAGATGCATGACTTTGCTCAGAAAAAGCCGGTGGATGGTTTGATGTAGTGACTTCTGCAACCATAAAATTGGGAGATATATGGTTATCTCTGTGCTAAATGGGGCCCTGAAGAGATTAACCTCACATACAAAGTGAAAATTATATGAATGAATTTCACCAGGTGGGGAAGACTCCTCGTCATACTTGCAAATAGCAGTTTCATGCCAAGGATGCTGGCTTCAAATGTGAAACTATGGAAAAGTTTTCTTGAGAGAGTGCCATGGGGCTGTGAGAGAAGTACTGGTTTTGAACATGCAGAAGATTAAAATTTGAGGTCAATGCCTTAAAAAGATCCCTGAATACATAAAGCTTTAAGCGGGGAGTGGTGGGGGTTCTGTTTATTTTATGGTCAAGATGTATTTTTGAAGGGAATGCATTTCATGCTGTCAACCCAACTGTAGACTTTATCACCCTCCCCAGGAAGGGGAGGGTGAGAGTAAGGCCAGGTGTGGGGTGCAGGCTGTCTTGTCCTTGGGGCCAGCACACATCGCCGGCTCACTAGCCTTTCTCTCTGGTACTAGGAATGAGCTTCATTTCTGCAATCTGCATGGTAACCACTGTAGGAAGGTGACTGTGCAGAAACTGAAAAAGCACAGTATTTTGAGTGTAGAGAAATGTGTTCAAGTCACAGCTCTGCTACTGACTAGTGATAAGGCGTTGGGTGAGTCAACATCTCTGAGCCTCACTTAGTCATTTGTGAATAGGCTTATAATCCCATGCCTGAGAGATGCTTTAAGGATAGAGACAGTGGTATACCAGGGCACCTGGAAGCTACAAAGCAACATGAAATGCTGGCTAATGGAGTTAGCAGAATTTTAAGGCATCATTTACTTACCTGATATTTGTCTCCTATCTTCAGCCTCTCAAATATTGCATTTGCTTTTGTGTTTGGTTTTACTATTTTATTATGCTAAAATATACATAACAACATTTTACCCCAATAACCATTTTTTAAATTATATTTGTAAATTGTATTTAACTGCCCTAGATTGTATACTTAAAAATGGATACAACTTATATGTTAGTGCTGAGTATTTTATTCAGAGTTTCGATAAAGACATTTCTCAGAATTCTTTTTTTTAAGGGTGCAGAAAAAAAATTTTGTAAAAATAGATTCAGGGTGTACGTGTGCAGGTTTGTTGCATGGATATATTGTGTAATGGTGAGATTTGGACTTCTAGTTTGCCCATCAACTTGAATAATGAAGACTGTACCGAGTAGATCATTTTTCAACCCTCAGTTCCCTCCATCTTCCCTCTCCTTGGAGTCCCTAGTGTCTAATTTCCCTCCGTATGTCCACATGTACCCATTGTACCCATTGTTTAGTCCCTACTTATAAGTGAGAACTTGCAGTATTTGATTTTCTGTTTTTTTTTTTTTTTTTTTTTTTTTTTTTTGAGACGGAGTCTCGCTCTGTCGCCCAGGCCGGACTGCGGACTGCAGTGGCGCAATCTCGGCTCACTGCAAGCTCCGCTTCCCGGGTTCACGCCATTCTCCTGCCTCAGCCTCCCGAGTAGCTGGGACTACAGGCATATGCCACCACGCCTGCCTAATTTTTATATTTTTAATAGAGACAGGGTTTCACCATGTTGACCAGGCTGGTCTCAAACTCCTGGCCTCAAGTTATCCACCCGCCTCAGCCTCCCAGAGTGCTAGGATTACAGGCATGAGCCAGTGTGCCCAGCTGATTTAATTTTTTTTTTTTAATATAGCATGCTTCACGAATGTGCATGTCATCCTGGCACAGGGGCCATGCTAATTTTCTCCGTATCATTCCAATTTTAGTATATGTGCTGCTGAAGTAAGAACTGGAACCATTCTTAAATGTACATCCAGAGGCATTAATTGCATTAACAATGTCATACGACCATTGCAATGATCCCTCTCCAGTACTTTTTCATCATCCCAAATTGAGACTGTACCCATAAAACAATAAGTCACCATCCCCCTGTTCCCCTACCTCTGGTAACCTATGGTATACTTTCTGTCTCTAAGAATTTGCCTGTGAGGGACCTCACATTGGTGGAGTGAAACAGTACATATTAGTCCTTTTATGTTTAGTTTATTTCACATAATACAATATTTTCAAGATTTATGCATGTTGTAGCAGGTATCAGAAGTCTTCTTAAGGCGAGATAGTATTTTATTGCATACATATATACTCATTTTGTGTATCTATTCATCCGTTGATGAATATTTCGGTCGTTTCTATATTTTGGCTATTGTGGATGATACTGCTATGAACATGGTGTACAAATATCTATTTGAGTTCTACTTTTATTATTATTATTTTTTGAGACAGGGTCTGATTCTGTTGCCCAGGCTGGAGTGTAATAGTGCAATCTCCGCTCGCTGCAACCTCCATCTCCCAGGCTCAAACCATCTTCCTACCTCAGCCTCCAGAGTAGCTGCAACTTACAGATGTGTACCGCCACGCCCAGCTATTTTTTTTTTTTTTTTTTTTTTTTACAGAGTTTCACTCTATCGCCCAGGCTGGGGTGTAGCGATGCAGTCTTGGCTCGCTGCAACCTCTGCTGCCAGGCTTCAAGCGATTCTCCTACCTCAGCCTCCCAAAGTGCTGGGATTACAGGCATGAGCCACCATGCCTGTCCCATTTTTTTGTAGTTTTGCTAGAAATGATGTTTTGACATGTTGCCCAGGCTGGTCTCAAGCTCCTGAACTCAAGCGATCCTCCTGCCTCGGCCTCCCAAAGTGCTGGAATTACAGGTGTGAGCCACTGCAGCCGGCCTGAGTTCTGCTTTTAATTCTTTTGGGAATATCCCTAGAAGTGGAGTTGCTGAATCACATGTTTATTGTTTATTGCTAGATTCTTTTTTTTTTTTTAACTTTTTTATTTCCATAGGTTTTTGGGGAACTGGTGGTATTTGCTTACATGAGTAAGTTCTTTAGTGGTGATTTGTGAGATTTTGGTGAACCCACCACCCAAGCAGTATACACTAAACCAATTTTGTAGTCTTTTATACCTCACTCCCTTCCCAAGCTTTCTTCCCAAGTACCCAAAGTCCATTGTGTCATTCTTATGCCTTTGCATCCTCAGAGTCTAACTCCCGCTTACGAGTGAGAGTATACGATGTTTGGTTTTCCATTCCTGAGGTATTTCACTTAGAATAATAGTCTCCAATGCCATTCAGGTTGCTGTGAATGCCATTAATTCATTCATTTTTGTGGCTAAGTAGTGAGTATACACACACACACACACACACACACACACACACACACACACATCACAATTCCTTTATCCACTCATTGACTGATGGACATTTGGGCTGGTTCCATATTGTTGCAATTGTGAATCGTGTTGCTATAAAGAGGCATGTACAGGGGTCTTTTTCGTATAATGACTTTTTTCCCGCTGGATAGATACCCAGTAGTGGGATTGCTGGATCAAATGGCAGTTCTACTTTTAGTTCTTTAAAAAATCTCCACACTGTTTTCCACAGTGATTGTACTTGTTTACATTCCCACCAGCAGTGTAGAAGTGTTCCCTTTTCACCGCATCCATGCCAACATCTATTATTTTTTTATTATGGCCATTCTTGAAGGAGTAAAGTGGTATCACATTGTGGTTTTGATTTGCATTTCCCTGATCATTAGTGATGTTGAGCATTTTTTCATGTTTGTTGGCCATTTGTTTATCTTCTTTTGAGAACTATTTATGTACTTAGCCCTCTTTTTGGTGAGATTATTTTTTTTCTTGCTAATTTGTTTGAGTTCATTGTAGATGCTGGACATTAGTCCTTTGTCAGATGTATAGATTGTGAAGATTTTCTGCCACTCTGTGGGTTGTCTACTCTGCTGACTGTTCCTTTTGCCATGCAAAAGCTCTTTAGTTTAATTAAGTCCCAGCTATTTATCTTTGTTTTTATTGCATTTGCTTTTGGGTCCTTGGTCATGAAATCCTTGCTTAAGCCAATGTCTAGAAGAGTTTTTCCAATGTTATCCTCTAGAATTTTTATAGTTTCAGGTCTTAGATTTCAGTCCTTGATCGATCTTGAATTGATTTTTGTCTAAGGTGAGAGATGAGGATCCAGTTTCATTCTCCTACATGTGGCTTGCCAATTATCCCGGCACCATTTGTTGAAAAGGGTGTCTTTCCCCACATAGTTTTTTTGTTTTCCTTGTTGAAGATCAGTTGGCTGTAAGTATTTGGGTTTACTTCTGGGTTCTCTATTCTGTTCCATTGGTCTATGTGCCTATTTTTATGCCAGTACCATACTGTTTTGGTGACTATAGCCTTATAATATAATTTGAAATCAGGCAATGTGATGCCTCTAGATTTGTTCTTTTTGCTTAGTCTTTTATTTTTGGCTATGTGGGCTCTTTTTTGGTTCCATATGAATTTTAGGATTGTTTTTCTAGTTCTGTGAAGAATGATTGTGGTATTTTGATGGGAATTGCGTTGAATTTGTAGATTGATTTTGGCAGTATGGTCATTTTCACAATATTGATTCTACCCATCCATGAGTATGGGATGTGTTTCCATTTGTTTGTGTCATTTATCATTTCTTTCAGCAGTGTTTTATAGTTTTCCTTGTAGAGGTCTTTCACTTCCTTGCTTAGGTACATTCCTAAGTATTGTATTGTTTGGCAGTTATTATAAAAGGAGTTGAGTTCTTGGTTTTATTCTCAGCTTGGTCGCTGTTGGTGTATGGAGAGCTACTGATTTGTGTACATTAATTTTGTATCCTGAAACTTTGCTGAATTCTTTTATCAGTTCTAGGAGCTTTTGGAGCAGTCTTTGGGATTTTCTAGATATACAATCATATCATCAGCAAATAGCAACAGTTTGACTTCCTCTTTATCAACATGGACGCCCTTTATTTCATTCTCTTGTCTGATTGCTATGGGTAGGACTTCCAGTACTATGGTGAATAGAAATGGTGAGAGTGGGCATCCTTGTCATGTTCCAGTTCTCAGAGGGAATGTTTTCAACTTTTCCCTGTTCAGTATTATGTTGGCTGTGGGTTTGTCATGGATGGCTTTTAGTACATTCAGGTATGTCCCTTCTATGCTGATTTTGCTGAGAGTTTTAATCATAAAGTGTTGTTGGATTTTGTCAAATGCTTTTTCTGCATCTGTTGAGATGATCATGTGACTTTTGTTCTTAATTCTGTTTATGTGGTGTCTCACATTTATTGACTTGTGTATGTTAAACCATCCCTGCATCCTTGGTATGAAACCCACTTGATCATGGTGGGTTATCTTTTTGATATGTTGTTGGATTTGGTTAGCTAGCATTTAGTTAAGAGTTTCTGCATCTATGTTCATCAGGGATAATGGTCTGTAGTTTTCTTTTTTGGTTATGTCCTTTCCTGGTTATTGCTGGATTCTATGTGTAACTTTTTGAGGAAGCAACACTGTTTTTCATAGCAACTGCACCATTTTGCATTCCCACCAACAATCGTAATAGTTCCAACGTATCCACATTCTCATGAACACTTGTCCATTTCCATTTTTGATAACAGCCATCCTAATGAGTGTGAAGTGGTAACCCCATTGTTTTGAAGGATGTCAGTTACATCTCCATGTGGCAAGAAACCCAAGAGTATATAAGGTTGGCTTCCTACCACTGGAGCTCTGGCATATCAAAGAGCATATCTGGCACCAGGAGTCTTTTTTTTTTTTTTTTTTTTTTTTTTTTGCAAGAGTTTTTATCCAAAGCAAAATGGCTTACCAGGACAGAACTGGGAAGAGGACTTGATGTCCTCAGAGTTACCTGATGATTCTATTTATTCATTTATTCACTCACTCACTCATTCATTTATTCCATAATTAAATACTTATTTTGGTGATAAGGAGCAGGAAGGAATTGTGCTAGATGCTGCAGCAATTATATTTTAGTGTCTACAAAGGGACCTTAAGAATCATCTTATCCAAAAACCTATCCCATTCAGGAATAGTTTCTAAAACTAGAGAGATAAGACTAAGGCCCAGGTTTCCAAGGTAGTGATCAGTCAGGCTGGATGAGGCAAGACTCCTCTAACTTGTGGGAGAATGGGTTTAAAACAAGGACAGGCATTTGCAAGGAAGCTCTCCTTCCTTACAGCTCACTAAACAGTCCAGTCACTTGATCAGCCTGTGAGTACTGAGCACAATAAAACAAGTGTCAAGAAAACCTGATTAGATAAGCTCTGAGTACTCAGACAGTCCTTATATTGTGATAACCTCCCGCAAAAGTGTCACATACAGGCTGTGTGCAATGAGAGATACTGCTGATTTGGAACTTGAGAGCCAGGTAGGAGTGTGAGTATTTGATTTCAATCTGGGAAAATTCCAGAGGACTAAATTTGGAAGATTTATGAACCTGGTAATGTCCATGCAATTGGATTTCATTGAGAAACACAGACTTTTCTTCTAGCTCATACTGGGACATTTCAACTATATTAAAGGGCAAAGAACAAGAGATGGAAATACTGGCTACAATGCAATTCAGAGATAGAATATCTACATGTATGTTTATTCTACTCTGGTTGATGCTGAAGCCGCCGGGGTTCAGAAGTAAACAAGACTTAGAGAGAACATCATTTCCTAAAGTCACGTTCACTTCTGTTGCCTGGGTACCCTCCAATGTCACACCAAGAGGCAAGACCAAACTCATCTCATTAATCAGGGAGAGTAGCATTTTCTAGATCTGGGTAAAGACTTGCAAAAAGAGCTTCCCAGTCTTTGTATATGTCATCATAACATGGGCAGAAAATAAGATTAAATATGATTGCACTAAACTCTCCCTAACTTGGTTGCCAATAACCTTATATTCCCTTCCATGTATATTAAATGACGTAGTGCACTCCATTTAATATCTTACTTCCATTTTTATGCACATAGAAGTACTTTGCAGAATAATATCTGAAATATACATAAGGGCTTTTTGCGTAAGAATTGTAATGTTCAGAATTATTGTGTTAGGTGTTGCAAGGCCTTTGGCTGTGTCCAGGTTCCCCTGCTAATATAGCAGGATGCCAGGATCTTGAAGGGAGGTAGAGGTTAGAGACTAACAACCACCCTGCAACCCCTGTACATGAAGAGGGGTCAGTTGGTGCTTGAAACATCTCTGTTCTCTATTGGCCCCTGACTGTCTTCTATTTTTGACCCTGAGCCATAAGAAAAATCACTGCCAACTCTGACATCTTCTCTTCTTTCCCATGGCTTAGCAAGCTGGACCTGTTCTTCCATGTTCTGGATCTGGCTTCCGGCTGCAACCCCCACCATCATCTGAATATTCAACCTCATCTCATTAGCCTAGTCCCATCTCAGATTAATCCGACTGCCATTCTCAGCAGGGAGAGCCTAAACTTCTTTTAATACACATATAGAGCTCACATACTTTAGAAAGATTTTTTTAATATCACAGGCATTTTAAAAGAATGAGTAAGGCACCGGTGAAGCTTAAGATTAAATTAAACATAATCCTGCCACAAAGCATCTAGCTAATTGAGATGATGGTCTCAAAAAAATTCAGGATTCAGTAGGGCAGTTACTAAAGGAGTTTGTGGAGGACAGAAGCTATGTAAGTTACTATCTAAAGGGATTGTTGAGGGAATTTTTCAGGGGTAGGAGATTGGACAAGGTGACCTTCCAACTGTGCATTTAATGGTTGCAATAGCCGTCAAGGTCAGAGTTGATAGGAACAATCCAAGTTAATATCTAGATCTGCCAGTTTTCAGTCCCATGTGGATGGAGAAAAAAATCATGGAACCATTGCTGAGCCACACCGAAGATGAACAGGGCCAATTCTGAGAAAGATCATACACGTGCCCTCCTCTCAAGGCACTTGCATTTCTATCTGGACAGAAGTACGTCAAAAACTCGGGGAATGTAAGAAGCCCAGGGAGTTTTTGGGGGTGCCCTCTTGACCTATAGGCACATCTCCTCTTCTGACCCCATTCTCATACATCATCACTGTGACATATAAGCCTCTCTGGGTCCGTAAACTAAGCCTTGCAACAGCAATACCTGTGCACATCTTGGAAGTCTATGGGATATTCATAGAGACACCTGATTTCTCGTCAGTTTACATCAATCACAAATGAGGAAAACCTTATAGTGCAATATAGATTCTAGTTGTTCCTTCATGTTGGCATAGAACTTCTTAAGGGTTAGGAGAACTTCTTCCCCATGGGTGTGTGCTTCCATGAGGAGGAACCTCTTTTAACGTACTTTCCCCTACCTTAGCCTCCATTCACCCCCACACTCTCAGGAGAGAGAAAGTCATCAGGATGGTGACTGGGAGAAGAATCTGGGCCTGGGTGACACAGCTTTTCTTCGTTCATTCTTGCTCCAGATCTGTCTGCAGGCAACACCGATCCATCCTGGTGCCTCCATCCTTGCAGAGGGACCCAGCTCTGTGGGGAAGGCCTGGTAAGCTCTGGCCTCACCTGGAACTGGGAGGGTCCATAGGGATAAAGTGCTGGCACAATGCTTAGGCTGCAGGTATAAGACCACACCTGCTCACCAGCGTGTTAGTAACACAGCTGACCTGCTGATCTCCAACAGTGGACCGCCTGCACCTTCCTCTCTCTGGATTGGGAATTCAGGTGGAGAAAATTGGTGTTATGTGTGAACTTCCTAAATCCAAAACAACTTCAATATTCAGAGGAAACCCTTCACCCCTCTTTATTCTAAGTATCCTCCAACATGTGCACACACACACACTTTCCTCCCTGTTTGAAATTTCCCAACCTCTGCTCTCTTCCTCTAGAGATCTTGGACCCCTACTGTGTCAAGCTGGACTGTCCAGCCTGGGAGGGCACCTGGCTTCCTTCCACTGAGAGAAAACATCACTAATGAGGCTGCCATGGACTCACCTGGTATATTAGTCCATTTTCACACTGCTGATAAAGGCATACCAAAGACTGGGCAATTTACAAAAGAAAGAGGTTTAATGGACTCACGATTCCACATGGCTGGGGAGGCCTCACAATTATGGCGGAAAGTGAAAGGAAGGTCTCACATGGCGGCAGACAAGAGAAGAGTGAGAGCCAAGAGAAAGGGGTTTCCTCTTATGAAACCGTCAGATATCGTGAGACTGATTCACCATCACGAGAGCAGTATGGGGGAAACTGCCCCCATGATTCAATTATCTCCCACTGGGTCCCTCCCATAACATGAGGGAATTATGGGAGCTATAATTCAAGATGAGATTTGGGTAGGGACAAAACCAAACCATATTACCTGGAGAGAGAGATTTCACGGAACCTCATCTTCTGCAGAAACCCCAGAGCTCTCAGTACTCACTTGCTCTTAGTCAGGTGCCTGTCCTCATTTCCATTCAAGATTTCTGGGGCTGTGCCTCAAGCCTTGACACTAGGAGCCCCCATCTGCCCAGGAGGATTGGCCACTTATTTACAAAACAGGAGAATTTTCTGGCATGAAACTCACCACCAAGGAAATAAGACTGTCTTCAAAATCAGGTCAATGTTGGGTCAGAAAAACCACAGCCTGGAGTTTTAAATTATCTCCGGTAGCTGGTTCCACAATCTTGTCCATTTCGTGTGCTAGGCTGGGGAGGCTGATGATATTCTGATAGCTGCCAGAACCTGGAGCTGTGTGAAAGATAGCGTGGGAATGCCAACTATGCCGCCCCATGATGGTAGTGAAGGGGAATCACTCCCCCTCTATGTGTGGTTCCTGAGGCCAGGGGCTACACTCTTGCAGCTGCTGGAGCCCAGGAGGGGCCAAAAGTAGACCCTGATTTAACTCTCCTTGCTCCCTAGCACTAGGAATGGCTGAGGACCTTTGGAATATATTCATTGATGCTTAAATGGGAACTCAGTGAAGAGGCTGCATAGGTTGCCAGTGCATTTGTGCAGGGGGTGCTAGGTGATGACCCCCAGAGTATGCAGTGCATAACCAGTGAGGGACGTGCAACAGCCCAGGGGGAAGCCAGCGGCTGACAAACACATGTCCATGGAGTGGCTGTATTGGGTGGTTTTGCCACAGCCTGGGCCTGAACATCAGTTTTGGAGGTTTAGCCACCTCATTTGTGAGGGGAATAGAGGCCTCTATCAGGGAAGAACCCACCTTAGTGGTACTCACAGAGGCTGGTATGATTAGAAGCAAGACATAGACCAGCCACTCGGAATGGACAACTAGGTTGGGATCCATTCTTCCTGGATAGTGCTGAGATGAGCATAGTCAATGTTCACCCCATGAGGTTCCTAGTTTGGGAGCTGACTATCTCTTTTTCTGATGGCCATATTCTTTCTTTAGAGATGGAGAAATGACACTTCTAATTTTTTGTAAGGCTGGAGGCATTTCCCATTCGATGATTTGGCCTCTCTTGCTTTTATCCACCCTATGCATGTTTTATAGTTTAACTCATAGGATAGCAACCTTAATTCCAAATTATTTGGGTAGCTTTAAGGGACTTAGTTTACCCCAGCCCCCAAATATGGAAGATGTCTCTGAGGTTTGCCACCATCCCTGATGGCTCCACTGCTCACCAGCCCGTGAGCACCCACGTTCTCTCCCTGTTCTGTGAATTTACTGACTGTATATCCTCCATGTCACTGTTGCATCTTCCAAGGCATGTCTCAAGTCGTTCCTCCTGCAGGAAGCCCTTCCTGACCACCCTACCCCTTACTGACCTCTGAAACTCCGCTGTACTCAGAGAGAATAGAACCTAACTTAGCCATTAACTGGATACTGGCTAGTATTTGTCATCACCATCTCCTGTAGGTCCTATTTCACTGACTACACTACCAGCCATTTACAACTAGAAAATGAATTTCCTATTTCTTTAGCCTCCCCCATCATGTTTAGCACCTTGCAAACATTTGCAGGTAATGGAGAAAAAGATGCATATTAAATAATCCTTTGCTTCCTCAAATATCACCCATATTTTCTATGCATCTCAAATCCTATTTCTCCAGGAAACCTTCCCCAACCACTGACTCACGTTGATTTTTTTCTGCCCCTCCTGACCACCCATTGTTGCCTCAGCCATGCATTTTGTCATTCAATTATGTTGTCTGAATTTGTACTTTGGCTTAAGGTATGAGAGTCCTGTCTGCATAACTGCATCCAGGGTTTGGGTTGATGTTAGCTCCAGTCTGAGGTGGCACCAGGCAAGATCCTATATCAGGGTCTGAATCAAACAGTCTTCAGCCAGTGTTTATTGTTGCCTTGAAGATTAACAACTCTCCAACAACTAAAGGTCTTCCCCAGCCAGGCCACTGTTCTCTGCATTAGGTAGACCTGGGCGTGAATCTTAGTGTTATCACTTCAGAGGCGTCACTGTAGGAAACACCTCCTAAGCTCTCTAGGCCTCCATTTTATTTCCTTATCTTTAAGAAGGGGGATGGAGCTGTTGTGAGCCTGAAGTACCATCAAGCACTGAAAACATCAGGCATGTAGAGGAGGGGTTAAAAGCGGCTCCTCTGTAATCACATCACATGACCTTGACCAAGTGACATAATTCCCTAATCTACCTTCTCCTTATCTGTACAGTAAGCCTGTGAACCTCATGGGCTTCTTGTGGGGATTATGTGAGATGATGTGTCTAGGTACTTACTTGTTGGTAATAGTAGTGATGACAGTGGTAGTAGTAGTAGTAAGAAACTGTTATCACAGGCTGGGAGTGGTGGCTCACGCCTGTAATCCCAGCACTGTGGAAGGTCAAGTCCAGAGGATTGCTTGAGCCCAGTGGTTGGAGACAAGCCTGGGTAACAAAGCAAGACCTTGTCTCTACAGAAAATCAAAAAATTACTCAGGTGTAATGTCGTGCACCCGTAGTCCCCACTACTCAGGAGGCTGATGGGGGAGGATCGCTTGAGTCTTACAGGTCAAGGCTGCACTAAGCTGTGATCATGCCACTGCATGCCTGGGCAACACAGCAAGATCCTGAGAAAGAAGGAAAGAAGGAAAGAGAAAATGAGAGACAGAAGGAAAGAAGGAAAGAAGAAAGAAAGGAAGAGAGAGAGGGAGGAAGGGAGGGAGGGAGGGAGGGAAAGGAACGGAAAGGAAAGGAAACTGATCACAGTAATCGGCACTTGGAAAGTGCTCAGTGAATGTGGGCTTCTACCATGCTGGGGACTGGTGGTCTCCATTGCCCTCCCAGGTACCGGAGTAGATCCACTGGCCCCTTTTCCAGCTCTGCTGTTTACACAGCTCAAAGCAGGGCTTGCAGCCTTGTCACATTTTTGTGATATCTGCCAAAGCAGGCCTAGGGAAGCAGGGGCCTTGGTATCCCTAGCTACACAGCTTTCTCTCAGCCCCCACCACAAGAGTTATCATGCACCTGTATCCCCTTATCCTACAAAAGAGTCGAGATAAATTCTTTCTCGAGGTGACATGCAACAATTTATAGCATAATAAAATCTACAAGATTCTTCCTTGAGCAGAGATTTTGACAACAGCTCTTTTCCCTAAGGACAGCACAGAGGACGTCTATGCTAGGGAAAAATTAAACTCTCCGGGAGAAAAATCGCTGTCAACCCCACAAAGCACTGGCCAATCAGAACTTTCAGGAGCTTGGCTGAGTGTTTTGAACCCTGTGGCCATCAGCTGTTTCATGTCCCAGCTGTCAGCCTACCACATTTGTGCAGGATTATCCAGGTAATTCCTCAGAAGATGGCTACCTTCTCCTCTCTGGTCCTGAACTGATGCTAAAAAGCTCTCCAACCTCCCAGTTGCTTATTCTGTATGGCTAACACTGGAGTCTACAAATTAGGGCACTGTGCTTGAAGCCCGGGCCAAGTTGAGTTCTTGAGCATGTTTAACTTCTGACTTCTCCCTTCACTTTCTGTCTCTTCTGGCATATTACTTAACTACCACCTAAATCTTTTAAGTCATGATTTTAATGTAACTAAGCAGGTGCCATAATTACCCCTCAAGGGGCCTGATTTTCTGTAATGATAAAGAGATTCACTGTATTCCCAGTTAATCCTATCAGCTTAAATGTGTGTGGGGCCTCCAGGTGAGAAAAGAGGATAAATATGTAGCATTGCTATTGTTCATTTTTACTGTAGCTCATTCTCTCCCATTAACTACTGGATTTCAGAAAATCAAGACCATTCAGTTATGATAAGAGCACAGCAGGAAAACTGCAAAGAGGCTATAATTGACTTGGGGGGAAGAAGTAAGTTCAGATATAACAAGGGATGGTTCTAAGACGCTTCACCATTGCTGAATATAATGCACTACAAATCTGGGAGGAAGAACTAAAAATGCAACCCAGACTGAATTAAAGGCATGATTAGCTGATGGGTCAGGGGAGGGGTCAAGATAAGACTAAAGCCACTGGTAACTTAAAAACACATTTACACTTGCCTATGAAATACAGCCATGCCCGGAAACACATGCCTGGGTCCTCAGAGCTACAGAGTAACATATGCATATTCAAAAGGCTCCCTGTCAACCAGTCATACATCATTGACCCAGAATCAGTCTTGGTGGGGGTATGGAGAAGATCGATTCAGAATGTCTGGAGTGGGGCCCCCATTCTGAATTTTAGCAGATACCCCAGGAGGTTCTGATGCAGGTGGTTGGTGGACCACACTTTGAGAAGTTCTGGAATAGATGACTCCAGGATTTTTCAGCTGTATAATATATATACAACCTGGAAACATTCCATTCTTTGTATATTTTATGCATTCATAGCCTGTGTGTATACATGCAGGGAGAAACTGTACACCCTCTGTCTCTCTCCACTGTGTATGAATTCCACATGTGCCTCTTTTATAATAGAACAACTGAATTTTATAAGTTTTCAGCAAAATCAAATAAACAGTGTGTGGATTTGAGTATTTTCTTTCCTTATTTGACCCAGAAGAGGAATTTAATTTATAAAAGAAGACTAGAATCACAAACATGGCTCCACATAAACATAGACATGTCTATGTGGCTTCAGTGGTTCAGGGACGATTTCAAATAAATGTGGGGATCTCATCTTTGCTATCCTGATGGCTTCTCACTCTTTTCAGTCTTAAACCTGGGTCTTGAGCTCCAAAATTTGATGCCTTATAGAGGCCTCCAGAGACAGGAAATTAGTCAATTTGCCCTGCCCTGCCCTGCCCTGCCTTGACCAAGTGAAAATAATTTTTTTCCCCTCTGTTAATCACTCACCTTTAGAGATGGCAAATAGGTTTCAACTCATGATCATTTTGCAGAGGCTGAACAAAAGAGTGGGCAGAGAAGGACTCAGAGGCTTTATATGGACCCCAAGCAAATGAGTGTAATCTACAGCCTTTTGGGGATAGGGTGGGGTCCCTTTTTAAATCACTATTTGCCAGTCCAGCCCTGGCTTTCTCTTGCAATACCTACTCTTTTTATACATAATTTTAGAACTTTTAAATTTGATAGCTAAGGGTTAGAACTTCTGTCTCCTGACTCCAAATTCCATGTTCTTCCCAATAACCTAGTTCATAATAAATCATCCACATTAGTGGAGGACACTAATCCAGACAAGTTTTGCTCTCAGTAGTGAGAGGTAGTTAGCAAAAAATCTGACCTCAGTCTTCTCTTGAATGGGTAGGTTGTAGCTGTTTTTGCCTTTCTGTTTATCAGCTTTGAACTGAGCAGAAGGTACAAACTCATTGGCCCACAAAAAAATATGAGGTGGTAGTGAATCTGTTCTTTGTGTATGGGTTTACCAGCTAGAAAAAAATTTGAGAACTGCTGCAGTCTTCATTAGTTAACCTTAAACCTTTACCTCAAAGAAAGGTATCACTTGAAGACCAACTGTATTAGACTGTTTTCATGCTGCTGATAGACATAACCAAAGCTAGGAACAAAAAGTGGTTTAAGGGCGGGAGCAGTGGTTCATGCCTGTAATCTCAGCACTTTGGAAGGCCAAGGTGGGCGGATCACAAGGTCAGGAGATCGAGACCATCCTGGCTAGCACGGTGAAACCCCGTCTCTACTACAAATACAAAAAATTAGCCGGGCCTGGTGGCTGGTGCCTGTAGTCCCAGCTGATGGGGAGGCTGAGGCAGGAGAATGGCGTGAGCCGAGATCGCGCCACTGCACTCCAGCCTGGATGACAGAGCGAGACTCCGTCTCAAAAAAAAGAAAGTGGTTTAATTGGACTTACAGTTCCGCATGGCTGGGGAGGAATGAGAATCGTGGCGGGAAGTGAAAGGCACTTCTTTCATGGCAGTGGCAAGAGAAAATGAGGAGGAAGCAAAAGCAGAAACCCCTGATAAACCGATCAGATCTAGTGAGACTTACCATCACGAGAATAGCTTGGGAAAGACTGACCCCCATGATTCAATTACCTCCCCCTGGGTCCATCCCACAGCACATGGGAGTTCTGGGGTATACAATTAAAGTAGAGATTTGGGTGAGGATACAGCCAAACCATATCACCAACATAGAAAATCCAGGCAAGTTTCACTAACAGGAATGATTTGGGGCTGAATGTGAGGAAAGTGTAATCCCATGCTGGGTTGCTGGGGGCTCTTGAGGGAGGGCAGATCTTGCCTATTTCAGTGTTTCTTCCTCTTTCTGAGTGGCATTCTCAAGCCTCTGGTAGTTAATAGAGGTGCCCTGCATTGGTTGGTTTCCTCTACCTCCTAAGTCAATCTACTGATTTGTCAAATTTGCTGATTCTACGGCTATATAATGCTCATGAACACACAAACAACAAATCGCTTTTACTCACCGTGAAGTGTATGATCTTTCTACAGCTGGGAGGAAGCTTATTGGGAAAGGTTTTCCGTAGAGCTCTTGCTGTACACGATTGGGATCCATTGGATTTATTTCGGCAGAGGGAGAGAGAGACATTGAATAGAACGTAAATAAATATTACCCACACCCAGCGTTTAACTTCTTTGATATTAAGGCTGATTTAGCGGTCAGAATCCAGGTGACGGGGTGGAAAGTAGCATGAAAGACAAGAAGGAGGAGAAGCAAGCTAGAATTGAATGAAGCTGAGAGAAGCAGTGAGTTACTGGGTAGCAATCCTATTCCCATTGCATTTCTGTTGCATTGTTTCGTTGTAAAGAAGAATCAATAGAAAGAGGATGCTCGAGTTTTAATTTAGTGAATCTCATCTGGGACATGGTACATCTGACAGTAGCCTTTTTAAAATGCAACCACTGTTCTCAGATTTATTAATTTTTATGTTATGAATATTTAAATATGCCCATCTCAATGGAATCATTTCATGGGAAGCTAATGCACTTACATTTTTAATGAAATGAGTAGTCAACCATTAAAAATAAAATATGGATATGAATTGTTAGACTAATTGATTGGGGGAAGAAAGTTATTGTGCAAGCAATCAGAGAATTTAGAAAAATGAGGAGAAATCAAATGACCCAATTATCGTCAGCCTTTGACATTCAGAAAGATGCTGTCCAATATATCTCTTTCTTTCTTTTTTTTTTTTAATGAACAGTCACTTTTTAAAATGTCTAAAGAAAATTATCACTGTAAATCAATCCTCAGGTAGGAAGAGAGCCAGAAAGGGATGTGATGTTCAGGAGCTAGTACTTAACTGCTAGTTCCTGCTACAATAAAGAGAGTGAGGAATCAGAGAATTTTCTGTATAATTCAGGTCGCAACCCTGCTTTTTCCTGGATTCCCCATAGAATATGGCAACTGAAACTAAGGATAAGTCTCCCCTCTCCCCTGAATTTCAAGATACCTGTGCGGTTATCAATATGTAAATAAATGTAATTTGAAAGTCACTTTAAAGATTACTAGTTTAAAGTCCCTTTGAAGTTTTGTTTTTTTTTTTTTAAGTGGAAGAATTATTGTTTAAAGCAAACCCTAGCGTTCCTTTTTCTAAGTATGATTTTCTCTGTTGGTCTTCAAGTGATTATCTTTTTTTGAGTTAAAGGTTTAATCTTAACTAATGAAGACTGCTATAGTTCTCAAATTGTTTTTTAGCTGGTAAATGTATAAGCAGAGAATAGATTCATTGCCACCTTTTTTGTTGGCCAATTAATCCCTACTGTTCAGTTAGAAGTGTGTTGATAAACAGAAATACTAAAAGAGCTATAACCCTTTCAAGAGAAAACTGAGGTCAGATTTCTTGCTAACCACCTCTTACAGGGCAATTTGATGAGCAAGGTGTGTATTGATTCAACAGCACAGGAGGCCTTGCTGTGTATTGGTAGCACTGCAAGTGCCAAAGGCTCAAGGAAGAACAAGGAAAGAGCTGAGAAGGTAAATCGCTGGCATTTTGTAGGCAGGGATAGAGAGACTAGAAGAGTGGGAGGATTGAGGATACTGGAAAAAAATGGCTAAAGTGGTGCACTAGGGAGAGAAAAGGAAGGAAAAGGCGGGTAAGAGCCAGGTATAGGGGAAGCAAAATCCGTGGGCCATGTGAGGAAGAAAGATAAAGAATTTGGCAATCAAAGTCACTTAGTGCAGTGCTTCTCTAACTTCAGTGTGCACACGAATCATCTGGGGATCTTGTGAAAATTCAGGTTCTGATTTAGCAGGTCTAGGGCCAGGCCTGCAATTCTGTATTCCTCCCAAGCTCCCAGAAGATGCCCGAGCAGGTGCTGGTCCAGCCCACCCATGAGTAGCAAGACCAGAGGATCCCAGTTTCATCTGATGGAATGTGAAGAATGTCAGTACCAATGAGTGAATTCCTTATTGTCAGTTGTGTACTTTGCACTCTGCTAAGTACCCTGAAGAGTTTTTAAAAAGAGGAGATAAGACATGCAAACATGAAACCACTAGAGTAAAACAGAAGAGTGTGTGCGTTACGGAGCCTACGTGGGGCTGGAAGTCTTCGGGAACAGAGAGGATCTGTCTAAGCATGTTGGAGCTTACACAGGCAGAAAGGAGGGGGAGTGGCGTCAAGCTGAAATGAACATAGAGGGGTAGAGTATGGAATGCCAGTGCCGAAGAACTGCGGAGACCTCTGTGGGGTCTTAAAGCTCCACTGCAACCCCAGAAAGTGACCATCTCTAGAGTTGAAAGGCTAAGTGTTGTGGTGGCTGGCTGAGTTTAGCTGAAAAGGCAGGTGTGTCTCCTTTAGTCTTTTCTTTCTTTTCTTTTTTTAGAGACAGGGTCTTGTTCTGTCACCCAGGCTGGAGTACAGTGGTGCAGTCATAGCTCACTGCAGCTTTGAACTCCTGGACTCAAGCAATCCTCTCACCCCAGCCTCCCGAGTAGCTGGGACCACAGGCACACTTCCACCATGCCCAGCTAAGTTTTTTATTTTTTGTAGCCATGGGGGGGGTCTCATTATGTTGCCCAGGCTGGTCTCGAACTCCTGGCCTCAAGTAATCCTCCTGCCTCAGCCTCCTGAAATGCTGGGATTAGAGGCATTAGCTATCACACTCAGCCTCATTCAGTCTCCAGAGCACCTGGCACATTGCTGGACACATTAATGGCCACTGAGGAAGTGGCTGACTCATGCCAGGGCCATTCAATGAATCACGGAGCAGCCAGCATGCATAGTAACTAATACACCTTAACATCGAGGTTCAAAGGTGAAAAACAAAAATGGATTCTCATTATAATAGCGGAAGAAAAACATAAATAATGATTGTTGCATGACAGTCTATTTAAGATATTCATTTCTTATTTGCTTTTGCTGCTAAATGGAACGCAAAAAAATAAAGATAACATTTTCCTTCTCACTTTCTACTTAGAAGAACGACCACACTTTTACGTTAAGGTTAAGACTCTCTGAGTTTCTGAAGCCTTGCAGAAGTAATCTTTGCCTAGCTTTGGGAAGATCTGACCCACTACAGATTATGTTAGAAGTGCCAGAGGAGGAAGACTTCCTGTACCCGTCTGTTATGGAGCTAAATCACATCAGTCACACTGTGACATGTGATGAAAAACATGGGCGCCATAGTAAGTCAGCCAGAACCCAGAGCAATGAGTATGTCTGGAAGGAGGAGACTGCACCAAAGCTAACATGTGGGCTGTGCGTTGAAGGATGAGGAGGAAGCTGCCAGTGACATGGGGGAAGGTCTTCTAGAAGGAGGCTGCAGCTCTGGCAGGGCCATGGTGAAGTCCCTGCAGGAGGAGAACAATGCACTGTGGATTGAGTGGAAGCCTGGAGTCCATGAGGGGCTATGACAGCAGGTAAGCACAGGCAGGGAGGCTGAGGCTGAGCTCAGAGACCTCTTGAATACCAGGTAGGGGGTTTAGACTTTGTCCTACACACGGTGCTGCCTATTTATGACTTTCTCACCTTACTTGGATAAAATAAGCTTATACATACATAATACTGGCAGTTGACTTTGGACCACAGTTAGGAAAACAATTACATCTTTGCCTAAGCTTCCATTTGAAATATTTGTCTTCACTCAGCTAGTTCTTTATTTTTTACTTTTTTATTTTTTTGAGATGGAGTCTCATTCTGTCGACCAGGATGGAGTGCAGTAACGGATCTCGGCTCACTGCAATCTCCACCTCTTGGTTTCAAGCAATTCTCATGCCTCAGCCTCCTGAGTAGCCGGGATTATAGGTGTGCACCACCACACTGGGCTAATTTTTGTATTTTTAGTAGAGACAGGGTTTCACCATGTTGGCTAGGCTGGCCTTGAACTCAAGTGATCTGGCTGCCTTGGCCTCCCAAAGCACTGGGAACTAGCTTCATTCAGCTAGTTCTTCAATGATATACAATGGAGGGGTGAACCAGACAAGTAAGGCAGAGGGGATTTGTTTCATTACTAATCTACTGTGTAATTTTTGTCAAGGGGCAAATTCCTTGAGCCTCAGTTTCCCTTTCTGGACTATGAATAATGAACATTTTGGCACACCAAACTTAGCAGTTCTCACAATGCTAGTTCCTGGGGACTTCCTGTGTGCCTGTTATATACATTATCTTTTTAATCCTCCAACTACAGCATAGGATAGGCTCTTCTGTCAGCCTTTTTACAGATGAAGAAACTAAGGCTCAAGGAATTTGAATAATTGGCCCAAGGACACATATGGCTAACAATTAGCAAAGCTGGATTTGATCTGATCCCAAACTCAGCCTAATCTCATTTATGCAGCACTCCTTACCCCAAAGATGGTTATTTTAACTATCACCATTTTGAAGAATACCTCAAACTCAAAAATTGTTTCAAAGTACCTGTAGCATGTGACTTCATTATCCTCACACTGCTGGGAAGAAATATAGAATCATCCAATACTGGACTGAAAAGACCTGAAAAACCACTCTAGCTTTTGCTTCTGTTTTTGCAGAAGAGGAGATTGGTGTGCAGCAAAGCTGTGGAATGACTCAAAGTCACATAGAACATTCTAGTAATAGCTGTTTCTTTTATATTTTAGTGTGTTTAAAGTACGGTGGGGGCTCTGACAAATACAGTTTCGGATTTTTTCTGCACTCACCGATTTTCTCTTCCTTATACTAAAGAGCCATTCTCTCTGCTTCCTTTATAATTCCACGTTTCCCAGTGATGTTGAAAATAAGTATCATAGGGGCCTGGCAGAGGCCTAGGGTCAGGCAGGTGTTCACTAAATTGATTGATAGCTCAGGACAAACATGTGGATTCTAATGTTTCTTGGGTGGAGGTTTTGGAATAAGTTGTTTCAGGAAAAGTGTTAGAAAACTTGAAGTTTTCTCATGATTAAAATGAATATGATATTCTTTAAGGGAAAAGGTGGTGATTTTAAGTCACAAAATGTGGTTGAAAAATTAAGACCAAGATGGTATCAAAAATTAAATGGTATCAAGAATCTTAAAATTATTCAGGCTCTTAAATTTAGTAATTCACTTCTAGGAATGTACTTTAAGGAAATAATCTGAAATTTCCAGAGATATATACACACAAATGTTCATCTCAGCATTGCTAATAATATTTTTAAAAAAATAAAACTAGAAACAACCTATCTGTTCAACCTTAGGACAAAACCCACAAAATAAAATATTATGGTGCTATTAAAATATTACTTATCAGTGACTTCAGTGACATGAGGAAATGCTTATCATACAATTTTCAGTGGGAAGAAAGGATGAAATAGTATAAATAGCATGATTTCAACAATGTAAAAAACTGCAGAGGAAATTGAGAATACACCAAAATACTAACAAAATTTCTCCATGGTAGAATTATGGGATTAAGAATGATTTTACCCTCTTCTCTAAACTTAACTTAGCTTTCCAAATTTTATACAAAAGAATGAGTCCCTTTTGTAATTGAAAAACAAACTTAAAACAGAAGCATAGAAAATCTTTCATAAATAGCCAAGATGTTCTCTTATGCAACACCTATTTTTTTTTCTCACGGGGAGCTGTCATCCTACCTTGACTGAGAATGGACAAGATCAGCTCAGCAACATCAGGAACTGGCTGTGAAGACCTTTCCCAGAGTTGTGGCTTCGAAAAGGAAATCTAGCTTCTAAGATGAATGATCAAGGGTTTGGCCAAAATCCAGGTTCATGAAACTGAAGAAGTAGCTTCACAATATCCGGGACAGAATGGGAGAGAGGGGCAGGAGACAGGCAGGTATCTTGCCTGAAGATTGAAGTGATTCTCACTGGAGAAATAAAAGAAATTCCAAGAACCATCACTTTTGCTTTAAGAGGAGCCTTTAGAGCTGAGTGAGGACAACAGCCCCATTTTAGACAAGAAGAAACTGAGTCCAAGGAGGTCGAGTGACTCTGTTAATATCACACAGTGAGTGACCAAGACTCCCATCTTGCAGTCCAGTTGTTTTCTACTGTCTTTACTTTGAAATAAATGTTGGGATGCTCTAAATAGTCGTCTGCAGCTTATCATTATCACGGAAACTGTGAGTCGCCTCTGTTCTTCTACCAGGGATTTCGTGCGTGATCCCAGCAACAAGCCTAGGATACCAAATGCAATCAGCGCCAGTTTGAAATAATACCCCTCCCACTCTCTGCTAATTTTCTCGGAAATGGTTAGATCCCCGATGGCCCCGGACCAGAATGGCAATGACTCCAGAGGTTGTCCAGGGTCTTTGGAGGAAATATCCATTTCTGGAATTGATGAACATTAAAGAGAGAATATTAATAACATCCGACTTGTGCCACTTTCAGAAACTTGGTTCAGTGCCCTGGGATAGTGAGAATGTTCTTAGCCTACTTTGTGTAAATTGCTCAACTCCTTTCTGGCCTTGGGATGAGATCGATGAGATGATTGCACTTGGAAATGCAACAGTGAAGAGTTGGGAGTGAGGGTGCTAACAAGGAGCGCAAATAAACAGAAAAACAGATCTATGGAAACCATGCAGGAAATCCTATTAGGGTGGAAACGTTAAATGTAGTATGCAGTGGGGAGATGGGTGGGGGGTTGAAGGCAGACGGGAACTCCCTCAGATTGGCAGAGATGGGGACCCACCTTACTCCTCCAGGAAAGTGGGAAAAAGTGCCTGAAGCTTTCTCAGCTGAGCACAGTCTCCACATCAGACGCTTTTTGCCCTGTACCCTGCCCTGCCCTGTCTTGCCCCTGGATGTGCCTACTTCATTACAGTTCTGTTGATTCCTGGAATCCCAAAGCAGCAGTAGCAATGCCTAGAAGAGATGCCATGTTGGTGGAGACAGCAACACTGAGATGGAAATGGAGACCGAAAGAACAGATGATCAGAGAGCAGGGAAGGAGTTTCTTCCACGGATCGAGGTATGGAGTAATCTAATGGTGACATTAGAGGTGACAAATGGTGATGTTAGGGGTTACCAATGTTTTCAGCTACCACAGGGAGAATTTGCGAGTTTCCTTTACGTTCTACCTGAGCATCAAAAAGGAAGAGAGACAGCCAGGATTGCAATAATAATTATACTGGAGAATACTTGGAACAGCACCTACCAGCAATCTGCTGGGACTCATGAAAGTCATGAAGATGAATTCAGCATGTGTTCCATGGCACGTGTGATATGGGCTGCATGCTGAAGGATTCAGCATCATGCAAGAAAAGACATTTGTATTCTCATGGGACTTAAAAATCCAAGAGAAGACAGAGAGGGAACAATTATTTATAAGTGTGACAGGTATCACAGTGAAGAAGTAAAGGACACTTTAATATCATATCACACCTATCACTTCTCGGCCTTTTGGCTAAGATCAAGTGAAGATTATTTCACATCTATGTGAACTTATGGGAGGAATCCAGATTAAATGAGATACTATGCATGAAGTGTGCAGCATGGTACCTAGCACATGAGTGCCCAGTAAACGGTAGCTGCTATTACTAAAGGTCTAAAGAACATGCTTCAAGGAGGCAAATCTTTTTTTTTATTTCAATAGTTTTGGGGGTACAATTGGTTTTTGGTTACATGGTTAATTCCTTAGTAGTGAATTCTGAGATTTTAGTGCACCCATTACCAAGCAGTGTACGCTGTACCCAATATGGTTTTTTGGGGGGGGTTTTGTTTTTTTTGTTTTTGAGACGGAGTCTCGCTTTGTCGCCCAGGCTGGAGGGCAGTGGCACGATCTCGGCTCACTCCATTCTCTTGCCTCAGCCTCCCGAGTAGCTGGGACTACAGGCGCCCGCCACCACGCCTGGCTAAATTTTTTGTATTTTTTTTTAGTAGAGACTGGGTTTCACCGTGTTAGCCAAGATGGTCTCGATCTCCTGACCTTGTGATCCGCCCACCTTGGCCTCCCAAAGTGCTGGGATTACAGGTGTGAGCCACTGCGCCTGGCCCCCAATATATTGTTTTTTATCCCTCACTCCCCTCCCAACCTCTCCCCTAGCAGAGTCCCCACAGTCCACTAAATCTCTCTGTATGGTTTTGCATCTTCATAGCTTAGCTCCCACTTATAATTGAGAACATACAGTATTTAGTTTTCTATTCCTGACTTACTTCACCTAGAATAATGTGAGGCAAAATTTTTTTTGTGGACATATGTATTGGGAAGAAAAGCCTATGATCCGTACGTCATTTAATCATTCATTTTCTCACTTCATAGACCATTTTTTACCTTATAGGTGTAAGGTGCTGTACTCAATGATAGAGCACAAAAACAGGTAAAGGTCTCTACTCTCAATGGGGTTCAAATTATAATAGGCAAGAAAGACATAGGCCAGGCGTGGTGGCTCACGCCTGTAATCCCAGCACTTTGGGAGGCCAAGGCGGGCGGATCACGAAGTCAGGAGTTTGAGACCAGCCTGGCCAAAATGGTGAAACCCGGTCTCTACTAAAAATACACAAAAAATTTGCTGGGCGTGGTGACACGCACCTGTAATCCCAGCTACTCAGGAAGTTGAGAGGCAGGAGAATTGCTTGAACCCTGGAGGTGGAGGTTGCAGTGAGCCGAGATCGCCCCACTGCACTCCAGCCTGGGTGACAAAGTGAGACTCCATCTCAAAACAACAACAACAACAACCAGAAAAGAAAAAAGACACAAACAAATCACTGCAAAATGGTGCAATAAGAAATATATTATGTCACACAGAGGCCAGCAGTCTCAATCCTGCCTTACAGGGTCCAAGAAGCCTATGCTGAACAGGGAAGGTGAGTTCAGTCTAGAAGGAGATGTAGTTGTATAGGGCCCTTGTTTTATTGACAGTTTTTTTGTTTTTTTGTTTTTTTCTGGGTGTGGTGAGCTTGGCAAGGTGTGACTTTTATATTTTCCTGTTCCTATCTCCATGTTTTATCTCTCAGTTCAGTCTCCTGATGCATTGCGAAACAAAAAACACAACAAAAAGGTGCTGGGAGGGGTTCATTGCCATGCTATAGCGACATTTTTGGCCAGGAGAACAAACTCAGAACATGTGCTTTTTATATAGAGGAAATCACTTCCAAAATATCCATAAAATGGCCTATCTCCACCAGAACCACTACTGGAAAAAAATGTGTGGTTTGATCAAAGTCTCAGAGAGTGCTCTGATTATCTGTGTGTCCGAGAAAGTGAGAGATTTTGTCTCCTCGTCCCTCGGATAGTCAGCAAATGATGGTAAGAGTAGGGGGCCTGGCCCTGCAAAGTTCCATTTTTCAAGCTGTCACTCACAGGCAGAATCCTTCTGCCCCCTCTCTGCACCCTCCCTACCTGGGACCCACAAACTCAGTATCTTGGTGGCAGAGTTTGTCTAAAATGTCTTACGTGGGGATGAAGGAGAGAAGCATAAACATTTAAGAAAAAGTCCAAAGTCTTCCTCAGGAAAGCAGTGTGATGGTTTTCTTTCTTTCAACCTGTGCATGGCTGGGAGATTGAGGCCTTCCCCTCTCTTCAGCCTCTTTGCTGCCAGGAGCTTGGGCCAAGTCAAAAGCAAAGCACACACTTGGAGAGTTGACTGATGGCCCAGAAAAGCACGGGGTCATCTGATGCCTTCACACAGGCCCCTCACATGGACGGAGAAACTGGGTCTGCCAGGTGCACGCCTTCGGAGAGTTCTCTTGTCTCTGACCCTGTGGGTCACCCCACACAGTAGAAGGCAAAGTTAGCTCCTGCTAACTCTCCCTGGCTCAGCAGTCAACTGAAAAAGAGATAAACTCGTCTCTTTTCTAATTCACGTCCAAACAAGCCAACGAATGCAACTGTTGCAAAATGGAAAAATGAAAAAGTGCTTGTTCCTAAAGGGAAGAAGGGTGGGAGGACAGAAATTCCATGAGTGCCGTCTCTCAGCTTTGCATATCTGTCCTCTGCCCTCTCTTTCCAACCCAGGAGCTGTATATTCCATGAAGAGCCCTTCTCCCATAAAAGGAGACTAGATGGGTAGTGTCTTACTTGGGAGGCTGTCCCGACTGTGAAATGTCCATTTCATAAACTAGTAAATCTGACTTTCCATATTCCCACACTCTAATCCAGAGAGAGAAAAGATTCCAGAAGAATCTGCAGTAGAGGGCCCTTCTCTGCAAAGGGACTCAGGATGCTGCCTTATGGATGAAGCCTTAGGGATGTACCTCCACCATAAGATGCTCTAGAAGCCAGGAGCAGGAAAAGTAGAGCAGCAAGGGGCAATGCTGAGTAAAACTATTTACCCAGACTAATTTCTCTTTCACTAAAGCCCTGGTTGGGGCTGCAACAGAAAGGGATGAATATTGCCCTTTAACTTGATTGCCTACCTTTGGCATAATGGCTCCCAGAGGAGTGAAGACTCCAAGATAAAAGCACAGGCGAACCCCCTCTGGGAATTCCACACGGAGCAGGAAGAGTTGGTTGACTTGGGAAGAATTTCCATCAGCATGTTAACAGTGAGTACCTCTGAGACACAAGATTTTATGAAGTTTTCCTTTCCTTTTTATATTTTTCTTGATTGCTTGTATTTTTTGTTTATAATAAACCTAAACTATGTTATAATCAAGAAAGAAATAAAATACACATATGACCATGGTTTACTCCTCCTTCCAGAGACATAAGATAAAAACATGGGAATAAACTCATAACAGTCGAGGTAATGGGAGGAAACAGTGGAGGAGAGATCCCCGTACAATTTCAAGAGAGGTAAAGAGAATAGAAACCAGCTGACAAGTTGGAGAATCAGAACATGGAAGCCATATTCCAGCATGGTGGAGGAGGCGGAGCGGTGGGGTTGCAGAAAAGATAATTCATTATCTGGGGAAGAACTGGCCACTTGGTGGGGAGGCATCTTCTCACACATCCCTGAGTTTGGAGGTGTGGCAGCCATCTCCAGGCAAAAACGGAGCTCCCTTCCGTAGAGACAAACATTCTTTCTGAGAATTGGGGCTTCTAGATCCCTGTGTAAGTGGTGTCCTGGCCAGATTCCTCTGTCTGCTTAAGCCAAAGTGAAGCGCTGCCAGATGGTGACATGCTGCCGGGACACTGCCGGAATGTGATGAAGAGAAGCCGCTGCACCTAGGGCACATGACTCCTGCCTCATGACCCCTGTCTGGTAATCCAAGCTCAGCACCTGCCTCAATATCTATGAAAAGGACTCATATATCAATGACTTCAGATTTATAATAACAGAAATAGTGTCTATTGGTTTTTAACCTTGAGAATCAGTCTCGTAGGACACAGAAGATTAAATACGGTTATAGAAGAAAATGTGATATGATCAGCTTCCCAGTGTAAAAGCAAATTCCAGCTGTCAGAAAGTGAGAAAGGTATGGGAGGAAGAAGAGGGGCCCTCATGTCTTCATCTAATTGAGGTGAAAATCAAGACATACTTTCTAAAATGGATGTAATATAAAATATATGCTTACATTATTATTCAGAGGTAATACACAGTAGGACAAAAGTGTCAAAAATTAGGAAGAAGAAAAGAGGGAGGTTAAGGTGAGTTAATTCGTTAGCTTTCTGTAGGTATGAGTGACTTCATAATGTCTTAAGTTAATAAGTCAGGAAATAGCATATACATTAGTTATCGTCAAGGAGGGAACTTCCAGAATTAAGAGCAGAAACCATTTGCCTTGGGGAACAGAAACTACATGGGGAAGAATGGGGTGGGTGGTGACTATAGGTTTTCATTGTAATTTCTTCTGTTGATTTCTTTTCTTTTTTTTTTTTTTCTTTTTTCTTTTTCTTTCTTTTTTTTTTTTTTTTTTTTTTAGACAGGG
Source organism: Homo sapiens (assembly GCF_000001405.40). Lineage (NCBI taxonomy): Eukaryota > Metazoa > Chordata > Mammalia > Primates > Hominidae > Homo > Homo sapiens. Next base: position 9,313,136 of record NC_000008.11, read on the forward strand.
TCTTGCTCTGTCACCCAGGGTGGAGTGCAGTGGTGCAATCTCAGCTTACTGCAGCTTCAACCTCCCGGGCACAAGCAATCCTCCTACCTTCACCTCTTGAGTCACTGGTACCACAGGCATGCACCACCACACCCAGCTAATCTTTGTATTTTTTGTAGAGATGGGAGTCTCACCATGTTGCCCAGGCTGGTCCTGAACTCCTGAGCTGAAGGGATCCTCCTGCCTTGGCCTCCCAAAGTTGTGAGATTACAGGTGTGAGCCACCACACCCAGCCCCTTTTCTTGTCTTTCTTTTCATTATTATTTTTTTTTCTTCTTACAATGCTCATGATAAACATTAGGGGGAAATGACTGGAGAAAGGAGACAGAGAGAGCATGCCATCAGGAGAGTACTTCTAGCCACAGATGTTCTGTTAATACCAGCCAGCACAAGGTGTTACATCTAACAGTATAAAATCAGTCTAATTGGTTGGTTGGTTTTTCCATCTCCTCTGAAAAAGACTTGACTCTCTGGCAGTCAGTGCTTTTGGGTTGGACTATGGCCTGCAACAGCCCCTAAGCACATTCAGGTTGTGTGACCTGGGCCTGTTCCCTGCCTCTCCTGGCCATTGCCTCTCAGCTTCCACCTGCTCCTGCCTCTTACAGGCTCACCCAGCTTGGACCCAGGGCTCCGGCTGGACCTTCAGCTCCTGGGTCTTGTTGATCTTCACACCAGGCTCTGCATCCTGGCCTTGTCTCTCCTCATTTTGGCCTTCAACCTGGTCAACCCAAGATTGAGCCAGGGCTTCTGGGCCCAAGGGGCATAAGAGAATAAAGCATTCTTGTTTAGCATGGACAGCCTGGGAGATGGGCAACCCAAGAAAACCCACTGGCAAGGAAGACTGCCCAGGAACGAAGAATCACACAGTGTATAGTGGATACACCATGGGCTTTGCGGTCAAGCCAAATTGGTCAGATCCTAGATCTGCTGCTAATTGTGTCATCTTGGCCAGAATATTGAAAGCCTCTGAGCTTCTTTTCCTTATCTGTAACGTGAGGACAACATAATCTCCCACATGGATTTATTGGGAGGATTAAATGAGAGCTTGTATATAAAAGTCCTTGCATACACCTGATTTGTGGTAGGTACGTAATGTTAGGCCCCCTCTCACCTCATCTATCCTTTCTTCTCCCTTTTATCTTATGTATATGTAGGCATAAAGTGAAAAGCAATGAAATGCTTTGCATATAATCACATGTAAGGTTAAGTAGTGCTAGGATGAATAATACTGCTGCTTTGCTGTGAGTGTCTGTTATAGCTTGGGGTACAGACTCATTTTCCTTAGGAAAAAGTCCCTCTTCCAGGCAGCTTGCCTCTGGGATAGAGGAGGAACCTGGGATCCATTAGGACTTCAGGCCATAAAATTTAAACATATTAGAATGCATAGGACGTTAGAGGGTTAGTCAGCAGCCAGCCATCATTTTTGCAGAGGAGACCCAGAACTTGACACCTAGAGAAGTTAAGTTGCCTGGTTTAATGTCACAGATCAGATCTACTGAACTCCCACCTGCTGCTTCTCTGAAATGAAAGATACCTCGAGAAGGTTGTTGTGTTTCTGTGTCAAAAGAATATAAGGGATGCAACAAAACATGGTCATACCTATGACCAGTATGAAAAAATATGCATGATAAAAAACACTAAACCAAAAAGAGGACAGGTATTTTAAAAGGCTTTTAAAAAAAACTGAATCTGTTAAAGTGATGCTGTAGTTAAATGCCACTATATCTTAAGAGAAAATTCTGCGTGGGCGTCAATACCACTGACAGATGGTGAGTTTACACAAGAGTGTCTATTGAATGCAACAGACATTACGTATCCCAAACAGAAACAACCAGAAATTCTGTTGCAGTGTGTGTTGAAGGTATGGCTAAGAATCCATAGCACGACTTACGTAAGAAAGGTAAATAATTACTAGTGTTTTCTTGCTGTAGCTGGTAAGTTAGTATATTTGTTCATGGAGTTGATTAGGATTGATGGGCTAAGAGGTCATTTGGATATATCAGTATGACAGACATAATATCAGGAAATGAACTATTTAGGGGTGCCAGGAGAGTCTTGATGGTTTGAGCAGACAGTAGACCAGTCAATATCAGACAGCGTGGTTACAGGCTGTGACAGGTGACCTGTTAGTGTTAATTTCAGACTTATTAGAAAATGTAGCAAGGCAACATTTGTAAGGACAGAGAACTTCAGCCCATTCATTACATTATTCACCAGCAATTGCTTAGCACTAAAAGGTTAGAATTGGAAAATGTCAGGGACATTGCAATTAGCACTGAGTACGGAATATGATTCTGTGCCTTGAACTGCTGAAAGTACAATGATTTTCATGACCCTCTTGAAACAGAACACCATATTCAGCTGTATTTCATGGAGTCTGGGGAGATCCATCGAGGGGGTTTAAAATTGGAAAGATATTTTGTTTTGTTTTGTTTTGTTGAGACAGAGTCTTGCTCTGTCACCTATGCTGGAGTGCAGTGGTGCTATCTCGGCTCACTGCAACCTCTGCCTCCCGGGTTCAAGCGATTCTCCTGCCTCAGCCTCCCAAGTAGCTGGGATCACAAGTGTGTGCCACCACGCCCGGCTCATTTTTGTATTCTGAGTAGAGACAAAATTTCACCATGTTGGCCAGGCTGATCTCAAACTCCTGACCTCAAGTGATCTGCCCACCTCGGCCTCCCAAAGTGCTGGGATTACAGACATGAACCACCGCGCCTGGCCAGAAAGAGTTTTTTTGAATTGTTGAAATAAATTGACTTGCTCATTGATCCAAGGAAAAATTTCCATGCCTTCTCACCAAAGACTAGGCCATCAGAAACAAAATCTGGAATATTTGTTTTGAAGGGTGTCTGTGCGTGAGATACCTAGACACTGTAGTTAAGAAATATAAGATGCAATGCACTCATTTCTAAAGAAATTACATCTGAGAAACTCATTTCATGGAAAATTATCTGACCCACTTAACTACACTGGAATGAGTTTCCAGAAATGAAAGTGATAGACGGAACTATATTCTTAAAATTGTCCATTTGTAGACCAGACTCCAAAAAATTGTATTTCAAACGTAATGAAAATGAAATAACATTGTTGAGTTTGCTTTCCTCAATTAATCTTGATAGGATAAAGGAAGCACTATAAATTGATATGCTTGAACTGTAGGGAAAAATAGTACTAAAAATTTACCATAACTATACTGAAGTCCCAGAAATCTAAAGGTGTAACTTTTCTAGGAATCCATGTCCAGAAAACAAAACAGAAGAGACATTGACATTTTGATCTAGAAACAGCAGTGCCTGGTTTCCAGAGTTATATTAAAGAAGAAATGAATTATTTAAAAAGTGTATTTATTAAGCATTCCTTATTCTCTACTTGCATTATATACATAGAAAATCTAGTCAATATTACATATATTTACATATAACCTGCTAACATTCAAGTTTAATAAAAAATAAATCTGGCTGGGTGTGGTGGCCCATGACTATAATCCCAGCACTTTCGGCGGTTAAGGCAGGAGGATTGCTTGAGCCCAAGAGTTTGAGACTAGCCTGGACAACATGACAAGGCCCCATCTCTACAAAATATTTAAAAAATGAGTTGACCCTGGTGGTACATGCCTGTGGTCCCAGCTACTTGGGAGGCTGAGGTGGGAGGATTGCTTGAGCCTAGGAGTTGGAGGCTGCAGTGAGCTATGATTGTGCCACTGCATTCCAGCCTGGGTGACAGAGTGAGATTCTGTCTGAAAATAATAATGATAATAATAATAATAATAAAATAAGAATAAAGTGTATATGCCAACTTTTCTTAAATTTTGTCCACTCATTTCTGTTACCTGCCTGCTGTATAGGCATGTGACTTTCAATCCCTGGCCTGAGAGTCCCTGAACTTGAGGGAGGATTTGTTTCTGCACATCATGTGGCTGCTGCTGGCGGCTGCGTATCTGAGCTCAGGAGCGGAACACCACTTGGCCTGGGCAGAAACCCAGAGTATTGCCACAGAGAGGGCAAGCATCCAGGGACTGATCACATGAAGCTCCATCCACAATACTGTGTGGCACAGCCATGCAAGAGATACAGTTAACTACTAACAGTTTTCAGTTTCCAGATGCCTGGCCTTGACACCAGAAGTGATCATCAGCCCCTTTGTGCTGAGCCAGACTGGAATGGAAGAGTATTTTCTTGAATGAGAAGTGGAGGTCCCTAGAGGGAGATACTTGACTTCCTGGGACAAGTAGGGGCCTATGTGATTGATTAAAACAATAAAAGATAGAGTCATTCATATTTTTGTTTTTAATTGACCTCACGTGGATAGAATTAGATTAATTAGAACTCGATTTGTAACACACTCTCATCATGGCCTTCTTTGAGCGTGTGAGTGACTGCATTTGTTTAATTATTCAAAGAGATGAATGCATTCAAAGTCCAAATTTTATACTGAAGAATACTGTGCACCACGGTGAACTCTACTCATATGAGATCTAAAAGAAGCCCACAGAATGGACAACCAGTATTTATTGAGCATCTATTTGACTCAAAGTCCTATGCCGGGCCCTTTGCAAACATTTTCTATTTAATTCTCCCCAAATTGTCCCTGGGTAACTGCTTCTTATCCTCCCTGCCTCACTCCCTCCTGCTACTGTAAACTGGCTGGTCAGAAATAGAATTGCTGTGAGCGACAAGAACATTGCAGTGCAATATTCTCAGGTGGTTGGGTGGTTTGCTATTGGGTGACTTTCAATTTTCACAGCCGAACTTTAAAGTCTCATTAAAACAGTTTTTTGTTGCTGTTTGCTGAGTTTACGTCAGCAGCAATTCAGCAAATAAGCAGACACAGCAGATTGCCTGTTTTGGCAGGTCTAATAAGAGACCTACAAAAAATGTGATTGCGAAGGAAAAACGTGATTTCAGAACTAAAGCCTAGTGAGCCCCTTGGTAAGAATTGTCTTCTATAAATCCTAATTGATCTTTACATGTGAATGACTTTGAAAGAAAATGAAGTCTCTTTCTTCTCCCCCGTCATTGGACATGTTTGTATTGGCAGAAGTTTTGAATGGGTGATTGCTAAGGAGTTTGGAAATCTCTATTAGTGTCTGATGCAACCTGATGTCCTGAATAACATTAAATTTTTTTAAATCCTGAGCATGAAAAGAATCCCTCTTAGATTAGAGCAGCTATAAAGATCCCAGCTGGCCCTTCCCTAGGGTTTTAAAAGTTTTTCTAAGCATCTGGCTGGAAGAATCATGAGGAAATACTAAAATGGCTTGATATTTATTGCAGCTTCACCTGTGGGCAAAGGACTGTGCTTGGTGCTGGCTGAATCAGACAGGCCTCTCCCTCAAGTTGCCCACAGTCTCATGATGGAAGTAAGACAAGTCTCCAAAAATTGGAATTCAAGGTAGAAAGAAATAAGGGCCGTAAAAAGTACAAGGCAGGGCCAAGACTTGCATAAGGAGCTGCAGATCCGTGTGATCTTTAAGATGAGAGTTGCTAGTGTGGAACCGGGTTGTGCAAAAGGTTCTCTGGGACAGCGAAAGACAGAGGATGGGGAAGCCACGGTGGGTGGAGATGAGAAGATGGCAGTGAGAACCCAGCGAGAAGGCTTCCTTATGTTTGAGCTGCTGTGAGAAGAGTGAAGATGAGGCAGAATTACAAAGGCAGCAAGGCCTAATACTGCTGTGCCCTCACCCTCACTGAGCCCCTTTGTTGACACCTGCTGCCCAGATTCTCAGTACTCCCGCGCTATGGCTTGGTGTGCAGGGGCTCTGCCTCTGAGGGGCCCCACTCTTTCCTGTCTTCCTCCTTTTCCCCTCTCTGTTGTTCCTCCCTAGGGTCCAGGTCTCTACCTAGTAAGGGCTAAATTACTAACTTACTGATAGGATGAAATTAGTAATGACTCTGTATTTGTTTCTTAGAGGTCGATCTCTAAGAATGGCAATCTCCCTCCACACTGAGTCAAAAGGAAGGTATTTGAGGACTTGGATTTGTAAGTTGTTAGAAGAGCCTCTAAAGTCACCCTGCCCAGCCTCCTACTATTCTATCAAAGCTCCCTAAATCATCTCTGACAGGCAGATAGGCCTGGGTCTTGGCAGCCCCCAGTCCTGCCTGCCTGGGGAAGACTTAGGCACCATCCCCATGCACATCTTTATTCCAGGTCTCTGCTTGGTATCAGTCAAGCGCGTTAGGCAGAAGCTGGTCTGAATTACGGGCACAAAGCCCCTCTTCAGCTCCAGGGCAGCAGGGAGGCCTGGGTTCGGGGAGACCTTGCTTAGGGCGGGGATAAGAACAAGCTGCTACTCAGCTGTGGGCTGTTTATGTCAGGGACATAGCAGTCCACGCCAGGTGCCCGCGGTCCGCCCGGGTCTGTGGCCGGCAAGCTGCCGACAGGCCGGGGCGTCAGATAATGTGGGCATTCATTCACTCCGGCAGCTCCCTGCAGCACTCACTGGAGGAGAGGGGGTTGAATTCTGAACTAGGAGTACAGACAGCCCAGGGGTGCAAGCAGCCCTTTGCCACAAGTGCATTGCCACTGTCTTCGGGGGTTCCTCTGCAGGGTAGGGGGCGGGGGGCACTGTCAGCTTGGAGAGTTGAGACATCAGTTCAGGGTAATATGTGAACTTTTGTTGCCTGCCTTGCCTAAGTCTGTAATAAGACTAGTTAAAAATTGCTAGAATTTCCAAATCCTCTTTGTGACTTTTTCCCCCAGTAGGCTGCCTGCTAAGAAAGAGTAGACAGACCCAATGTCCTCCGATCAGTCTGGACTCAGTTCATCCTTCCCCTGGTACAGAAGAGCTGCGTCAGTCATTCTCTCTGTGATCTACTGATAAGAGTCCTGGACGGGGAATTCCAAGGCCATGGGTCTATTCCCAGCCTTGCCACTATGAATGTGACCTCCAGCAGTTAGGTAACTGTTTTGGCCTTCTGTTTCCTCACCTTTAAAATGGACATAATAGCAACTGTCCTACCTCCCTTCCGGGATGGCTGTAAGGATGAAATGAGAAAGCAATCACAAATCATGTCATACACAAGAGGCCAGTAAGTCCTCAAGGCTAGATGTTGGCAAACTTTTATGCAAAGGGCCAGGTAGTAAATATTTTAGACTTTTTGTACTGTATCAGGCCTCTGTTGCCTATTCCTGTGTGTGTTTTACAACCCTTGAAAAATGTAAAACTAATTCTCAGCTCCTGGGTCACAGAAAAACAGGCCACAGGCTGGATCTGGCACACAGGTTGTAGTTTGCCAATCTCTGCTCAGAGCGAATCAGAGGTGAGGACTGGAGGTAGGGTCAGCAGTTGTGATAAGTCTGAATCTAAATAAACATTAAAAATACGTAATATATGAATCATATATAAATAGAAAGGAATTTACATATACACGTTTTTTCTGACTTGTGGCCCGCACTCATGTAATTATTTGAACCCCAGCCCATAGGCCATCTTGTCTGAGTACTCCTAGACCATTTTGCCATTCACTGAATTCTTCATTGCCTAGCCTAACCAAATGAAACAATCAATCATCCAGAGGTGGCTCAGGGTCTGTCTGGCATCCCTCCTGGGCAAAACAGCATCTACTCTGAATTGCTTAGCAGTCATACAACTAGAGGGCAGCCTTCAGCCTCAGCTTGGCTGGTTGTCACTCCTAAGAGGTTCATTGGGGCCTTACAGAAATGAAACCGCTGGCAGACCATCTTGCCTACCTGGGCAGTGCTGCCTGGGCATAGCTCCTGCATGGCCTCCTTCTCAGGGAGAGTGGGACAAGGATCTTCATTTGGGGATCGCTACTGCCCATGTAAAAACCAATTCGTGTTACCGGTGACAATGAGCATTCTGACAGTACTTTGTTGACTGTGTGTTTAAGCTGTTATTATTTCTCCCATAACACCCTAATGAGATAAGCTGGCATTATCACTGTCATTTGCAAACAAGGGAATTGTGATGACAGATATTTAAACAACGTTCTCAAGACACAAAAGTCAACTTTCCTGATGAGGTGGACCAATGTTTCTGGTTTCTCATCTCTCCCATGAGATCCCTTTTCCCCTTTGCATGTCTCTTTCTCCTTTTCCCAGCCTCACTCTTCATTAGAAGATATCAGAGGAGCCACAGAATGAACCCCTTAATGAGAACAGCTGATAACAAAGAATCTTTATTTCCTTCTCTTCCCTTCCAAAGGATTTCCAAAGAAAAATGGCATGTCAGTAACACTTATCTACAGTAACGAAAGCAGCTAGATTTCAGATATACGCATACAAGAGGAAGTGCCGACCTAATCCATCTTACTTTTGTTGACAAGTGTGGAAATATGAAATAAATGCAACACTTTAGAATCAAGGTCTTAGCTAGCAACACCTAGTATCCTCCCTTGACAGAAGGGTGTATGGAGAGACAGAAAGGGTATGAGCGTTTCAAGGAGATGGCTGGTGTTCCGAGCTGAGGCTGGTGCTCCTGTCTCTGACTTTGAGTCCAGTCCATCTTATGTATTTATATTTTTTGAAACGGAGTCTTGCTCTGTTACCCAGGCTGGAGTGCAGTGGCATGATCTCATCTCACTGCAACCTCTGCCTCCTGGGTTCCAGCGATTCTCCTGCCTCAGCCTCCTGAGTAGCTGGGATTACAGGTGCGCACCACCATGCCCGGCTAGTTTTTGTATTTTTAGTAGAGACGGAGTTTCGTCGTGTTGGTCTGGATGGTCTGGAACTCCTGACCTCCTGATCCGCCCGCTTCAGCCTCCCAAAGTGCTGGGACTACAGGAATGAGCCACCGTGCCTGGCTGTCCAGTCCATCTTCTATGACACCCTGCTCTTGCCCAGGTTGTCACTACCTTGCTGGTCACATGCCTACACAGCTGCACCTCAGGCCTGTCGTTTCATTCTTATAATCTCTAACAGTCTTGTCCCTGTCCAGATGAGGATCTCTATCATTTCTAATTCCGTCCAACATTTTCCCTCTGGACGATTATTTCATTTTGTTAGCACATTAGGCTAAAAGCTCAAGGCTGCTGTTTCAGCACAGCACAGAGGACAACTCTATTCCACAAGAGAAGGTGCCAGTCCTCCAACACAGACGACACCTCCAAACGTGACCCAAGGAGCTTACAAATGCCTGGCCCTGTTCACAGGAGGGACAGAGCAGATAGCTCAGGGTCTGTCTAGCATCCCTTCTGGGCAAAACTGAAAGTCCCCATCATGAGGACAGTGGCCATCTGCACTCTTTTCACAGATGAAGGGAAATACTTTAGAAGCAAAAACTTAGCCAAGAGCAGCGCGTGGCAACCATTAGGCACATAATAAAGGTTGACTAAATGAACGAAAACCCTTCTACAAAGATTTTTGAGGTGAAGCTTTTTAGAAGAGGAATTGCACATGCTAATGAACTTAAAAGATAAATGGCTTCTCTGGGAACACTGTTTAAACATCAATTTCTTAATAAAAGTGTGATAAACGTAGAAGATGGATAGCGGTGTCTCCCACCCTGAAACTATGGCGAGCCAGAGATGAAAAATTCTTATCGTCCAATCTTGGTTTCATTAAACTACATGCATCTGTCATTGTGTTATATTTTACAACTTTGTTCTTTTACTAGAGTTTGGGTTGATTTATTCCTGACAATGTGCAAGAGATACGTCTTCATCTCATCACAAAGTCAAATTCTAGTGACCCCTGAAAAGCTTTTCCAATGACCACTAGTCCCAGTCATGCAGTGCAAGTTTTCCTTAGTTTTAGTTCAAACACTGGATGCTCTTGACCTTGCATTTAGACTTTGGAGAGGGGCATGTCCTACTGTCTTGGGGCTGTGGCCCTTGGTGCGGGGCCTCCTGAGCAGCCCAGACTATCAGCTTCATGAGAGCCCTGGGGAAAATGCTGATTTTATTCTTCCTACTTTATAGTCTGTTACTCCTGCAGAGAGGTCAGGAAAAATCAGATTTAGGAGAAAATGTAGTTTGTCACAACATCCTTGAATCCCACTAACTTCAGGATACCAGCCAGTCTTATTGGTATGGCCAGATAAGGTCCTCCATGATTTGTTCTCAACCTCCCTTTATAGTCCTCATCTTCCATCCCTCTCCTCCAGGCCCCATCAGCTTCTGTGAACAGCTTCTCCCTTCCCCGGTGTACCAAGCTCTTCTTTTACCTTTGTGCCTTTGCCTGTGCCCAGAAGGCCCTTTGTCCTTTTTGTGACTTGGTGAAATACTCATCCTTCAAGACCCTGCTCAAATAGTCGTCCATGAAGCCTTTCTGGATTCACATAGGCTGTCATTTCTTTCCACTGTTCTTTCTTAATGCCTTGTGCAAACGTTTCTGATGATACATAGGACTCTCCAAAAGTTACCTGTTTATGAGTTTATCTCCTCTACCAGTCTGTGAGCTCCTGATAGGCAGGGATGGTAACTACTCATTGTTGCCTCCTGAGCCTAGCCTTGTGCCTGGCCATAGTCATCTCTAAGAAATGTTGAGACAATGGAGAAATGACCTGAAACTAGATCTTGGAAGCCTTTGATATCCCAGCAAAATGATTCAATGCTATCTTCAGTGATATCCATTGTAGGGTATTCACAGTGATCCACTGGCGGTCAGGGAGAAAGTATTAGAACTACTATTTATGGTTTGTCAAAAATTAACAATGAAAGTAAACTTTTCTAATATTTTCTATAAAATGACAGTAGCACACATATTTGATTTATAAATAAATACAAACATTGGCCAGGCATGGTGGCTCACACCTGTGATCGCAGCACTTTGGGAGGCCAAGGCGGGTGGATCATGAGGTCAGGAGTTAAAGGTCAGCCTGGCCAATACGGTGAAACCCTGTCTCTACTAAAAAATACAAAAATTAGCCAGGCATGGTGGCGTACACCTGTAGTCCCAGCTACTTGAGAGGCTGAGGCAGCAGAATCACCGGAACCCAGGAGGCGGAGGTTGCAGCGAGCCGAGATCGCCTCCACTGTGCTCCAGCCTGAGCAACAGAGCAAGACTCTGTCTCAAACAAACAAACAAAACACATACATTAAGAATAGGAGGTGCCTTTGAGAATTGTAGGCTGCTGTTGTAAGTAAGTGGAAGCCACTGAAAGACTCTGAACCGGGGGAAAACATGAAAAAAACAAGTGTTCAGAAGAATTGGTCTTATAGACTAGATGGAGATAGAGTCACCAATCAATGGGCAAGGCACTGAAAGGGCCATACACAAGAGACAAAAGACGAGACAAGAATAGGAGTGATAGGAGCGGGTGGAAAAGAAGATCTACTAAAGAATGATCATCATTATCTTTGTTAGCATCGTTCCATCAGTGGAACTGGGTCACGTATTGTCACAGTAAGGAGAAGGAGAAAGAGCCGCATGGAGACTCCAAATGCAGTTACAGAATGAGACCACAGGCTAAACTCAAAGGAGAACATGGAATACTTTGCCCCAGGCTTAGAGTCTATAAGTGAGACTTTCAAAAACCGTTTTTCCCCACTGGTTTGAAGGGGCAACAAATAAAGGCCACTCCTCGGGCCTGTCCAATCCCAGATTGGGGCTTCTCAGTAAAGACTATTTATAGCTCTGATTATTGCAGCAAGGTTATGCAACTGCTGCGTGGGGCAGGCAGGACAGCTGTCCCGAGCCCTTGCCGGGTGAGTGACCGTCTGACCGTCTTCTGGCTGCTTCCTGTTGGCTTAGGAGACAACAGAAGAAGGTGGATTTGTTTGTCCATTGAGCAACCTGCCATTGCCCTGCCTGTGCCCGCCTGTCTCCCTTTAAACATTAACAATCTCTTAAAACATTTGGGTTTTGTGCCCAAGGCCGAGGGGATCCCAAGAGAAAGAGGAACAGAAAAGGGGAGGAGGAGGAAAAGAAGGGAGCGGGGAGGAAGGGAGAGAGAGTGTTCCCTGCGTCAACAATTTATTCATTCCACAAACATTTCTAAGTGTCCATGGTGACCCAGACATCATGGGAACTTCAGGGTTCCAGAGCTGAGTAGAACACAACTCCCATCCTTAGGGATTCACCATCCAGTAGAGGAGAAAGACGTCGAGACAGAAGACAGAAGGGAAAGGAAAAGCTCAATGCTGTGCCTTCAACTTAGCTTCTCCATTTTTTGGAGAAGGGTTAATAGGGGAAGCAGAGAGAGAGAGATGAGAGACCAAAGTTTCTAGGGCCTTTATCTCCAGAGCAGAGGGTCTGAAACCTTAGTGAGCAAAAACTGATCCGGAAGACTTGTTGGAGGCATACCTTCCAGTTCAGCGAGCCATTTCAGCAGATTGGAGGTGGGCCCAGGGCTCTGCATTTTCCCAGCTCTCTGGGGGATCTAGATGCAGGTAGTCTGTCATCACAAGGGGATGCTGCTCTTCCACAGTGGGCCTGGAGAACCAGAACTGGCAACTGCCTGGCCCCAGAGCTGCCAGCCATGAGGCGGGTCCACCAGAGACTGATGGAGGAAAGAGGAAAGGGAACAGGGAACCTCAGAGAGGATTAGGGTGGGAAATGGAAAAAGAGAAAATCCAAGGAGTGCAAAAGAGAAAAGGGAGGCCTCTCTAAGGAGGACAGCGAGTATTAGCGGAGGTGCTAGGGCCACTCAGGGTGACTGATGTCCATGTGTTAGCCACGGACATTGAAAGATTTTTGGTCTTTCAAACTCGAGGACTTGCCTAACCAAGCACAGAGCAAAGAACAGAAAGCTGACTTTGCTAGATGCTTGGGCATCAATATCACGTGGAACCAGCCTTTTCTTTGATACCTCTTGCGTTTCTTGCAGATCCCCTGCCTGCAGCACGTGCTGATCTCCAAGGGTGAGGCTGGATGAAGCCAGGGGCTATGGAAAGGGAGACTGTTTCAGAGGACTTGACACCATCTTCAGTAATTTCTCTGGTTCTTGGCAGCTCCATTTGGCTGCGTCCCTACCCTGCATAACCCTCCCAGCTAGTCTACTCCAGGGCAGCATCCAGCTGGTGACCTGAGAGGGCAGTGGCGCACCAGTCTCCATGAAGGTTGAGCTCCGATGGCCAACAGCCATTTCCACCTTGTGGTCTACAACTCTTCATCCCGACTGCATGGAGGTTGGTCTCTCTCTTCAGCTGGATTTAGGCCACCATCTGAGCCCCCGGGGTACGTTTTGTCTGACCCTGGCGCCATTCGAACGGTTCTTCTACAGCATCAGGTACGATGTTCCTATTTAGTTCAACCCCATTCCTAAGGCGCGTTTCCACTCCTCCACTCCTTTCCAAATGGACATCTCCTCCCTCATTCTCTCTCTTTTTTTTTTAAATTTTATAATATAAATATGTATTAAAAATAGAGACGGAGTCTTGCTATGTTACCCAGGCTGGTCTCGATCCCCTTGGCTCACGTAATCCTCTCACCTCAGACTCCGTAAGTGTTAGGATTACAGGCATGAGCCACCTCACCTGGTCTCCTCCCTCATTCTTCAAGCGTCTGCTCTAGCGTTACCTTCCCTGTGAATTCTTTCTTTCCTTTTTGCCATTTGGAATCCTTTTTCTTTTATTTATTTAATTGACAAATAATAATTGTACAAATTTATGGGGTGCATAGCGATCTTTTGATACATAGAAGGTATGGTGATCAGATCGGGATAATTAGCATATCTGTCACATCAAACATTATCATTTCTTTGTGTTAGAAATTTTCAAGATCCTCCTTCTAGCTCTTTGAAACTATATGTTTCTATTAACTACAGTCATCCTACAGTGCTATAGAACACTAGACCTTCCGCCTCCTATCCAGCTGTAATTTTGTATCATATAGCAAATCTCCCTGTTCTTTATCCCATCTTCCCTTGTCCCATTTGAAGTTCTTATCACGTGGTACTGGCACTCCGTTTGGGTATGCGCCACCCATTTTACTGCAGGTTCCAGAGATCTAGTCTCATGGAGGTCACTGGGGCAGAATGATTAGGAACTCAGGCTAAACTAATTCAGAATCTCAGCACTGTCACCTGTCAGCTGTGTGACCTCAGGCACGCTACTTCATCAACCTACTCTCAGTTTCCTTACCTATAAAATGGACAAACAATTGTATTTACTATTAAGGTTAAGTGTAGTTACTATTAAGGATATAACTTGGTCCAGCCCCTGGAACATTGTAGCTCTCAATAAATGTTTGTTCTTCTCATTATACATATGCATATCCTTACTTTAATCTCTGTGGATTTAATACAGAGTGGATGCTCAATCACGTTTATGGGATTAGCAGTTAAGATATGTACCTGTATCGCTGCGTCTGTCCACTAGTATATTTTAAGAAGGAATGGGTAATTCGATATATCTGTTCATGGATCAATATTTTATGGTCTTTCCTCTATGCCAGGATTGGTTCAGAGTGGAATTATCTACCCAAGCTCGGGCAGGTCCATCAATCGCTCTTCTTTTGTGTCCGTTGCTTCGGAGTGCCTTTCTCACTTCTGTTCCTATCCTTATATTTGCTGCCCTGTTTCTGAAGGAGCAGATCAGAAAATGGGGGCTTTTTAAAAGGATCTTAAACTGAGCCTGAGCTGTCTAGAGGAAAACAGCAAAAGAATTCTATCAAGTCTGTTGTAATTTGAATTCCCCCTTTCCCCTATCAATTTCCACCCTGTGAAATGAGGTGGGAGGAACTAAATACACTCTGCAGTCCCTGTCAATCGCAGTGGTCTGTGATCTTTTTTGTCCATGGGGGCACTTTTAGCTCAGCAAGGTAAAGCAACGTTAGCAAACAAACACAATTTAATGACTAGTTCTGGCTCTCTGATAAGGATACTCTCAAAAAGAAAACAGGTGCAATCTCTACTGTTTGCCCAATTTGCTGCTTGTCTTTGCACTTGCCTGGAATTACTAGAGGCTGTTTGCCTGGCTGAGCTGAATGTCTAGAAACCTGGTTTCTGCCCCTTTGAGTTCAGAAATTTTGAGAAAAGATAACAAGAGTGGACTGAGCTCAGAAGGAACTAAGCTTTTCTTAGAGACTTTAGTCAAATAACAGAAGGTTAAACATGAAGAGGAAATGATTGGTAAAATAGGTGAAAAACCAGTAGCAAATCGTGTACTGCCTTTACCTCTCTTCCAGGAGAACCTGGCTACAAGTCCCAGCCTTTACCATGGAGGCTGAAGGTGTGGGGAGGGACTTCAGCCTTCTCCTCAGCCCTGCCCTTACTCTGAGACAAGGAGCACCCCTGGCACCGCAGTGAGATCTCTGCCCTGCCAGCAGGCAGAGCCCTGGCACAGTCCTTTGCCCCATCTCTTCTTCCCTCTACTATTCAAGGTGGCTTACTTTGAATCCATTCTTCCTGTCAGGCCATTGTTCCTTATCCTCATTAAATCTATGTTTCTTTAGAAAAGCATTTTTAAAAAATTTACATGTATGCCTTGTATTAGTCCATTTTGCATTGCTAAAAAGAAATACCCAGGACTAGGTAGTTCATACAGAAAAGAGGCTTATTTTGGCTCATGGTTCTTCAGACTGTGCAAGAAGCGTGGTGCCAGCATCTGTTTTGGGGGAGGCCTCCGGAAGCTTTTACTAATGGCAGAAAGTGAAGGGGGAGCAGATGTGTCACACAGTGAGAGTGAGAGAGAGAGGGAGGTGTCAGGTTCTTGTTAACCATCAGATATCAATAACTAATAGAGTGAGAACTCACTCATCACCAAGGGAACCAAGCCATTCATGAGGGGTCCACCCCCATGATCCAAACACCTCCTGCTAGGCCCCACCTCCAACACTGGGGTCACATGTCAACATCAGATTTGAAGGGGACAAACCTCCAAACCATATCATATCTCTTCCCCTAAAGAGATTATACTTGGCAGCCACTTACCTAGGCCTGTCCCAACCACCCCCAGCCAGCCAGCACCAGCTCTGGCCCCTACCTCTTCCCACTGATCCTGATTGACTGCTGGCAGTTGGTGGCATGCTTTCCTGTGTCTTAACGTCAAATTCAGAGACACTACAGTAAAAGTCAGTCCCTAAATGAACCATCCCCTCAATGAATGTTCCCTGGACATCATTTACAAGCCATTAGGCACTACGGGAGGCCCATAGGTAGGAAGGGCCATGGGATCCAAGGGAAGAAGCAACTAGCTCTGCCTTGGGGAGCTGGGGAGGGTTTTGCAGGTAGAGAAAGGAAAGAAGGACAGCCAGGAACAGAATGCAGGGTGGGTATGTTGAGGGGTGAGAAGCGGAGGAAGTGTGACCTATTCAGGAAATGGGAGGTCGTTCCGAGGAGCTGGAACACAGCGTGCAGGGAAAGTGATGGGAGATGACATCGTGAAGGGACGTAAAGGCATTTGGACTTGCCCCTGTTGGCGATGGGATAATCATCAGGTACCTCGGCAAGGAGCTGAAAAACAAGAGTTTTAGGTCTTCCCATTTAAATTAACCTGTTCAGTCAGCACGCTAGGGGTATTCAAGTAATTAGAAATGAACCTTGAGAAGGGATGGTGGGGAAAACGCCCCCAGGGCAAGCAGTAGGTATGCTTTCAACTCGTGGAAACTGCTGTAGACAGTGGGATCTAATTATCCCACATCTTCACCTTGCTGGAACCAACTGACATACACCTTGCAGGAACCAAGCTTGTCTTATTGCACTCCTAGAATACAATTAACTCAGCTACCTCCAACTCCTGTCATATTCCACATTTACTTTATGCACATAGATTTACTATATTTACATATTCACCATATTTATCATACTATGATAGATAGTAGTAAAGTTCTTTGTAACACACAGAGTGTTCTACAAATAGATTGATAATTTGTATTGTAGCTTTCCATGGGTGTGCCGAGAGGATCTAGCCAGAATGCATATTGCGCAGATACCCGCCTCTGAGAAAGTTTCTCCCTTCAACTTTACTATAAAGCAGAAATATGGAAGTAAGAAGAGATGGGCACAGCCAATCCCATCAGCCAACTCCAATTTGGTGACCAATATTGTGATTGTTCCAAATTATAACCCTAAGGCAGTGAAGATAAAGTGTGTTTTGTGGAAGCAGGACTTTTGCCTGGGCGTGGTGGCTCACACCTGTAATCCCAGCATTTTGGAAGGCCGATTGTGGGCGGATCACTTGAGGTCAGGAGTTCAAGACCAGAATGGCAAACATAGTGAAACCCCATCTCTACTAAAAATACAAAAATTAGCCAGGTGTGCTGGTGTCTGTAATCCCAGCTACATGGGAGGCTGAGGCAGAAGACACACTTGAACCCAAGAAGCAGAGGCTGCAGTGAGCCGAGATCGCGCCACTGTACTCCAACCTGGGTGACAGAGCAAGATTCTGTCTCAAATAAATAAATAAATAAATAAATAAATAAATAAATAAATAAATAAATCAAAGCAGGACTTTGGAGAGCCCTTCATATACTGAGAATTCAATGGTCACTGAGAATTCAAAGAAGGTTATTTGAATCCAGCATTTCTCAAGGTTGATTTGACAACCAAATCTCCTGTTTCCGGGTCCACATTGCCTGGAGGCCCTCCAAGATACTCAAGAAATAGTAGAGTCTGTGTCCTATATTTCAAAAGGAAAATGTTCATTTCTGGGGGAAGCTGTAGGTAACCTGTAATGTGGGAACTAGTCCAAGAGGCAGCACCAGGAGCTGCAGCCGCGGAAAGCCAGCAGCTCCCCGTCTCTGCGGTCGATCCTTACCCTGTAGCCTTGGGTGTGGTCTGAGAAGCTTCCTCTGATGTTCTTAGCTAAGACCCGCCCTACTTCCCACCTGCCTCACCCCACATGACCATCTTTTTATTACCACCCCTGACTCGTAGTCTTATCCCTGGACCTCCTTAGTATTCCCTTTGCTTGATGTCTGTAACCCTGACCTGGGGCTTATTGTAAGAGCTCAGGGAGAAGGACCAAGGCTAAATTGATAATATTCTCTCATTAATGTAACACCGCCTTATGAAATATCTCTATTCTATTCTATTCTATTCTGTTCTGTTCTGTTCTGTTCTGTTCTGTTCTGTTCTGTTCTATTCTATTCATTTTATTTTTGAGACAGAGTCTCACTCTGTTGCCTAGGCTGGAGTGCAGTGGCGTGATCTCGGCTCACTGCAAACTCCATCTCCTGGGTTCAAGCGATTCTCCTGCCTCAGCCTCCTGAGTAGCTGGGATTACAGGCATCCGCCACCACACCAGGCTAACTTTGTATTTTTGATAGAGATGTTGCCCAGGCTGGTCTCAAACTCCTGAGCTCAAGTGATCCGCCTGCCTCAGCCTTCCAAAGTGCTGGGATTATAGGAATGAGCCACTGCGTCCGGCCCACTTTCTTCATGTTTTTAAGTTGTTGTTTGTTTCTATTGTGGGTGGGAGGTTCTTTTAGGAGTCCTTTTGCTCTGTGATCTACGTCTCATAGTCAGTAATTATTTTCTTAATTTTATGCGTGCTCCCTAGGGTATAATCTGGTTTTCAATCTTCATGTCGTGTCTGTCTTGTTTTCACCTCTGATGCTTTTGGTTGTCTTCATTCGAAGGCAAGGAGAAACCTTCGTTTGTTTTTGCTTTCGCTTTTATGATTAATAACATGTAATTCTTTTTTTAGTGTGACGTTTTCAGAATTACTCGCACAAAGTGCTCTTCACAAGCGGTTGTGGTGCAGAAAGCAGCAGTGAACGGGAGCGCTTTCCCCTTTGTACTGGGGAGAGCTAGGTTTTCCTGGTCTGGCCCCTTTGGGGTTTTGGTTCCTAGGCTTCTGACTCTAAAGACACTCCTGAGTTCTCTTTGTAAAGCAAAAAGACAGCTGATTTCTGAAATCACATGATACATTTTAAGTAATTCAATCCCAAACTGCGTTTGAATAAGAAACCATCCTCCAGCTTCAAGCTTTCCCTCCATCAGCATTACTTTTTATTCAAGATAAAAATGTCCTCCTGGCTTCCCCTCCCTCTACTAGAATTCTCGGTCACTTTCAAAAGCCCCATTTTACTTTGTTTGTTTGTTTGCTTGTTTTATTTTGTTTTGTTTAGAGACAGAGTCTCGCTCTGTTGCTCACACTGGAGTGCAGTGGTACCATCTTGGCTCACTGCAACCGCCACCTCCCTAGTTCAAGTGATTCTGCTGCCTTGGCCTCTGGAGTAGCTGGGATTACAGGCACGCCACACCCGGCTAATTTTTGTATTTTTAGTAGAGATACGGGTCTCCCCATGTTGTCCAGGCTGGTCTTGAACTCCTGATCTCAAGTGATCCGCCCACCTTGGCTTCCCAAAGTGCTGGGATTACAGGCATAAGCCACCACGCCTGGCCCATTTTACTTTAAATAATATAATTTCTTCTATTCTTCCAGGCGTTCACCTGGCTCCTAGGGCTTTTGTGCTGTAGGCCTATATTTCCAGCTACTTTTGGAAAAAATCTCTCTGGAGGCTCAATGAGCTTGTCACATCAGCCTGCCCAGAGGTAAAGCACATTTCTCTGCCCTCACACGCCTCTCCCTTGCTGTCTTTAACTTAATCAATGCCCGTAACACCCTCTACAATGCTGAGCAAGCTCAGATCCTCCTAGTCTTCATGGCATCCTTCTTTTTCTTTTTCCATTGGTCTAATCTGATTGAATTTAAATTTTGCACATTTTGCATGAGTAATTCTCTTGCATGAATCTCTTTCTCTTCCTCCCTTCTGCCATCACTGGCTCTTGTCCTCTCTTTACTGGACTGTAGAATAATCTCTTTGGTGGTCTTCCTGTGGTCTTCCCTTCCCCTCCACTAAATCTACTCTCTATTCAGTATCAAGAAAGACTTAATCAGCAGTGAATACTCTCCACCAAGCCCTTGACCCATTGTCAGTCTCTGGCATCAGATCCTTTCCAGTAGGGCAAAGTGCAACTGCAGCCAGCTCATGCCTTCAAGAGAAGGACTGAAGATCATTGTGTGCCTAAACCAAGTAAGTCTAACTGCTCCTTCACCAGCTCACCCAAAACTATAGGGGCCTTCTACAGTCACGTTCCCATAGCTCTGGGAATTCCTCCAGACTTGAACTCTGGTTTGGCTTCCCCAGTTTATATCCTATGCTTCATACCAAGGTCTTCCCACTTTGCCTATCCTACAAGAAGTAGTGGCCAGGTTGGACTTTCTGATAAGTTTGGAGATTGCTTCTTGGCTGACCCTTGGTACCTTGTTCTACTAGCCACAGCTAAGCTCCACAAAGCCTAGGTGAGTGGGACACTGCAACCCAGCCCAGACCCAACACTATGACCTTCTACCAGTTGAGCATGGGATCAAGATGAGACTTCTAGTGCCAATACTAAAGACTATGAGGTTTGCAAGGTGAAGTTCACTGTCAACCTCTTATAGTCCATAACAAATATTTCTAGTTTGTTCACTCATTGAGTCATCCAACAAGTATTTATAGAGCAACCGTCAAGTGCCATATACATTCCATGGTGTTAGGGATATAGCAGGGAAAATGTCAGACAAGGTTTCTACTCATAGAATCCATATTCTACTATTGGAGGAAAAGAGATAGCACATATAGCATCAGTCATTGTCAATGATCTTAAATGTCTGAAGACAATTAGCTTTATAAGATGTAAGTGACTGAGAGGGAAGGGCTATTTTAGACAAAATGCTCAAGGAATTAGCTCTGGGAATATGATGTTTAAACAGAGATCTGAATGACAAGAAGAAGCCAGCATGCCAATGTTGGTGGGCAGAGTATACTGGGTAGAGAGACCAGCACAAGTACAAAACTCTAAAGTGGGAATGAACCTGGATGAGTCTGAAGGATGGGAAAAAGAATCATGTGGCTGGATTTGATGAGCAAAGAGGTGAATAAGAGGAAAAATTAAGTCAAACAGGAAGACACAGACTAGATCATGTAAGGCCTTGGTAAGTGATATGGTTTGGCTGTGTCCCCACCCAAATCTCATCTTGAATTGTAGTTCCCATAATTCCCACTGTTGTGGGAGGGACCCAGTGGGAGATAATTGAATCATGGGGGTGATTACCCCATGCTGCTGTTCTCATGACAGTGAGCGAGTTTTCACGAGATCTGATGGTTTTATAAGTTTTATAAGGGGTTTTCCCCCCTTTTGCTCGGCACTTCTCTCTTGCCTGCCACCATGTAAGACATACCTTTGCTTCTCCTTCTCCTTCTGCCATGATTGTGAGGCCTCCCACCCATGTAGAACTGTGAGTCCATTAAACCTCTTTTCCCTTATAAATTACCCAGTCTCAGATATGTCTTTCTTAGCAGCATGAGAACAAACTAATACAGTAAATTTGCATAAGACATTTGCCCTTCCCTTTGAAAGCAATGGGAAGCCATGCTCTGCATACTCAGAATAAGAGTGAGATTGGAAACCATGGTGATTGAAGACCTATTGGGAGTGAAGACTTGAGCCTTGAAGGAGAGAGTGACTGCAAAGTTTCTCAGATATCTGCAACTGGGGATGATATCTGGATGGGATGCCTGGGCCCTGGGGTTAGTGAGGAGTTCAAAGAAGAAGGAGCAGAAATGGATTCAGGAGAGAGTGAGCAGAGACTCAATGTTCTGTAAGTAAGTGCTCCTACAGGGGAAGGGTTAGAGAGGTCGGTAGAGGGGCCCAGGATTCCGGGAAGCTGGAGATTCCAGCTCTAAGACATGCTATTGTAGCCTCAAGACAGATGCACAATTATAGGTTGCAACAGTGGAGTGATTTTGAAGAAGCAAAAATACTCAGTGCAATGGACTGAATGTTAGTGTCCTTCCAAAATTCATATGTTGAAACCCTAATCTACTATGTGTTAGGATTAGGAGGTAAAGCCATTGGGAGGTAATGAGGGTGGAGTTCTCAGGAATAGGATTGGTGCTCTTATCAACAGAACCCCAGATAGCTCTCTCGCCCTCACTCCACCACATGAGGATACAAGAAGTCTGCAGTGTGCAATCTGGAAAGGGCCCTCAACAGAACCCGACCATGCTGACACTTTGATCTTGGACTTCCAGGCTCCAGAACTGGGAGAAATAAACTTCTGTTGTTTGCATGTCACCCAGTCTATGGGGTACTTTGTTGTGGCAGCCCAAATGGGCCAAAACACCCACATTCATCACTAGCAGGCCCTGGACATATTATCCTATTGATTCTCAGCTCCGCTCTCTTGCACCGTGGGCACCCTAAAACAAGACACATATGTAAAAATACATGTAAACATGGCACCCTGATATGTACGCAGGGTGGGCCCCAGATGTGCCTAGCATGCTAACAGTATAAATCCTGGCCTCAGGCAAACGGCCTTCTTGACCTTCCAAAGGACTAATAAGCAGCCCTCCCTTGAGAAGGCCTTTCTCCTTTCATGATTGTTCCTTTTCTTGCATGGTAGATTTTACCTTTGCTAATATGCAGTGGTTAAAAAAAAGAAAAAAAGGAAAGGAAAAAAAGCAACCCTACCAAATAGAAGGGACTTTGAAAGTGTGAAGACTGCTCAGTTCTCTGACAAGCCCTGCTGCCTGAGTCCCCAGTGGGGCACTGGAATAAAATTAGGACTGTATGAAGGATGAATGGGTCGTCTGTCTCCTGCAGAGCCCTGCCGTGTGGACAGGGCCAGAGTCATCACTTGGTGCATAAGCTGGAATAGAGCGCCTTTCATTCAGAGTTCCCAGGACACTTCACAGCTGCTAAAATGATCCTAAGCAAATATTTGTAGCCACACAATACAGGTGGGAATATGGAGGTACCAAGAAGAAAAAGGATTGGCCAAAACCCCCAGAGTCAACTCCAGAGGTAGGACCAGAAGCCAGGACCTGAGCCAGTTCAGGGCTCTGTCGGCAGGATCAGGCCTGGGAAAGGAGGGTGGGATTTCGTGACTAAGAAGAGTGGTGATCAAACAAATTTGGGGGGTCCACAGTAACAGCTGGCTGTGAGCCCACTGCTTCCTAATCCAGTGCCACTCAGGCAAGTGTGTTCGGTGCCTTGGTGACCTGCAGCTCTAAGTGGCTAGAGAGCTTTAATAATTCAAGGCCTCTGATTAGACTGACAGTGTCTGTCCGAGGGAGATGTGCTGTTGAGTGTTTTCTGTGTTCCAGACAAATTCACTTACAGTTTCAATTAAGCCCATTTCTTGTATACTGGGGCCCAAAAGGCAAACGCACAAAACGGGCATGTGATTGTGCTGCCAAGACAAGGGTGAGCACAAGATAGTCTGCCTACCAGAGGCTGTAGGCTGGAGTCCAGGTTGAGACTTGAAGTCAAGATAAAAAAGCGTGCTTGAATATGGTCTTTCAGGGTGGAGACTGCCACATTCTTGTCACTATTGATCTTCAAATAAACAAAACTCCAATAAAATGTTATCATTTGGAATCAATTGGAATTGATTTGCTGGATGGCAGGCAAGGCAGAAAGGATTTGGGAGGGAGGAAAAGAAAGAGAGAAAATAAGCTGGGCTTCAGGACCCATGACAGGCTGCCACCAACACAGCGCTGTCACCCCATGTGGTCCTCCCAAGGGCTTCTCCCAAGGCTTGGATGTAAACAGAGGCCTCCCCCAGATGCCAGAAACTCCACAGAGCTTCAGGGCTCATCGAAAACCTCCCACATGGCCTTGGAGAGGTCAGCGGCCATTCTGGCAGTACAGACTATACAAATTCAAATGCCAATGCCTCCATTGCTAGCTGTGGGATCTTGGGCAAATCATATCATCTCTTAGCGTCTCATTTCTCTGGGCACGAATAGCCTGTACCTGACAGGATTGTGAAGTAAGAAGCTGACAGAGTGAAGAAGCACTTAGCACACAGCTGGCCTGCAGCAAGAGCTCAAAGCATCAGTCTTTATTCTTATGATTATGCGCCAAGCTTAGGGCACCCCAGAACTTACTTATTTCCACTCCCTCTTCAATGCAGATCCAAATTCACTCTTGGGTCCAATTTAACTTGGCAGTTACACATAAGACCTAATTCCCAAATTAAAGAGCTTTGGACAAAAGTCCACCTTTGATGGCAAGTGAGGAAGGAAGCCAGGCAGTGTTGACAAGTCCTTCATCACTGACACTTTGCTCAGCCTCAGTCAAGGCTAGCCCCGGGTAAAAACGAGAGACAGGCCAAATTTGCTGTCATTGAGGTGCACCTCTCTAGCGCCTACCATCCCAGGATTTATGAGCCCCACAAGGGCTGGGGCGTTGGCACAGCCTGTCACCCTGAATCAGTAGACAGTCTTCCAGTGAAGTCGCCCAGCAAGGAAGCATGTCTGCAAAAGGGAGTGAGAACCAGCTCCGCTGGGGACACGCGCAGTCTGGAGCTGGCAAGGTGGAGCCAGGGAGAAGCAGAGCAGAGGGGGCCGATCTCCAAGCTGGGCCGGGCCCCAGCAATGGAAAGGCATCTTGTATACTGTAGAGGGACACACAGATGTTAAGGGTGTTATCCTATGATTGTTACTACTTTTCATTGGAAAGCCAGTTGTTTAATATCAACAAAGTAGTCAACAAAACAAAGGAAACCAGAGAGATCTGGGTCTGTGGCTGACACATGTGAGTTCCATCACCCTTCAGAGCCCACTACAGAGCACACTACAGACGAATTCCATCACTCTTCAGAGCCCAGCTTCCCCGTCTGTGAAGTCCTCAGAGAGCAGGGTTGCTAAATGGACTGAAAGTGATAAGATAGATCTTGTGCCTGCCACAGAGAATCAGTCAAGGTTCCTTCTCCCTTCTCTCTGGTGAAGACACAGGGTACCTTTTTTTAAAAAAACATAAAAAATGTAACTTCAGAAACTAGAAAGCAAGATTAGCACCAGGGAAAGCTTCAGTGGTGAATTGTTTTCATAGCATCTCTACTCCCTTCAAAGACCATGCAGACAGGGAGTATCTACTTTGGTGTGGTCCAGCCTTTAGCAGCCATTGCTTGCAAAAGAAGTGGTGTTTGGGAATGCTTTCAATATGCAGAGATGTTTTGTTGGCCCGGGTCCTATCTCTATGGATTCCAACAGCAGGAGCTTGCAGATGTGTGTGGAAAGGGCAGAAAAGCTTGCCCAGGAGGCTGAGCTGGAGGAGCCTCAGCGCCAGGCTTTGTGTGTTGGCTGGAATGCTTCTTGCAGCCCTCAGTGGGCGGCAAAGAAAACCACCTACAGGCCGGAGAATGTGAGGGGTGTCCAAGTGCCATGAGAACATTCTACTCAAGTCCACTTGATAGAGCTGTTGCTCCTGATGGTTTATCCTGTGTCCCCTCTGCCTGGACTGCTTCCAAGCCTCCAGGCCAGCTGGTCTAGGAGCTGCTGAGAAGCTACGTGTGCGAATTTCCTACACCGTGGCAGCCAGTAGCCAGGCACCTGTCAGGCTTCGGGGTGGGAGTTCACGGAGGGGCATGGATTTATCCTTCCACCATCAATCCAACAGAGGGCCTCTTTCTGCCCTGACCTTATTCCCTTCTGCTTCCATTATACTAACACCACCACCTCATGGACAGACCTGCTCACTACAGGTAGTATTCATTTTATTTCATTTTTTTTCAGTTACTACTGTCCTCTGGGAAAATGAATCCTCCTCCTGACAAGCGCTTCAAACTTCTAGGCTGTGGGCATGCAAAGGAAAACACAGCCCAGGAAAAATATCCCTAGGGAATATGAGCATATTAGACCCAGCGTAGCAGACATTATGTGTATTCATAGACATATACAGGTTATTTATGTATGTATGTATTTACATATATGATATATGCATGCAATATGAGACATATGTACATATATCTACACTCATCTCATGAATATCTCATATATATGAAATCTCATATATATGAGATTATATAACTACCTATCATAGACATGAGAGATCTACATATATCTACAGAGATCTATGATAGCTCTCATATCATAGATACGAGATCTACATATACTTACACACATATAGATATGAGAGATCTACATATATCTACACACATATCCCATAGATACCTCATATATCTATATTTTCTTTATTACATAAAGAAAACAATAGCATAAATATACCTATGAGACATCTATGGGATATATGTGTAGATATATGTATGAGATATTTATGAGATATGTATGTTTCTATGTGTGCATGAGCTCCAGCTAATCTACATTCAACCTATCTTTTTATTTAAATGTAAAAATATATTACACAGTATATATGAAGCATATGTAAATATGTACAATGTAAATGTTGCATAGATTTTCCTGGGCCACCTTGAGGTCAACCTTGAAATAGCCTGTTCTGCCTTCCATGTGCTTCTCAGGCTACAGACCTTATGATTTCTTTTCCACCCCGAATGGTTCAGCCTCTGGCCTCAGGCTGCATATCAGGAAAAAGAGCCAGTGCTAAGCATTAATAACAGATGCAAAGGGCCAAGCTCAGGCTGGGCACAGGCGGGTATAGGTGAGGGTGGAGGTGGTGGGGATGGTGGGTGAAGTTGCCTCTGTGGAGCTATGGTCTTGGAGAAGACAGTGCCAATCTCCCTCAGGAAGACCCCATAGCCCTTGCCCTCCAGAAGCCACGTAGTTAACACCCCTGACCTCATTTAGTTGAATGAATGAACTAATTAGAACCTGGGAACTTGATTCTGCTGCTGATGGTTCTTTGGCATTGTAAACACACACAGAAGATGGAGAGGCAACATCAAGTTGGAAGTCTGGTTATTTTGCAAAGAATGAAGTGAAACTGGACGTGACGGGGGCCTCCGCATGTCTGGATGTCTAGACAGAATTCACTCCCTTGCACAGGTCCCTTGTACCAGGGATCGGGGGCAGACCGCTACCTTAAGTAACGATTTTATTACATAAAGAAAACAATAATGAGAACTCCCACTTCATGTACTCTCCTTCCCAGTCTACACCAGCGAGCTCTGAGAAGAGTTTAGAGGCTAGAATATAAAGAAGCTACTCCACCCTTCCAGAAACTTTCATTCACTGTCCAGTCCCCTCTGCTTGGTTAGAAATTGAGAAGTGACCAGGCCAAACACGTTATGCAATCTACTAACCAGCCCCGTGTAACACAAATTAGTACAGTGTGGTATAGAAAATGCTCACACCTGGAGTCCAAATTGTAGATTCTTGTCCCTACTGGAAACTCCCAGGACTGGTGAACTCGTCTGAGGCTATTAGTAGACCATAACTCGGTTTCCTCATCTGTCAAGTAAGGAGGTTAATCTCAATGAACTTTAAGTTCCCTTTCAAGGTTAACATTTTCTGATCTTCAATTTTAAAACTATCAAAAGTTCCAGTTAACTGATGATCATGATAATCCTGCGAGAATTATTAGAATCATGACACAGGGAATCCCAGACAGCAGGAAAAAAAAAACCAAAAAAGCATTTATGTTTGATCTAGAAATTCAGATTCACCATCCTGTGTGTCATATCTGAATATTGTTTGTTCTGCAGAGAACTGAGTGGGTCTAGTGATATTAATAATTAATGCTAATAGTAGTCTACATTCTATGACCACTAATAGTAGTCAGCCACTGGAGGACAGAATAAGTCCCTGAGAGATAAGAGAGAGGCATTCACCAGCTTGACAATTGCTTTTGAGGGCCTGAACTCAGCCCTAACTCTGAGAGATACTGTGTGGCACTTCTATAATTCAGCATCCATTTCACTCACAGGGCATCTTGAGATAGAGAATTTGCTTCAGTAAGCCTGAGGTGGAGCCGAAGATTCAGCATTTCTAGCATGTTCCCAGGAGAAATCAGACATAAATGTGCAGAAAAATTGGTGTCCTACAAGATTTCCTGCTGGGTGTTGACTGAGGGGTCCAAATTTTAAATACAGTTGCAGTTTAGAGGAAGGGATGGCCCCAAGTGGCAGAGGAGGAGTCACAGCTCTTGTAGAAGAGGAGGGTCAAGCCAGGCTGAGAGTAGAATGTTGCTGTGGTTAAAATGCTCATGGATAATGGAGAATTGTCGGTTTGGGGAAGGGGAGGGAGAAAGGAGAGTTTTATGGGTGCAAGGGACAGAGTGTCGTGATGACTATAGTGCTATAAAAGGCAGTGATGGTTCTGTAAGGCAGAGACCCTCATCTCAAGGTGCTGGACTTTTTGTCCTCCAAATTGAGGTTTGCCTTTGACTTAATGGAAAAACTTTCTTCTGGTGCCACAATAGCCATTTCATTCCAAGATGGATTGCAATGTGAAGCGGTCTTTTTCCATTTCATGTCCCAAACCTCAGCACAATTAGTTTTGAAACAAATGTCAATAGCTTCTGAGGGAGGCTGTGGGTGTGAGGCTGGAGTATCAGCGGCCAGCCACAGAGAAGGACTCAGAGGTTCTGATTGTGCCCATCGTGCTAAGACGTCCTGTGATTCCTGAGAGGCATTAATTCTGGTGCATGTTCATTGAGCATTTTTGATGCAAAGTAGTTTAAAAGACAGAAAGAAGATGGAGTTTGTTTTAAAGGTTTTAAGATAAACACAGATCAGCACTGTCTCAAAAACGCTGTGCATGTTTCCATGAACTCATGATCTTTCTGTCTTGACAGTCTCCAATCACGTGTGGAGATGACCTTGCCATCCCACCCACCCTTCAATCAGAGTGGGGACAGATGTTATCCATTGAATTATATCCCCCCACTGAGAATTCCTGTCTTAAAGTCCTAACCCCATTGTATCTCAGAATGTGGCTTTGTTTGGAAATAGGGTCATTGCAGATGTAATTAATTAAGATGAGGTCTTAACTTACTGGAATAGGGTGGGAACTTAATCTAATCTGACTGGTGTCCTTACGAAAAGAGGAAATTTGGACATAGACACTCTCACACAGGGAAGATACCATATGAAGATGAAAGCAGACATTACAGTGGTGCATCATCTGCAAGCCAAGGAACACCAAAGATTCCCACCAAGTCACCAGAAGCCAGGGACAGGCATGGAACAGACTCTTTCTCACAGCCTTCAGAAGGAGCCAACCCTGCCGACACCTTGATCTCAGACTTCCAGCCTCTAGAACTGTGAGACGATCCACTTCTGCTGTTCAAGCCAACCACCTGTCGTGTTTTGTTATGGCAGCCCTAGCCAGCTAAGACAACAGATCAATAATAAACTTAGGTACATCAATAAAATTAAGTTGTTGTGTGTATGGCCTTGGGGAAAATCTTTTAACCTCTGTAAAATGAAGACTTTGGAGCAAGTGGTTAGTGAAATCCCTTGCAGGTAAAGCATTCTGTGATTTTATAAAATTCTGACATATTGATCCATTTAATGCCGTTTCTTGGATTATACCTGGGAAGTGAGAGCTGAGAAACAGCAGCTGTATCCGAGAGGGGCAGGGCTCACCTGGAAGAGAGAGAGCCTGCTTTGAGGAGCCATAAAATCAAATCACCAAGGAACCAGAGGGGATCTTGGCCCAGTGGGGACCCTCAATACTAAATGGAGACTGGAGCATGCCTGGGCCAGCAGCAGACAGCCTTGGCACAGCCAAGCAGGGAGCCTGGGCTCCTCCTCCTGCACGAGGCAGCAGCACCAACGGGAGAGAGCCCAGCACACAGAACAGTCGGGAAGCAGTCAATGGTTTATAAGTCAGCCTAAGAGGGCTGGCCTGAGTTTCTGTCCTCCCAATTCAGCCATAAGCAGAGGGCAAGGGGACCAACTTAGCAACCTTGTGGCTATTTAGGAACATTTGTTGAAGGAAACTCTTGCTAAGGTGGCAGGTGGGAGCCCAGAGTCACTGTAATTTGGGTATGAAAGGAAATGTGACTTCAGGATGTAGTCACTGGCAGGTAGCACGTGGGCATTTGAGTTGCATGTTCACCTCTGAGCTGGACACAGCAGGGGCCAGGTCGGGCTGCCATCAACACTGTCTATAATCCATGCCTCGCACTTTGGAAAAGCTCAATTTCTTGCACAAAAGGAGGATAATGAAGTAGGAATTTGTTCCAGGAATAGGGAAAACAATTCGCCAATGTAGTAATTAGGGCCATGTTACCCTTCTAGACTCAATTTTAATTAGCTGTTTATTAGAATTAATTTTTGTCATCATTACATTGATTATATTATTTAGTGCCAGTTGGTGAGGGATAATGTCTGCGCCCGCAAAGTTTAGCTTAGCAATTCGAGAATTTGAATGGAGAAGGCAGAGTTACACTTTTGCTTTTTCTTAGTATCAGTCAACAAATATTAACCAGCTCTGTGGTGTGTGCAAGGTGCCGTGCTAGACACTTGTAATCAAGTTGCCTAGCCACATATAAAGTAGCCAATACTTATTATTCAGAATAATACAATAATAGAATCCTATGATTCCCGAACAGCCCTGCTATTCTCTCTGTTTTTGTACTCATATTTTTTCCTCTTCCAGGAATGCCCTGTCCTGTAAAACGTCTCCCATCCTTCAAGACCTACCTTTCAAATGACCTTATCCATCCATTTCCCCCAAATCTGATGAATGGGAACATCACTTCCTTTATATACCCAGAACTCATTGCAGGTCTCTCATGGAATTTCTGTGCTACTGTGTATTGTAGGTAATGGCCATTTGTCTCACTAAAGTACATGTTCCCCAATATAGTGGGGTGAAGAGTGTTCCTCAAAATTTGTGTCTACCTGGAACCTCAGAATAGGTGACCTTATTTGGAAATAAGGTTTTTGCAGATATAATTGGTTAAAGAGCTTGAGATGATATCATCCTGGATTTAGGGTGGGCCCTAGATCTAGTGACTGATGTCTTTACAAGAGAAAGGAGAGAGAGATTTGGACACAGAGAGACACACAGGGAAGAAGTCCATATGAAGATGGAGGCAGAAATGGGACTTCTGCAGCCACAACCCAAGAAACAGCAGGAACTGCCAGAAACTGAAGTGACCGGAGGCAAAGGAGAAGTATCTGTTGCTTCCTGCAAGTGAAGTCCTAGCTGACACCTTGATTTCAGATTTCTGGCCTTCAGAACGGTGAAAGAATGAATTTCCATTGTTTTAAGCTACCCAGTTTGTGGTAATTCATTATGGTAGCTCTGGGGAACTAATATGCCTGAGTATAATCTATGATTTACCTTCCTATCTCCGCAAATTTGCTCATAAGCATTTGTGAAAATACTGTATTTGCTACATTGCAAGGCATTGATCTCAGCTCTTCTTTAGCCATAATGGCTAAAGAAGCACTTATAAAAAAAATCAAGGACCAAGCAAAGTCAAAGTATATTAATTAGTTGCTTTCTCTTATGTGTGTGCTGGGAGGGTACACATGACTTGTGTGTGCAAAGGAACCAAGCAAGACTCCTTGGATCTGGGTATGAACAATGGTCCTGCTGATGCAAATGTCTGAATGAAGCCTTGACTGCCAGGAGGAAGCCCCATACTCATAGTGAGAGGGACTTCTGGAAGAATTGAGATCCACTCTCTGTGGACCTGAGTGACACATAAAAACTGGAGTTTCTAGGCCGGGTGCAGTGGCTCATGCCTATAATCACAACTCTTCGGGAGCCTGAGATGGGAGGACCACTTGAGGCCAGGAATTTGAGATCAGTGTGGAAAACATAGCAAGACCCCATCTCTGCAAAATATTGAAGAATTAGCCAGGCTGATGCTCACCTGTAGTCTCAGCTACTCAGGAGGGTGAGATGGGAGGATCACTTGAACCCAGGAGTTTGAGGCACACAGTGAGTCCTGATCACACCACTGCATTCCAGCCCGGATGACAGAGAGAGACTCTGTTTCAACAGAAAGAAAGAAAGACGGAAGGAAGGAAGGAAGGAAGGGAGTGAGGGAGGGAGGGAGGGAGGGAAAGAAGAAAGGAAGGAAGGGAAGGGGAGGGGCGGGGAAGGGAAGGGAAGGGGAAGAAGGAAGGAAGGAAGGAGGAAAGGAAAGGAAAGGAAAGAAAGGAAAGGAAGAAATTGAAGTTTCTAGATCACTAGCTGGCCTGGGTGACAGAGAGAGAGAGACCCTGTTTCTAAGAAAAGAAAGAAAGAAAGAAAAGAAAAGAAAGAAAGACAAGAAAAGAGAAGTTTTTACATCACTAGTTAGCCAGTTGAAAGGCACGCGCTCACCAAATGCCACACTAACCATACCCCGGAATTTGGAGCCAAGATGACCTTAGTTTCAGGCAGAATAGTCTGTTATAATTTGGGGTTACCTGCCTGAGAGGTCTCCCCAGTGGGCAGAAGGGTTGGGTTGGAAGGTCAGAATTGAATATTCATTTCTTCTTGTTAAGCATTCACTCTTCACCCTACCTATTTTTCATGCCTCAGCACCTTTGGGAGATCTGCTTAGAAACCAACTAATTTTTTAGTGGTTCTTGATTTATCAGATAATACTTGTAATAGCTAACATACATGGAGTGCCCACCCAATGCCCGGAATTTTATGCATTAAACAGTTTGCATGTATTAGATCATGAAATTCTCATAGCAACCCTACAAAGTAGATATTGAAATCTCCATTTTACAGAAGAGAAAATTTGAGCCTCCAGAGGTGAAATAACTTTGTTGGGGGTCACATAACCAGTCAGTATGCTGGGTCTCCAGCCCAGTCATCCTGTCTCAAAAGCCCAGACCGCCGGTTCAAGTGAATATTGCTTTTCTCAGGGTCTCTCTGACTCATTGAAGGCATGCGTGATTATGAGGGTCGTATTAACAGGAGGGAAAAGAGCAGCCAAAAGGGGGCTGCTGCCCAAAACCAGCTGCACAATTTTTTCCACATCTGCTCATTCTGGGATGCACAAGGTCTGTTGAAAGCGGGGTCGTGTAGAAATTGAGTGATAGTTGAATGCATCCACCAAGCAACCAACTAGGCACCTGCAGCCCCGTTTTCTGCACTGAGAACACATTGCACATCCCCTTAGATTTTTTTGCATCAGAACCGAACATGACTCCCAGGGCTCCCTCTACGCTATTTCACCTTGCTGAGCCCTTCCCAGATGTACTGGTCAACGAGTCAAATTCTCAGCTGGGGGAGAGCAGATAAGACTCCATATTTGGGGAGAACATAGAGGCCTTTCCAGAGCCTGCTGCTCCTGCTGTCATTTTGTTCATTCTGATTGAAACACTCTGTCTTTGTTGTCAAGCTCTTTCCCACTCATACATATTTGTGTGATGAGTACAATGACATTATTCTATTAGTCGCAAAGCAGGGGCAGATCGCTATTTAAATTGATATTGCTTTTTAAGTTATTACAGTCACTGTTCTACAGTTCCATAGTCACACCATTTCCCAGATCTCCCAAGAATAATAATCAAAGGAAAAAAAATAAAACCCCGGCAAGATTTCCATCCAGAACCTGCCAGCACGGGGCTGTTCTTTTTACTTCTTGCCTCAATGGCACTTCCTGGAGTAGCAAGTTATTTAATGCTTACATAGTGATATCTGATCTGTATTTCTGTTGTCCCCCAGTGGCCACTGGAGCTCTCTCATTCAAACACAAGTGAAACCAAAGAGAAGGCAGTCACCCTGCAGGGTACCACACAGCTGTGCTTTTTAGTATTTCCCCAAAAGGCTTCTTATGGTGGCAACAATCACCTCCCTCTCTATTTTAAGTAAGCAAACACTATTTTAACTACCTGTGACTCTGAGTGCTGTGGCCCTATAAGCTATTTTATTTATTGTTATTTTTTAAATTTATTATTATTTTTTACAGACAGGGTCTGACTCTTGCCCAGGCTGGGGTGCAGTGGTGCAGTCATAGCTCACTGCAACCTGGAACTCTTGGGCTCAAGTGATCCTCCTGCCTCAGTCTCCTGAGTAGTTGGGACTGCAGGTGCAAGCCATCATGGCTGGCTAATTACATTTTTTTTTTAAGAGAAGAATTTTCACTGTGTTGTGTAGGCTGCTCTCAAATTCCTGGCCTCAAGTGATCCTCCTGCCTCAGCCTCCCAAGGTGCTGAGCCACAATGCCCAGCTCCTATCACCTATTTTAGAATAGTACTGAGGCACTTCTTTTTCAGTCTGGACATTCCAGCCCATTCATTGACATGGATTACTGGTGATTTTGTTGGTGAGGCTGAGGCAGCTGTCCCCAGGAATGGAAGTGCTGTCTGCAGTGCCATTTGGAAAGCAGCCCTCAGCTCTCCAGTCAGACAGGAACATGTGTCATTTCCTTGTGGACTGGACTCTACAGGTCGATTGGGGCCTCTTGCTACTACCACACTGTCTTTGGTCTAGAGGGCAGCAGTTTGCTCTGTCATGGGCATTAGTGGATCTTTAGTGCCACTAGCTTAAGAATCTTGTGATTTGGGGTTTCAGGGAAGAGCAGCAGTCATCTATCCCCTATAGATACACGATCTCAGAGGCTCTGTGGGCACATATCCATATTAATGTATACAGCCTGCCTGGCTCCACCTCCACTTAACTTCTCACTGCAGAGAAATATGGGGGCGGGCGGGGGAAAGAGACTTAGGAAGGAACCAGGCCTCCTGTATCAAGTTCCTGGGTTCTTGTGTGTCTATTGCTTGAAAGGGAAGAACTGTTTTTTGTGTGTTTTTTGTGAGAGAAAGAAAGGAAGGAAGGAAGGGGAAGGGGAAGGGAAGGGAGGAGGGAGGGAGGGAGGAAGGAAGGAAGGAAGGAAGGAAGGAAGGAAGGAAGGAAGGAAGGAAGGAAGGAAAAACAGGGCTGAAGGTGAAAGAAAGCCAATCCCCTCTAGGTATGTCAATGCTCCTAAAGCCTACCCCTGTCCCTGTTATCTTGGGGTACGGTGGGGTTGGCACTAGGTTGTGGTAGCTGATGGAAGGCCAATGGAGTATGCTTGGCTCTTACTCCAGCAAACACCAGGCTTGGTGAGTCACCTAGTGCCTCCCACTCCTCCAGGGCCATGTGTTGAGTAGCAGGTCTCCCTGGGTGGTAAGATTTATGCCAACTGATGATATCAGGACCCATGGGTTGTTAACAGACTGTGACGTCAAGTGGCCATATTCCCTTCATCCAATCCAGTTAAAGGCTTTCCTCACATATGGAAACTCAGGAGTGCCCACAGGAGTGATTCTCATAGAATGACTCATGGACAAGCAGGGGTCTGTAAGGCTTCTCCAGGTGGCCACTGATTTCTCATAGGATAGTGAGAATTGCTCATCATTCTGCACCTTCAATATCTTTCTTACTCCCACATCATCCCCATTGGCAAATACATCTAACTTGGAATAGCTCATCTTAAAAACAAAACAAAAACATTCCCTTGACCTTATAGGCCCATCCAACCATGGCCGAGCTCTCTGCTTCCCTTTATAGCAAAAGTTCTGAAAAGTCATGGATTAGTACCATCTCTGTTTGTCACTGCCCATTCTCTCCCAACAAGCTCACTCACCTGTTCAATTCTATTCATGTGCTACCATTGGGCCCCACTTGTTTTATCCAGGGGTCAACTCTCTGCTCCATCTTACAGGCCTTCCTAGCAGCTATCGTCACTGTTGACGCCTCCTTCTTTTCTGGAGCTTTTTATTCTCTGGGGTCCCAGAAACCAAGAAATTTTCTTGGTTTTCCTCCTACCATATTATCAGCTTGACTTTTCTGCCTGAGTTAGAACCCCCAAAAATAAATCTCCAGATCTCTTCTCTTGTTTTGTCTTCTTTTCCCTTCCCTTTCCCTTCTCTTCCCTTCCTTTTCTTTTCCTTCTCTTCATTTCCCTTCCCTCCCTTTCTCTTATCTTCCCTTTGTTCCTCTTCTCTCTCCCTTTTCCTTCTCTTCTGCACTCCCTCTCCTGGTAATCTGTTTCAGTCTCAAATCGTCTATACATTCATGACTCTCGAATCTATCTTCCCAGTCCTTATCACCCCACGAAGGTCCAGATTCCTAAATCCAACTGCCTCTATGACACCTCTGCTAAGATGCCTAACAGATGTCTCAAACTTGAATATCCAAAGTGAAACTCTTGATATCCCTCCAAGGCTTATTTCTCCCCCATTCTTTATTTGCCCAACAAATAATTCCATCAGCTGCTACCCAGTTGCTCAGATCTAAAACTTAAGAATCATGTATTTTTGACTCTTCTTTTTCTGTCATACCCCACATTCAACTGACCAGTCCTACTTTTTCTAACTTTAGAATATATCCAGAATCTAATTATATCTCACCACATCGACTGTTATATCCCTAATCCAAGCCATTGTCATTTTCTGCCTAGGCCATAGCAGGAATTCCTATCTCTGGTTTTCCACACTTGCCCTACTATAATGCATTCTCTACCCAACAGGCAAAATAATCTCTTAAGCGTGTAAATCTACCATATCGCTCCCTTGCATAAATCCTGCTAATGGCTTATAATCACATTACAGAATAAAATTTAGGTAACTTGCCATGCCGATAAGACCCTGCATGATCTGACCCCTGTCCCTTGTGCCTCCATTCTCTGCTTGTTCACACTGGCTGTCTTCTAGCCTGTGGGCAGCCCTGGCTTGTTCCTGTTTCAGGACCTCTGTGCTTGCTGTGCCCTCTGCCTGGAACGCTTTCCCCCAGGACCTCAGCACAATTCACTGTGCACCATGCAAGTCTCGGCATCAGTGTCATCTCCTAAGAGAGGACTTCCCTGACTACGCAGCTTAAAGTAGCTCCCAACCCAGTCTTTATCTCATCACAAATGTTTTTCTCCATGTCAATTAATACTCTCTGCCTCAACTTATCTTTTTATTTATTTATGGTTTATTTTTGTCTCCCCGTACTAGACCCCATGAAAGCAATCTTGTCTGTCTTTTTCACTGCTATTTCCCTAACTTATATGAATGCCCACCTCATATCAGATGCTCAGTAATATCTGCCGTGTGAGTAAATGGTCTCATCACAGTGAGTTCTGTATTGTGTTTCTATTTGCAGTATGAAGCCACATGGCTTCCAAGTCTGGCAGCTCAGGAGAATTACCTAGACACATTTTAAATCATGCAGGTTTTTGAGCCTCATCCCATCTTTATTGGTGTGTCACTGATGGTGTCCTAATCTTTCCATTCACTCTGATGAAAAGTTTTGAAGTCGCCAAGGCAGGGGAAAAGGGGATTAGCCTTCAGGCTAATGGAGGTCAATTTAAGAGGCTTTGTGAGTTCCTTGTTCCATGGGAATAAAAACATGTTAGAAGCCACTATATTGAAGCTGGGGGTGGGAGAGGAGAGAAGAGGGAGGATGAACCCTGTGGCATGGGCCCATCTGGCTGTTGAAGGTCAAGGTCTGGTTTTACCCACTTTGGTAGCTACATAATTCTGTGAATTACCAGGGGACCCACCTATTCGCTCAAGGAGGACTCTTTATTTCACCCTGTCCTTCAGCTTCAGGATCTAGAACTCTGCTGTCTAATATAGTAGCCATGGTTTTAAGACTGAATTCATTAAAATTAAGGTGTTCGAATTTGAATTAAATGCATTAAAATTAAATACAATTAAGAATTCCTTTCTTCAGTCTCACTAGCCATGTCTCAAGTGCTCACTAGCTGCATTAGCTGGTGGCTACAGTATGTGTGCCTTTCCATCACTGCAGAAAGTTCCATTGAACAGAGCTGGTCTAGAAAATGGGCTCCTGGGACTGCTAGAAAATGGGACTCCACACTGCTGTTGTTAGTGCTTTAAACGCCAGGCTTGTCGATTGTACATGGAAATACAGCTCTACCCTGGTTAAGCAATTGGTCTCTTGAGCCCTGGGAATTTCAGTGGAGCAGGCGAAGGGCTGGTGAAAACAGCTTGTAAAAGTATTTGCCAGCAGAGCTGCCCACACACAGAGATGATGTACATTTTCAGAGACATACCACTGTTGCTCCAGAGGACAGGGAGAAAGCACAGCTATAGGCCAGGACGAGTTTTTCTTTTAGTTTGTGCTCCTCGAGCTCTGAATCCAAGGTCACTCCTGGGAATTTTGCCGGGATTCGTTTAGCAGGTTTACATTCTGTACCTCAAGTAAGATGATCGGCCACTTAAAGTCAGGGGAAATGACTTATGTTCTTATAATATCTCCTCCTCGACACTTCACATATAGATGATAAATAAACACTAGCACTCGATCTAAGTTGCATTACAGTTAGCTCTGTGCATGTATCTCCTTATTTGCTCATGAAATCCTCAAGGGCAAAGATTATTTTTATTCCCTTCCCTGCAGCACCTAGTACTCTGCATGATGAATAATTGTTCCTATAGAAATACTCATGGGTGGGAGGATAGCTGGACCCCAGGAGTTCAAGGCTGCAGTGAGCCATGATTGGGCTACTGGACTCCAGCCAGACCTCGTCTCTAAATAAATAAATCAAATGAATAAAAAGTAAACAACGAAGTATTCATTTTGTGTTTTAACAAGCACTAGAGGAAAAATTCATTTTAAAATTTTTTAAAATGAAATATTTATTGGATGGTTGGAGGGAGGGAGGGAGAGATCAACTCAGACCCACACTGGTAGAAGATTTCCTGTTTCAGTGAGAGCTCACCGTTTTAGTGATACATCACTTCCCGTCTTAGAAATTCAGAAAAATTCAGCATTATTCTCTCATTTGAAGGTGAAGAGGCTATTTTCCAAGTCACCAGTGGGTGGATGAATGAAAGAAAGCTTTTCCAGTGTCATCAGAGCATTCTCATGGGACTTTATCAGAAAAACCATCTTCTTTGCCTTTTTTCTGGTAGAAAGCTTCACTGGAAAAAGCAAACCTAATTCAAGAGAAAAACATGGCAATAGGACAATTTCAACAAAAATTGTCTACGTGTTACATGAAACATTCAGGTTCTAGAGCATTTTGTGTCACTCTTTTAAGACCCCAATCTTAAATGCTTGTTATCAACTATAGAATCTTCTCTCACCACATCTGGAAATTAAGCTAAAGTCAAGAACACAAAAATGTTTGTCTTCTCATTACTCTCTTCTGTCAGATACTTTGCAGCGTAGTTTCTAGTGATCATCATTTTCTTACTGTAGATTCAAGTTTGTATCTTCTACTATTTCCCTTCATTCTGAAGAATACCCTGAGGAATTTCCTGCAGTTCTGCCTGTAACAAATTCTATCAGCTTTTGTTTATCTCAAAGTGTCTTAATTTTACCATTTTTTTAAGTTTATTTTCACTCTATATAGAATTCTAGACTGGTGAGATTTTTTTCAGCATTTTAAAGGTGTTATTCCCTGGTCTTTTGGCCTGCATTATCTCTAATAAGAAATCAGAAATTATTTTTGTTTTCCTATATATAATGTGTCTTTTGTTTTATGGATAATTTCCGTATTTTCTGTTTTTTTGGTTTTTGGTTTCCTTTTTTTTTTTTTTTTTTTACACAGAGTCTCTCTCTGTTGCCAGGCTGGAATGCAGTGGTGTGCAATGTTGGCTTACTGCAACCTCCACCTCCTGGGTTCAAGTGATTCTCGTGCCTCTGCCTCCGGACCAGCTGGGATTAGAGGCATGTGCCACCACACCCTGCTAATTTTTGTATCTTCAGTAGAGATGGGGTTTCACCGTGTTGGCCAGGCCTGACCTCAAGTGCTCCACCCGCCTCGGCCTCTCAAAGTGCTGGGATTACAGGCATGAGCCACCGCGCCTGGCCGATTTCCGTATTTTCTATCATTTTTTGGTTTTCAGCAGTTTGACTGTGATGTGCCTAGATGTGGTTTTCTTTATGTGTATTCTGCTTGGGGTTCACTGAGTTTCTTAAACCTAAAAGTTGGTGTTTTTCAACAACTTTTGGGAAGTCTGGGGCCATTATTCTTTCAAATGTCTTTTTCCTCCATCCTCATTCTCTTCTCGTTCAGAATCCGTATTGCAGGTGAGTTCGGCCATTTATTACTGTCCTATCAATCCCTGAGGCTTTGATCGTTTTTTTCAATTAATTTTCTATTTATCAGATTGATTTAATTTTATTGATCTGTCTTCAAGTTTACCAAGTTTTTCTTCTGTCATCCCTAGTAAGCCCATTCAGGGAATTTTTCATTTCAGGTATTATACACTTGAGTTTTAGAGTTTCCATAGGGTTTAAAAAATAGTTTCCATTTTCCAAGTGAGATTTCATAGTCACTAATTCATTAAATCCATATTTTTCTTTAATTCTTTGAACATCTTCCATTAACTATTTGACTGTGTGTGTGTGTGTGTGTGTGTGTGTGTGTGTGTGTGTGTGTGTGATGGAGTCTCGATCTTTCACCCAGGCTGGAGTGCAGTGGCGTGATCTCGGCTCACTGCAACCTCCGCCTCCCAGGTTCAAGCGATTCTCCTGCCTCAGCCTCCCAAGTAGCTGGGATTACAGGCACCCACCACTATGCCCAGCTAATTTTTGTATCTTTATTGGAGATGGGGTTTCTACTACTTTAGGAGTGTTGGCCAGGCTGGTCTCGAGCTCCTGGACTCAAGAGATCCACTTGCCTTGGCATCCCAA
Source organism: Homo sapiens (assembly GCF_000001405.40). Classification (NCBI taxonomy): domain Eukaryota; kingdom Metazoa; phylum Chordata; class Mammalia; order Primates; family Hominidae; genus Homo; species Homo sapiens. The sequence continues at coordinate 9,353,255 of NC_000008.11, forward strand.
AGTGCTGGGATTACAGACGTGAGCCGCCGTGCCCCAGCCTTTGACAATAGTTTTAATAACTCATTTAAAGTCTTTTGCTGCCAAGTCTAATACTTGGGCCATCTCAGTTTGTTTTGAGTACTTTTTGCTTTGATTATCAATTATGTTTTCCTGTTTCTTTGAAAGCCTAGTGATTTTTTAACTGAATACTGGACATTGTAGATAATATATTGTAGAGTCCTGGATTCTACTATCTTCCTCAGAAAAATGTTGATTCTCATTTTAGCAAGCAGTTTGATTATTATCTGATCACCTTGGAATGTCCATCTTGGTTTTAGGCTCTCATATTATAGATAAGGAAAAAGTCAGAAGTGTTTCCTGAGTGCTAACTTAGAAGACTCATTCTCCAAACTGTCTCCCATGACCATCCTATTAGGGCTCAGGTTTAGGCTTTTTAAGAGTGAGTGTGGTGTATGTTGTACTACAGTGACTATTCAAATTTAAGTGAATTAGGCCAGGCACAGTAGCTCATGCCTATCATCCCAGCACTTCAGGGTGGGATGCCAAGGCAAGTGGATCTTTTGAGCCCAGGAGTTCAAGACCCGCCTGGGCAACGTGGCAAAACCCCGTCTCTAGAAAAGATACAAAAATTAGCCAGGCATAGTGGCTTGTGCCTGTAGTCTCAGCTACTTGGGAGGCTTAGGTGGGAGGATCACCTGAGCCTGCAAGGTCAAGGCTGCAGTGAGCGATGATCACGCCACTGCACTCCAGCCTGGGTGACAGAGTGAGACCCTGCCTCAAATAAATACATAAATAAATTAATTTAAATTTAAACATGTACTTATTCAGTTGCCATAGTTACATTTCAAGTGTTTCGTAGTCATATGGGTCAATGACTACCAGATTAAAATTGTGCAACTACAGAACATGTCTGTTACAGAAAATTCTATTGATAGGCACAGTTCTATGTCAGAGATCAGCAGCTTTTTCTGTAAAAGGCAAAATAATATTTTAAATTTTAGGGCCATACGATCCTGTCATGTCTACTCACCTCTGCATTGTAGCATGCAAGCGGCCACAGACAGTAAGTACACAGATGAACATGGCTGTGTTCTAATAAAATTTTATTACAAAAACAAGCAACAGCTGAATTTGGCCTAAGAGTCGTATTTTTAGAGCAAAGGTCAGCAAACTATGACCTATGAGCCAAATTTGGCCCACTGTCTATTTTGCTTATTTTTAAAATAGCTTTATTGAAATATAATTCACATATCATATAATTTGCCCATATAGCTCAGTGGTTTTCAGTATAGTCACACAGTTGTGCCAACATCACCACGTTTAACAAACACCTTTTTATTTTTTTTTTTGCAAAAAAAGTTTTACAGGAAAGCAGGTTTACTCATTTATTTATGTCTTGACCTATGCCTGCTTTCATACCTCAATGGCAGAGTTGGGTATTTGCAACAGAGACTATATGGACTTCAAAGGCTAAAACATTTAGCGTCTGACTCTTTAGAGAAAATATTTGCTCTAGAATGTCGTCTGTACCCATAAGGCACAAGCTTGCTGTGTTTGACCTGGATTTCAGGAGTGTTCATGAGGTGTTATCTCTGCTCTCTGTCAGGGTCGGAACTCTAATGTCCACAGCACTGCTTGCTTGATCTCTCATCCCATTGTTTCTCCCTCAACCCTACAGCAGCTGCTACTTGGTGAGCCTCAGGTGTTGCTGCCCGTTGTATATACAGCATAACCCTCAGCTACAGACCTTCAAGGACTCCAGTACAAATTTTTGGAACCTATTTCTTTTTTTTTTTTTCTTTTTCTTTTTTCTTGTTCTTTTTTTTTTTTTTTTTGAGACGGAATCTCACTCTGTCGCTCAGGCTGGAGTCCAGTGGCGCGATCTCGGCTCACTGCAAGGACCGCCTCCCGGGTTCACGCCATTCTCCTGCCTCAGCCTCCCAAGTAGCTGGGACTACAGGCACCCGCCACCACGCCCAGCCAATTTTTTGTATTTTTAGTAGAGACAGCGTTTCACCGTGTTAGCCAGGATGGTCTCAATCTCCTGGCCTCGTGATCCGCCCGCCTCGGCCTCCCAAAGTGCTGGGATTACAGGCGTGAGCTGCCGCGCCCGGCTTTGGAACCTATTTCTGCGTGGCTTGTCTGATGCATCATTCCCGTGTGGTATATTTTCCTTGATTTAAAAAAATGTATTTGTCCAGTCATTATGAGAATTATTTGAGTCTCTTACTGTAGTGTCTATTTCTCCTTATCCAGTGTCTTTAATTTTGTTTTATGTATTTTGAGACTACGTTTTTAGGTACCAGTTAGTTTAGGCTTGTATTTTTCTGTTGAACTAAAACGTCTACCAATACATTGGGAGCCTCTTGATCTCTAGAACCGTTTTCGCCCTAAAGTCTAAAAACAGAGTGACACTGTTTTCTTTCATTTAGATTTGTCCGTTGTGTAATTTGAGCCTTTTGATCTTTGTGTTTTACATGTGATCTCTCATAAAAGTGCATTTAAATTCAGTCTGACAAGCTTTGATTTTTAACTGAGGCATTTAATCTATGTTCATTTGAATGTAATCACTGAAATATTTTATTTCTAGAGTTTTAAAAAATTTTCTTTTTTAATGAGACAGAGTCTTGCTGTGTTGCCCAGGCTGGAGTGCAGTGGCACAATCTCGGGTCACTGCAACCTCTTTGTCCAGGGTGCAAGCGATTTTCAGGTCTCAGCCTCCTGAGTAGCTGGGATTACAGGCGTGCACTACCACTCCCAGCTAAATTTTGTGTTTTTAGTAGAGATGGGGTTTTGACCATGTTGACCAGGCTGGTCTTAAACTCCTGGCCTCAAGTGATCCACCTGCGTTGGCCTCCCAAGGTGCTGGGATTACAGGTGTGAGCCGTTGTGCCTGGCCTTTTTTCATATCTTATTTTTTCTTTCATAACTATCCTGCATTTACTATATATCTATACTATATCTATATATCTATATATATAAAATCATATATATACACATATACATGTATATGTATATTATATATCTCTTCTTCCTTCCCCTGCTCTTTCTTTTTGCCTTCCTTTGAACTGATTATTTTTTGTTTCTCTCTACTACTTGGAAAGTTATTGTGATGGTTAATACTAGGTGTCAACTTGATTGGTTTGAGGGATGCCTAGATGGTTGGTGAAGTATTGTTTCTGGGTGTGTCTGTGAAGGTGTTGTGTTGCCAGAGGAGATTGACATGTGAGTGGTGGACTGGAGAGGAAGACCCGTCTTCAATGTGGGTGGGCACCATCCAATTGGCAGCCAGTGCAGCTGGAACAAAGCAGATGGAAGAAGGTGGGATAAGTTTGCTTGCTGAGTCTTCTGGCTTTTTTTCTTCTTCCCATGAGAGACGTTTGCTTCTGTTCCTCCTGCCCTTGGACATCAACTCCATCTCTTTCAGCCGTAGACTGAGGGAGGCACTGTGGCCTTCCCTAGTTTTCAGGCATTTGGACTTGGACTTGAGCCACTTCCGTCTTCTCTCTTTCCCCAGCTTGCAGATGGCCCATCGTGGGACTTCACTTTGTAATCCTGTGAGCCAATTCTCGCTAATAAACTCCCTTTTATATGCACCTACATCCTATTGGTTCTGTCCCTCTGGAGAACTCTAACTAATACAGTTATATCAAATTCCCTTCTTCTAGAACTCATCCTAGAATGTTAACAAGCATATTGAACTTCTCATATTCTAAATTTAATTAATAGGTTTACTCTCCTTCTTTACATTACATGAACTTAGAACACTTTAATCCTCTTACATCTCACAATTTGTATGCTATTGTTGCTTTGTATTTCATGTCTATCCCTCTACTTACAGAAGTTTATTGCCATTGTTTTATGCAGTCAATTTTTTAAAGATTTGCTTATGTATTTGCCACTTTCTTAGCTCATCATGTTTTCATCTCAATATCCCTAACTTGAATTGTCTTCCCTCTGCTTAAGACAAGCCCTCAGCATTTCCTTTAATCACTGTCTGTTTTTCCTTACTTCAAATTTTTTAACTTCACTCTTATTTTTGAAAACTATCTTTACTGCATATACAGTTTTAGGTTGATGGTTATTTTCTCTCAGCATATTTAAAATATTGTTTCACGAAGAAAACAACAGACTTGAGTGTGGAGAGTGGGAGGAGGGAGAGGAGCAGAAAAGATAATGATTGGGTACTGGGTTTCATTTATGGGTGATGAAATAATCTATACAACAAACCCCCATGACATGAGTTTGTCTGTGAAACAATCCTTCAGGTGAACCCCAAACCTAACATAAAAGTTAAAAAAAATTAAACGGCGACAACAACAACAACAAATATTGTTCCACTATTACCTATAGTTTCTATGGATGCTATCAAGAAGTCAATTTCATTGTCATTCCTTTGTAAGCAATCTGTCTCTTTGAAGTATCATTAGGCTGTATCTGGGTGAACACTTCTTTCTTTGTAAAAAATCTTGCTTGGGTTCCTTAGGATTTCTGAACCTGAGGATTGGAGTCCATTAATTCTGAGCATTTTTTTGTGTCCCTTTTTCTCTCTGGACAGTGGAGTGGTCTGTCTTTCGGTTCTTTAATTCTTCCTTCACCCATGCTAATCTTCTCTCAAACCACTCATTGAGGTTTATAAAAACTTTGTTACAATATTTTTCATTTCTAGAAGTTCTAGTTGAATTTTTTCTTTTATGTCCTTAAAAACCTTTAATTTTGGCCAGTTGCGGTGGCTCATGCCTGTGATCCCAGCACTTTGGGAGGCCAAGGCAGGTGGATCACGAGGTCAGGAGTTCGAGACCAGCCTGGACAACACAGTGAAACCCCGTCTCTACTAAAAATACAAAAATTAGCTGGGCATGGTGGTGGTCACCTGTAATCCCAGCTACTCAGGAGGCTGAGGCAGGAGAATCACTTAAACCCAGGAGGTGGAGGTTGCAGTCAGCCGAGATCGTGCCACTGCACTCCAGCCTGGGCAACAGAACTAGACTCCGTCTAAAAAAAACAAAACAAAACAAAGAAAAGTTCTTTTTCTTTATTTATATTTTCTATTATAAATTGTGTTTACTCCCAAAATTCATAGTACCTTAGAATATGACTTTATATGGAGATAGGGCCTTCAAAGAAGTCATTAAGTTTCATTGGGATTATTAGGGTAGGTTCTAGTCCAATATGATGGTCTTCCTGTAAGAAAAGGAGATTAGGACACAAAACACAGAGAGGAAAGAGCATATGAAGACGGTGAAGGCAGCCATCTATAAGCCAAGGGGAGAGGTCTCAGAAGAAATTAACCCTGCTGACACCTTGAGCTCAGACTTCCAGTCTCCAGAACTATGGGAAGTGAATCTCTGTTGTTTCAGCCACCCAGTCTGTGATACTTTCTTATGGCAGTCCTAGCAAACTAATACAGACCTCTCTATTTTCTTCTTGAAACATAATTTAAAATACTTGTTTCATATTCTTTGTCTGATAAGCCAATATGTGAAACGTTTTGGAAGCTAAATCTGCTGTTTGTTTTTTCAGGTGTGTGGTGCTTCTAGGGCATGGTATTTTTGTGAGTTTTGTGATCTGTGCTGGTGAGCTCATATGTTTTGAAAGTTCTATCAGTGAGAATTCTTTGAACAAATCGGAAAGAATTTGCTTTTCTTAGTACCATGAGCCTAAAGCCACTTCCAAGTCAGCAGCATTCTACACTAATTCTCAGCATGAGTTTTTTGGGACTAACCAGGTAGTGTGAATTGAAGCTGGAAAATTGTACAATGGCCTTGTGTTTATGAATAATCAAGGCAGATATTTTGTTCTCTTACCGAAGTACTAAGTCTGGAGAAAGGCATTTTTCCTTGATGTCCAGGGTAAGAGCAGTGGTTGGGGTTAGTAGTAGTAGTTGTGGGGGAGGATAAGCTTCTATCTAATTTGTGATCATACTAAAGATATAAACCCTTGGGGCCCAGTTTTCTGTGTGGTCTTCTATTAGATTCTATACTTTGCGAAGTTCCTAGGCTTTTTCTCCTGTGGCCTGGCCACTGGAGTTTAGCAAATGCCCTCAGGATGAAAATCAGATTTAGTGTTTCAAAGATAGTTCTAGAAGGAGAGGTAATTTTTAACCCAGAGCCTCTGTCACTTGTCAGGAAGGGCCAGGCTGGTGTACCCTGGGAAAAACTTTAATGTTGCTTTTATTGATATCTTTATCAGCTACCGTCCTGATTAGCTAGACAAATCTTCCCTTTCAACAGAGTGAGGTCCAGAAGGGAAGCATTTTGTGGAAGTCATTTCTAGATCCCCCAGTAATTTATGTAGAGGAAAGCCCTTCCCCATGTCCAGGCTGTCCCGCACCTGAGCTCTCACCCTCACACAAGCATTGGGGGCTTCAGAGACCACGGATCCCCCATCTTCATCTCTCCAATCCCTCTGTCTCCATTTCTCACACGCTCCTGTGAAAAAATAAACAGAAGAACTGTCTGCCTTGGAACTATCCTGGTTATGCTTTTCTTTTTCAGAAAGTGCTTGAAATAGAGGCCAAATTCAAAAACCCTGCATCACCTAAAGCTGTATGGAGACAAGGCCAGGGTCCTTGCCTCTGCCCCATCCCTGAAATAGAACCTGCCAATGCTTGTTTCAGGCGGGTGTTTTATTTCAAAAGCCTAAGCCAGCCTATGAAGTGGATCTCTGGCTTGGAAGCATTTCGCGGGATCGTCACACGGGGCAGGTGGCTGGAAAGTGTGTCCAAACTCACCTGGCACTGCCTTCGGCCTCCCTGAATGCAGAGTTGGCCTCAGTCCCCAAGCTGCTCTCTAGAAGCCTGCAGCATCCAGCACAGGGTGAAAGAGGCCATCACATTGATATGTTAGTGGGCCCCAAGCAAATGTCTGACTGAGAGATGCTCGACTCCATCTGATTATTTTCCAGTTTTATGTAAAGCCTCCAGTGTGACTTATGATTAGGTTTTGATTCTGTTTCTTTGGAGTTAGTCTTGTCCAGGGGTGAGAACAGAAACTGCATGACCCAAAGACAGAGGGCCCCTTTCAGTCGGGGTCTCTGCTGACCAAAGCAATTTTGCAGGTGGGAAAAAAAAAAAGAGTCTGGGCAGGGGTTTATTGACACACTTATTGACCTTCCACATCAGCTGTTGTTGCCAGCTTCCCTTAGACAGCCTTAGGCAAGAATAAAAGAAGCTGAGCACATTTTCAGATTCAGAGTCAGGTCTGCAAAGGGCTGAGAGTCTGGGCATTCTCCTTAGACAAGGGCAGAAGGCTGCCCCTTGTCTTTGTTTCCAGCCTGTCCATGCCCATGTTTTCAACAGAGTAATTCTGACCAATAAACTCTACCTGCTTGATGGAAGGTAAAAGGCATAAAGGCTGAATAGTATTTAGGAGATGAAAGATCAGTTAAGGCTTAGGTAAATGGTTAAATCAAGAGAATTCTTTCTCTGTTGATGGTCACTTGGAAACCAAGCTTCAGTTTCACATGAGCTCCATGCGTCTAAAACACTTTTCAAATAGTCTTCAAAAAATTAACTACTGACACATCCAATAACAGATGGTGGGATAAATTGCTATCTGTCACTTTCCTTTTCTGAAACACACAGAAAATCATATCTATAGCTCTGCAAACCATCCTGAGGAATATTTGGATCTGACTGAGTGAGAATTAACAAGGGCAAGAAATACCTAGTCAGACCAGCACTTGACACTCAGTAACTGTTGGTGAATGAATGAATGAATGAATGAAACATGTGCTCACCACATCTACTGCAGGATGTTAACATCTCTGAAAGTAGGTGAAAGGATTCTATGAAATCCAACCCAAAGTGTTATGCTTGGAACAATTAGGTTTATATTCCCAGAAGAAACAGGAGGGGGAAACAGCAACAACAACAAAAACAAAACATTGCTATCGTGGTATTCTTAAGTTTGTGATATGGTTTGGCTGTGTCCCCACCCAAATCTCATCTTGAATTGTAGTTCCCATAATTCCCACTTGTCATGGGAGGAACCCAGTGGGAGGTAATTGAATCATGGGGGCGGTTACCTCCATGCTGTTCTCGTGATAGTAAGTGAGTTCTCATGAGATTTGATGGTTTTATAAGGTGATTTCCCCCTTTTGCTCTGCAGTTCTCTTTCCTGCCACCATGTGAAGAAGGACATGTTTGCTTCCCCTTCTGCCATGAATGTAAGTTTCCTGAGGTCTCCCCAGTTCTGCAGAACTGTGAGTCAATTAAACCTCTTTCCTTTATAAATTACCCAGTCTTGGGTATGTCTTTATTAGCAGTATGAGAACAGACTAATACAGCTTGTCATTTCAGAATGTTAGGATATGTAGATGTCATAGGAAGAAACCCTTGGACAGCCCATCTGTGTGTTCAAAAACAACCCCTCTATCAGCCCTGCTCACCACAAAAGAGGGGAAAGTCAAAAAATGAAAGTAGGTAGGTCTTCAGGGCAAAGAGCACAGCACATTTATGCAGAAAATCTAGACAATAGGCCAGGCGCAGTGGCTCATGCCTGTAATCCCAGCACTTTGGGAGTCTGAGGCGGGTGGATCGCCTGAGGTCAGGAGTTTGAGACCAGCCTGGCCAACATAGTGAAACCTCATCTCTACTAAAAATACAAAAAATTAGCTGGGCGTGGTGGTGGGCACCTGTAATCCCAGCTACTCGGGAGGCTGAGGCAGGAGAATAGCTTGAATCTGGAAAGTGGAGCTTGCAGTGAGCCGAGATCACGCCATTGCACTCCAGCCTGGGCAACAAGAGCGAAACTCCATCTCAAAAAAAAAAAAAAAAAAAAACTATGACACAATAATAATTGTGAATAAATTTGCCAGCTGTACTTCATAACCTGAGGACATGATTAAAGCAATGTTTTGAGGAAAATTATTAGGCGTAAGCAGTTAGCATTAATAAATACAAAGAATCAAAATAATGCATTAGTGATTCAACTTAAGTTTGAAAAAGAACATAATTATGAAAAAACAAAATGAAGAAATAAAAATTGGGAGTTGAAGTGAATAAATTAAAAAATGGATATTTGGCAGAAAAATAAATGAATCCAAGTCCTGGTGCTTTTAAATAAAACAGATAAACCATTAATATCCTAAAAAAAAGAGGGGCAAAATACAAACGCATACAATTAGAAAGGAGGGTGGGAAATAACAGAAAGACAGAGAAAACACTTTTTAACTATGCAAATAAATTAGAAAACCTAAGGAATGAATATACATGAAGTGAATAATTTATCCAAATGCCAGACACAGGTCATTTCACAAATGAAATTTTAAATTTAAAAATTTTAAGAAAGAGATTATTCTAGTACTTTTAAAACTTTTCTAAGGAAAATCAACATGTCTAATGTTGTTTATAAAGCCAACATAACAGTAATGCCAAAACTGGACAGTGCACACACAGGACTCACAAAACAGTAGACGACTTTTAGGAATAAGCCTAGTGCCAAAATATTTTTTAAAATATTGACACTGTAATTACCATTTTTTTCTTTCTTTTTTTTTTTTTTTGCAAGTGACACACACTCTAACAGCTCCTTGACCAGAGAGTAAAGGTAGCTCTATTATAAAAGAAAAATAATTTAAAGATTTCAAAAATACAAAAGGGCACCATGAGAAAACTGAGTTTTGATCATGGTCTTTGGATCTAGCTGAATGTTAGAAACACTGGGCAAAAGAAGTTAAATCAGCATCAAGAGGTGAACTGCAGGTAAACAGGTTTTCCAAGTCATAGACAACTGGGGCCAGAAATTGCTCATAAATATTTTCTCTGCTTCCTCCAATCAAATGCAGGTTTCTTTTTTTTTTTTTAAGTTTTTTTTTTTTTTACTTTTTAGAGACAGGGCCTCACTCTGTCATCCAGGCTGGAGTGCATTGGTACAATCATAGCTCACTACAGCCTCAAACTCCTGGGCTCAAGTGATTCTCCTGCCTCAGCCTCCTGAGTAGCTGGAACTAATCTGTTCCAGGTGCGCGTCACCACATCTGGCTAATTTTTAAATTTTTTGCAGGGACAGGGTCCTGCTGTGTTGCCCAGGCTGGCCTTGAACTCCTGGCTTCAAACAGTCTTCCCACTTGGGCTCCCAAAGTGCTGGGATTAAAGGGGCGAGTTACAGCACCAGGACCTGAAATGTAAGTTTCCTTTTGTGAGTGAATGTTCCATTTAGTTAAGTTATTCCAAAATGATGAGGTAAGCCTGTGAATGAGGTTCTACTTTCTGTCCAGAATTCTTGGAGAAGGTCAAACTGGTGAGATGAGCGAGGCAGGTTGAGAGGTATGAGGAGTTGGGGGCAGGGGGGTTACATTATTCAAAAGAGTACAAGTGGAGCCTGCGAAGGGGGAGTAAAAGCGACAACAAAGAGAGGGGCTCTGGCGGCCTTGGAGTGGAACAGATTAGTGACATCCGTCTTAAAAAAGCCCAGTCATGACTGGTGGTGGCTGATGAGGCCTAGGAAGCGATTAGAGCTGAAGTCATTAAAACGTCTCTGTGGAAGTTTAGCTGGCTGCCCTCCACTTAATCCTCTTAGGCAAACAGGCCATTCTCACTAGGCCGTAGATGGAGGCTCCGGCGGATCCTGGCCTGAAATGCCAGCCGACTTCGAGAATTAGAAATTCTCGGTATTCATGAGGATTGGGAGTAAGCGTGTGAGTTGGTTTGTGAGGTGTGGAAAGCCAATTTGCTGATGGTATAAGTCTTCCATTTAATCACCGTCAAGCACAAAGTGATGTAGAAAAAGAAAGTCTTCAGGATCAATATTAACTACGGCTTCGACACAGCTAAGAATCAACAATGGCTGGAACTGTGACCTACAACTCAGGCTCTGCTGGGCTGACCAGGGCCCTGGGGGAACACAGGGAGAAGGCGTTCTAGCACATGACCTGTGTAGTCTGAGATTGAAACTGACCTTTTGAGGGAACAGGGCCAGAAGCTAGAAGCACCCAGAGACTGTGTCTATTCTTTCCAGAAGGATCCCTGTCTCAGCTAGACGATCCCCGGCAGGCTGCAGTTAGATGCTCAAATTTCAGCGAATGGATTGAATGAAAGTCAGTCTGGGTCTGAGACAAGATTTTCATTTGATAGAAATTGTTAAGATTTTCCTCTGAGTAATTTCTTTTTTTTTTTTTTTTTTTAATTTATTTTTTATTGATCATTCTTGGGTGTTTCTCACAGAGGGGGATTTGGCAGGGTCATAGGACAATAGTGGAGGGAAGGTCAGCAGATAAACAAGTGAACAAAGGTCTCTGGCTTTCCTAGGCAGAGGACCCTGCGGCCTTCCGCAGTGTTTGTGTCCCTGGGTACTTGAGATTAGGGAGTGGCGACGACTCTTAACGAGCATGCTGCCTTCAAGCATCTGTTTAACAAAGCACGTCTTGCACCGCCCTTAATCCATTTAACCCTGAGTGGACACAGCACATGTTTCAGAGAGCACAGGGCTGGGGGCAAGGTCACAGATCAACAGGATCCCAAGGCAGAAGAATTTTTCTTAGTACAGAACAAAATGAAAAGTCTCCCATGTCTACCTCTTTCTACACAGACACGGCAACCATCCGATTTCTCAATCTTTTCCCCACCTTTCCTCCCTTTCTATTCCACAAAACCGCCATTGTCATCCTGGCCCATTCTCAATGAGCTGTTGGGCACACCTCCCAGACGGGGTGGTGGCCGGGCAGAGGGGCTCCCCACTTCCCAGTAGAGGCGGCCGGGCAGAGGCGCCCCTCACCTCCCGGACGGGGCGGCTGGCCGGGCGGGGGTCTGACCCCCCACCTCCCTCCCGGACGGGGCGGCTGGCCGGGCAGAGGGGCTCCTCACTTCCCAGGAGGGGCGGCTGGGCAGAGGCGCCCCTCACCTCCCGGATGGGGCGGCTGGCCGGGCGGGGGGCTGACCCCCCCACCTCACTTCCCAGACGGGGTGGCTGCCGGGCGGAGAGGCTCCTCACTTCTCAGACGGGGTGGCTGCTGGGCGGAGGGGCTCCTCACTTCTCAGACGGGGTGGCTGCTGGGCAGAGGGTCTCCTCACTTCTCAGACGGGGTGGCCGGGCAGAGACGCTCCTCACCTCCCAGACGGGGTCGCGGCCGGGCAGAGGCGCTCCTCACATCCCAGATGGGGCGGCGGGGCAGAGGCGCTCCCCACATCTCAGACGATGGGCGGCCGGGCCTCTGAGTAATTTCTTTCCTAACTGGCTGTGAAAAGAAGGAAGAAAGGCCAGTGTTTAATTGGGTTGGGATCTCGGCGGCTCTGCGATCAGTTTCTTTCTTTTATCAGTGTGGGCTCACTGGTGACTGAAGGGGGTTTATTATCCAAATTATATAAGATCTGTGTTTTGGATTTGCCACCAGAGAAGGTATTAAACAGTGCTACCTATCAGAAGATTCATGCCTCGTATGGAGTTTTAAATTTTTGAGTAGCCACATTAAAAAAAGTAAACGGAAACTGAAGAAATTACTTTTAATAATATGTTTCCCTTAACCAAAATATTATTCCAACATAATTAATGTAAGAACATGCTGATAAGATGTTTTGCATTATTTTTTCCATGTTGAGTCTTCAAAATTCAGCACATCTCAATTCAGGGTAGCTCTTTCTGAAGGGGTTAGAGGCTACCATATTAGACAGTATCTAACACTGGATATAAAGGATTACATCACATGGTCCCTGCCCTCTGGGAGCCTATAAATGTGTACCTTTATTCTGTATTCAAGGAGGTGGAGTAGGGGGGATGGAGAGATGTACCTAATAAGACTCCACTTGAGAGAAATGGGAACCTCTCTAGGGTTTAATGCCAACTACTAGTGCTAGGCAGGTTGTACATGGCTCCCTCCTCTTCTCAGGTCTGGTTAACTAACAACTCTGTCACCCAACCACACCCAACAGAACAAATTCTTGACAGCCCAACCAAACAGAAACCACAAAACCAATTGGGCTAACCCAAATTCACATACCTCTTTTTACAGTATTTGAGAGGTCTCTATTCTGCAAAGCGTTAGGGGGATTGTGTGGGGTAAGGAGGGAATGAAGCCAACACTCCGGATGACCTCTGTAGATTGGTTTAACTTAAGAGCACACGTGAACACGTTGTCAGGATCACGGCCAGTACTAGGACTGGTTCAGACACACAGCTCTTGCCACTCCTGAAAGGAGCTTTGGCCAATATCTCCACAGTTTAGGGGTGTAACATTTTGCAGTGCCTCAGTCCTTTAAATGCAGCCAGCTTCCCCTGAGCCCTGAGCTGGGCTGCAGCCAGCACACCTAGGCCATCACTGGCTCCAATGCCTGGTCTGTGTAGTTGGCCAGCACTGCCCTCTCACCCTCCAGACACTCTGAGCCCAGGCCGTAATCTCTGGTTTGACACCATGGCTTTCCACATCAACTCCTAGATTCCCTTCCGACTCTCTTTGCTGATTCGTTGACCTAGCATCTCACTTACCTGTGCATGCTTTCCTGACACATCAGTCTCCCAAGTGTGGGTAGAGTCATCTCTGTCACAAGGACTCTGGGAGCCCTCCCCAGCCAGGCTTGTTCAGGCCTTCTCTGCCTTCCTCTCTTCTCTCCCTAACGGTGGAGAGACATTTGGATACAGTGAGGTCTGGAGCTAATCCCATCCCCTAGGCCCTAGGAGGTCCCTGTTAAAAGGACCAAGTGGGCCAGGTGCGGTGGCTCAAGCCTGTAATCCCAGCACTTTGGGGGGCCGAGGTGGGTGGATCACGAGGTCAGGAGATAAGAGACCATCCTGGCCAACAGGGTGAAATCCCGTCCCTACTAAAAATAGAAAAAGTAGTTGGGTGTGGTGGCGCATGCCTGTAGTCCTAGCTACTCGGGAGGCTGAGGTTGCAGTGAGCCAAGATCGCGCCACGGCACTCCAGCCTGGCAACAGAGCGAGACTCCATCTCAAAAAAAAAGCACCAAGTGTGGGTCTCACAGTCCTGGCCCTGCTCCAGGCCTTTCTTCTTGCCTCATCCTACTCTGTCTCCAGCTCCATGCAGCTATTATATTTCCTTAAGCGAGTTGACTCCTTCCCCATTCACAATGTACTAATTTCAGAACACTCAACTTCTACATATACAAATTCTCAAAAATCAATGCCTAAAAACTAGTGACGTAATCGTTCATTATTTCTTTCTTTCAAGAAATATTTATATTGCACAAATCCATGCAACACAATCGATTTTCTTTCTATGGCAGCTGGATACTGTGTGATGACTTTCTTTGTAGGTTATACACCCCATCTTGATGACAATGCATTAATGGGGATAAATACTCCCCAGAAGAGCTTCGGCCTGTCCTGAGATCTGCAACACAAGGAGTTTTTAACCTGGAAAGTGTGCTTAATTCTTCTACTGCCTCTTCTTGAGGGCTGCCTAAGTACAGAATGTTTGGTGTCCTGGAGGGTGCCCAGGCTAACAGTGAGAATTGGATAGCTCCATCAGGGCCTTGGGCACTGGGCCTATGGAGTAGCCTGTACTTCTTGCTCTTTTCAACACTTGAAGGGAGAGGGGGCCGAGTTCTCTCGCAGAGTTGCTCTATGGCAGTGGCAGCAGCCAGCTGGATATCACGGGAAAATGCCCGCTCCGTGAAACGGTCATATATGCAAAGTAGCCCCCAAAGGCCAAAAGAGCCAAGAAACCAAAGAACAAGCCACACAACTCCAGTTTGTTGATAAAGGATGTTTTACTGGGGAAACTTACAGATGGAAGCATGGTCTTTAGCGGCAGCAATACAGGTAGATCTCTGCACCTGTTACCCCCAGAACCAGGGCTTATATAGCATAGGGAAAGGGTATGTGTGCCCTGTGCAAGACAATGAAAGACTACCCTCCAGAAGAGGCAAGAATGCTGCATGCATCAAAGCCTATAATTTGTGCAACAGCATCGAGGTTGACATGTTCTTACATTAGGGACAGTAAATTAAGTAATAATCAGAAGGCATTCCCGAGACAACGGCTAATCAGAAGTGAAAACAGCAAATTAGCCTCCAACATGGCGTCACTTGTGTCCCCACTTCCTCTTGGTAATAGTCACATGCTCAACCTTCTACTGTGACTTGGAGCAAGTGGCTTCCTTACTCTTGGTTAAGGTTGTTGACCTGTTAATAAAATAAGATTAAAGGGCACATAAAAATGTCACTGGACAGATCTTGTCAGCAGCCCTTTGAGTGCACACAAAGGCTATCAGTAAAGCAGAAAGCAAAGCAGATGTGAAGCTGGGGTTCTACCCAACTAAGTCAGGTGTCAGCAGCATTAGAAGGGCCCTTCCAAGGCCGGGCGTGGTGGCTCACGCCTGTAATCCCAGCACTTTGGGAGGCCGAGGCGGGCGGATCACGAGGTCAGGAGATCGAGATCATCCTGGCTAACACGGTGAAACACCGTCTCTACTAAAAATACAAAAATTAGCCGGGCGTGGTGGCGGGCGCCTGTAGTCCCAGCTACTCGGGAGGCTGAGGCAGGAGGATGGAGTGAACCCGGGAGGCAGAGCTTGCAGTGAGCCGAGATTGCGCCACTGCACTCCAGCTTGGGAAACAGAGAGCAAGACTCCGTCTCAAAAAAAAAAAAAAAAAAAGGAAGGGACCTTCCGATTATGCGCACCACATACGGTGTTTGCGACAACCTAGGATACATTTTATTGTTGGTTCCTATTGGAGATAAGGGATTGAGAGAGACTGATGTGTGCATAGGCATGAACGGGATTGTTCAGACATCCCTGCACTTACAGGGTGTGTCCTTTTAGGATTTCCTGAGCATAAACACGAGGGGAGGGTGAAAAGTCCCACTGTTACCTGCATGCCATGAAAATCCACTGGTTTTGGCTCCAGTTTTTGCTCACTGTCCAACTAAAGCAGCATTTAAAAAAAATGGAAACCTTGAGACATTTCTATTGTTCTGAATCAGCTGAGCATGGATGCTGAAATGTCCCTGCTTCCCACTAGGGGGAGCTTGTCATGCAGCACCAGAAACAGGATCGCGGGAGCGGGTATCGGTGAGGCTGAGCTGGAACGCGATTAGATTTTGTGCGTATGGATCTTCTCACGAGAAGCACACCTGTATTCTGTATTTTGGCTTTGATATGATTTGGTGGCTAGATTTAATTTTTGTGCCACCAGAGTGGATGTTATAGCTCCCGTTATGTAATCTAAAAAGCTTAAACACTTTTTCTACAGCACAGGGCTTTTTTCCTTCTTTCTACTATCAGATTGTATACATAATGATCCCTTATTTAAGGCACTGAGCCGGGCCCCACGCAAAGTCTCACGAGCAGGTGGGCTTCTTCCCCATCAGTGTTAACTGGCTTGGGGTCCATTTCACAGAACCCACTGTCTATCGCGGCTGTCAACAAACTGTGCCCTTCTAATTCAGTTTGACCAGCCTCGTCTAGCTAATGCCAAATCTACTGTGTTCTCTTATCACTGTCCCTGTATTAAATATAGTTAAGAGGAAATGGGGTCATCTTTGCTTTTTGAATATTTTTATTTCCTGGTTGAAAAACAATTGAGTAAAATGTTTTTGTTTCTAGAGGGGGTGACATGGAAATGCTCTATTTCAGTGGTAGAAGGTGCTGCGGAGCAGCGGGAAAACTGTCGCTCTGAAGTCAGAAGTTGGGTTTCAATCCCTGCAATGGCCCTTACTTGCTGACTAAAGGCTCTCAGTCTACTGTAACCCACCGGGCTTCCATTTCTGTCAATTAAGTAGGGATAACAATATGCATTTCGTGTGTGTGTGTGTGTGTTTTTAATGAGAATGGATAAAGAAAGGCAGTTGAAAAGACACAGCACAGTCCGGGTGCGGTGGCTCACGCCTGTAATCCCAGCACTTTGGGAGGCCGAGGCGGGTGGATCACGAGGTCAGGAGATCGAGATCATCCTGGCTAACAGGGTGAAACCCATCTCTACTAAAAATACATAAAATTAGCCGTGTGTGGTGGCGGGCGCCTGTAGTCCCAGCTACTCAGGAGGCTGAGGCAGGAGAATGGCGTGAACCCGGGAGGCGGAGCTTGAGATCGCGCCACCGCACTCCAGCCTGGGCGACAGAGCGAGACTCCGTCTCAAAAAAAAAAAAAAAAAAAAAAACAAGAAAAAAAGAAAAGAAAAAAAGACACAGCACAGTGACTGGCACATAGCAGGTGTCACTCCATTCCTCTTTCGCTTTGGTCAGGAATCCCCTTTGCCGTTTGATCACTTTTAAAGACAATCCCTCATGTTTTCTTCCTTGTATTATTTAATAGCCTGTTCGCCTGTTCAGTGTAAGATAAGGAAACATTAGTACAGAAAAATGGGGAATAGACAAATGGCGAAGGGACGGCTATCCTTTCGGAACAGAAAACACAACTTAATTACATTCACAATGGATCAAAACGGCTTCCTGAATCAGGTACCTACAGTTTGCGGCCTCTCTTATGTCCCGCCTGCGTCTCTCTGTCTACTACTCATCACCAGATGCCAGGGCCACCTCCAACAGCGGTGCCTGCATTCCTTCTTGATTTAGTATCTTTTTGTAATTGATACATAATATTTTCACATATTCATGGTGTATATGTGATGTTTTGTTACATGCATGGAATGTGTTATGATCAAGACAGGGTATCAGGGTATCCAGCTGGAGTATTTATTTCCAGGTGCTGGGAACATTTCAAGTCCTATCTTCTAGCTATTTTCAAAATATGTAATGCAGTCGCCCTATTCTACCATCTAACGTTAGAACTTATTCTTTCTAACTATATGTTTGTACCCCTAACCAACCTTTCTTCATTCCCCCACCTTCATGTCCTTCTTAACTGCTAGTAAACGTTCTACTCTCTACCTCTGTAAGATCACCTTCTTTTAGCTCCCACATATGATGGAGTAAATGCAATAAAAATATGGAAAGCTTCACAAATTTGCACGGCATCTTTGTGCAGGGCCGTGCTAATCTTCTCTATATCATTCCAATGTGCCAATTACTAATGAACTAAACACTAATACTTTCTGCCAAAGTAAGCATGGATTTAGGATCTTTGACATGATCCCAAAAAGATAGACATTGCAGTGCTTTTGTGGATGATATCCAATTGAGGTTCTACTTCTGCAGAATTAAATTATAATTTTACACAGTCTTTTGGAAGATCCCAGGATTTGATAAAGAATTTCATGAGAATCTAAATCCAAGATTTCTCCACTCACTGGGGCCTGGTTAACTGATATCTGGCTATAAAATTCCAACACAGGATAGATTTCAGTTCAGTTCTGAACTGCCTTCTTGGCTTCCCAGTTGATATAAGACATGCATTCTAATGGAAACACATTGCTGAATGTGGCTAGGCCATAGAGCTGAATTAACTCAGGTTAGCTTTATTTTGGATAAGTAGGCTTTTTGTGGGCTGCCCTGGGAACTTTTTCATTATGTATAATTTCATACCTATGGAATATGAGGCTCAAATTCTAAATGACTGGCTTGCCAACTTTTAGAATTTACCTGCTTTAAAATTGGGAGCAATCTGTTCCTTTGTAAATGTTCTGAACTGGAACTATAATTCAGATAAATAAGGGCATTTCTAAATGACAGAGCCCAAAGGAAATCTGTTTGCAAGAGGGACAGATGCCCCTCAGGAAGACAAGCAGGGGAGCACTTGTTCTCAGATCATGAGTCAAGGTCAGAGAGTGAGATGACTCTGGGTAATGGAGACTACACTTCAGGCCATCCCCGTAGACAAATGCTCATGTCTTAAAGAAAAGGAGAGGCAAAAACACAGTGAGAAAATCCTGAAAGCTGCAATGCATTGGAATTGCTGTCTGCATCGGAAGTGGGGTTATAGCAGGGACATCAGTCTCCTTGGTGTAAGCAGAGTAAGAACCAGAAACAGCAGCAGCGCAGCATCCGTGACAAAAGCATTCATGTTGGAAGTCCCAGGTGTGACCAGTGTGAGCTGGAATAGGAAAGAGTAAAGGGGTCATTCCTCAGGTCACTGGGAAGAGGCATGGAGCACAGGCAACACATAGACACTTCCATCATGATTTCACAGGGTGTGGGGCAGCTGGAAATGCCAGAGACATGTATTGTGAGTATTGCTGTGACCATATGTTTTTGCTTCCAAACTAGTATGGACAAGGAAGCCTCCTTGCATTAAAAAAAATTTTTTTTAATGTGTGTGTGTGTGTATATAAACCTAACTGGTTCCTGCCAGACACTAACATTGCATTGCCCAGCAAATAAAAAGGAAAGAAAAAGGCCCTCAGATCTTTAAAAACTGGACTAGGCACTGACCATCAAAGCCCATCAGACATGTCTGATCCCTGGCACTCTCCCTCCAGCTCCCGAGCCCTCTTCCTCTGTCTGCCTTCCTGGCTTTTGACTGCAGATTGCTAACAGATCCTGACTCTTGCCTGTGTACCATTCTGATTTTGCATCTCTCTTTGCTTCCACTGATACCTGACAGTCTCTTTGTTTGTCTGCTGCCTTGAGCAGAATTTCCTAAAGAATTCTGAAACCAACTCAATCCTCCCATAGGTAGTTTTTTGGATAAACACAGAGATTGACCCTTCTGGTCTTAAAACTTGAAACTACATTTGCTTTATCGGAGTTCCTTCCTCAGGAAATGACCTTCAACCTCCCCAAAAAAGTATCAAAGAACTGAAACTCACCAGATCGCCACATCCAGACAATGAAATGCCTGACCCTTCATTCATCAGGATCGCTTCCTTGCCCCTTCCTAGTTCCTGTCTTCTTCCCTGCTATATAAATCCTTAGCTTTAGTTGGTCAGGGAGATGGATTTGAGGCTGAGCTCTCATCTTTTCAGCTGCAGCACCCGATTAAAGCCTTCTTCCTTGGCAATACTCATAGTCTCAGTCATTGGCTCTCGGTCTCTGGCTTTCTGTGTAGCAAGCTGCAGAATCTAGACCAAATCCTTGGTATTTCAGTAATATTTGCACAAAACACAGTTCCAAGGGTGTTGTGTAAACAAATAGTATATGTATGGAAATGAATAAAAATAAACCAGTTCATAGAGGACAGAGGTTCTGCCCATTTTCTCAATATCCAACCCTGTACCTTGTATACAGAAATTGCCCTATACATACTGGCTGCATGAATAGGTGGCCAAGTTTCAGAAATGGGTTAAACTTAAAAATACATTTCTTTGACTTTGGAATGTTAATTAGCCCTTAATATATGAAAAAGCATTGAGAATAAATCTTGACCTAAGTCTCACAGCTTATGTAGAAATTAACTCAAAGTGATCTAAGATGGATCATGGATTTAAATGTAAAACTGGGACTATATATTGTATTTAAACAGATTTAAATGTAAAACTATAAAACTTTTAGAAGAAATCTTAAGAGAAAATCTTCAGGACCAAGGGTTAGGTGAAGGATTATTAGACATGACAACAAAATGCAGTCCATAAAAACAAAGTAAATCAGAGTTCATCAAAATGAAAAACTTTTGTGCTGTGGAAAATGTGGTTAAGCAAATAAAAGACATCCTACCCCCTGGGAGGATATACATGAAACTGAAAAAGGACTAGAATCTAGAATCTATAAATAACCTTCAAAACTCAACAATTAAAACAACCCCCAAATCCAGTTATCAAATGGGCAAAAACATGAGCAGACATTTCACCAAAGAGGAGATACAGATGAAATAAGAACATGCAAAGATATTTGTAATCATTAACTATTAGGAAAATGCAAACTACAATTACAATGAGATATCCCGACACACCTGTTAGAACAACTACAAAACAGCAACAATGCTGGAGAAGAAGAAGAGAAACTGAATTTCTCATGCGTGCCTGGTGGGAATTTGAAACAGTGCATTGGCTGTTTCTTATTAAGTTAAATGTGTAACTACCATTCAACCAAGCAATTATATTCTTGGACATTTATTCTGGAAAAATGAAAACGTATGTCCATATAAAAACTTGTACCTGAATGTTCATATCTTTACTTATAATCACCCCAAACTGGGAACAATCCAAGTGTCCTTCAATGATGAATGATTAAACTAACCATGGTAGAGTCACGCCAGGGAATACTACTCAACAACATAAAGGAACAAACTATTGATGCATGCAACAACCTGGACCTATCTTAAAGGGCATTGTGCTTAGTGGAAAAAGCCCATCTCAAAATTTTACATACCTGTGTGAGTCCATATATAACTCCATATATACAATGTTCTTGAAATGACAAAACTGTAAAGATTAGAGCAGATTAGAGTTGCCAGGGGACAGGGATGGAAAGAGCGGATGAATACAAAGGGATAGTACAAGGGAGCCACTTTGTGATGATGTGGTTCCACAAATCTACACACAGCATAAAAGTGCAGCAAACTATACACATACACACACAGCTGAATGCATGTAAAAATTGTTGAAAACGGAATAAGGCCTGTAGTTAATGACACTGTATCATATCAATTTCCTGGGTGACATTGTACAACAGCTATATAAAATGTCCCTCTGGGGGAAGTTGGACGAAGGATACACAAGACTATTTTGCAACTTCTTTTGAGTCTGTAATTATTTCAAAATGGAAAGTTAAAAAAAAAAAAGACTTGAGAATATCCAAGAGAGGGTTTTAACCATGAAACCCTTTCGTCCTGGAACATCGGGTAAGATTGGTGTTCTATAGAACACACGCTGGGAAATGCATGTCAAAGAAACTGGTTTTGAACCAACAATCACTGTCCCCATTGTTCATCCCAGCCCCGGGCCCATCACCTGCATCAGTGGCCAAGCTTGCCCCACAATTCTGTCTCAATTTGCAGCTGAGAGGACACTCCACAGAGTTGCTTTTGTTCAGTAGGGTTTTCCACAGAGGTTGTATCTTGGTTCATTTCTGTTTTTCGCTTTGGGTTAGGCTGCTCTGCCAAGTTTGCCCAAACTTGTGTCAGTCTGTGCCAAGCACCATGCCTCATCCACAGAACCTAATGGGATGTGACACAGGTGGTAGGTCAGGATAGTGACAGCCAAGAATCTGGAGGAAACAGAGGCATTGTTGTCATAATGGCCTACTCTCAGAAGGTATTATGCCATAAACAGAAGCTGTGAATGAACGTAGAATAAATAAGTCATTTCCAGTACAGCAGACTGCAGTGTGTACACGCTTGAGTTGATACCTTTATTGACACACAGCCTAGACCAAATGGTGCTCAAACTCCATTGTTCCTAAGAATCGCCTGAAAAATCCGTGTTGTTGCTATGTCAGTATCCTGGAGGAGGAACCTGAGAATAGGCAGATTCAGAACAATCTCAACAAGTAACACTGGTACAGGAAGTCTGGGACCACACCTTTTTCTACAATATCACTTTTTAATCATTTCAGCTGGGAGCCTTGTTACTTGCACTCCATACTATATGAAGTGTTTAAAACTAATAACTTCTACCCATTTACACTAGCATATGTATTTACCAAAGGATTTTTTTAATTCCCTTACACATCGCTCAGAAACAAACCAATGTAGGAGTGTGTGTGTGTGTGTGTGTGTGTGTGTGTGTGTTGAAAAATAAAGGGTAATGACAATTTCCAAACGTGGTTCTTCTTTTATCAAAGGACAAAACTCGTAACCTTAATAGCATTTGTGATAAACCCAGGACTCTGGGAAATAGGAAGATTTTTGTTTTGTGTTATTTGTTTTGCTTAATCATGGTCAAAGAACCATTAGAGACAATTTGAACATTACCTTAATGAGTCCTACAAAGTAGTGCTTTTGACAGCTATTTTTTAATTGGCCAAAAAAGAAATCCTAACAAATCACCCTGGCCAACTTGACAGCTTGTTTGCTATGGGATATTCTGTCTTATCTTTGGAAGCCCCACTGTAGCCAGTCTAAAAGAACAACACAGCCTTAAGAAAATGGGGCAAAGACTCACTTAGTGATTAGAGGTAATAAAACAGAGATGGCCCCAGTAGTCCACAATCTTGGAAGTGACCAGGGTGCCTTCCTGTGAGTTTCTTTGACTGTACAATGGTGATCCATCCATATCGCCCCTGTGTTTCCCAAAGCTATAGTAAGCAATATGGCAGAATCTAATAAAAAGTATCAAAGGATTTATGCGAAGTAATGCATATGTTAATTAGCTTGACTTTCCCATTCCACAAGGTAGACATATTTGAAAACATCATGTTATCTGTCAATTTTTTAAATTAAATAATTTTTTAAGTATTAAAGAATTTCACAGCCCTTCCAACAGCCCTTGATCTAGATCAGTGGTCTCCCAAACAGAATGTCCAGCGCTGATCCATTGGAGTGCTGGAGAAAATGCTAAAACTTCCACTTACATTTAGTTTTATCAAAAATTAAGACGTTTAACTTGACTAATATTAATAGATGCATTAAATTGGCGGTCTCATTTAGTCTGCAAGTCCCAAACATCATCATGGGACCCATGTAGTGTTCCCAGGATCTTAAGAGAAGAGTGGAGATTATTTGATCAAGAATGTAAATGGGCTGAGCACAGTGGCTCACACCTGTGATTCTAGAGCTTTGGGAGGACTAGACAGGTGGATCGCTTGAGCCCAGGAGTTCAAGACCTGGGCAACGTGGCAAAACACCATCTCTACAAAAACACAGAAATTAGCTGGGTGTGGTGGCACGTGCCTGTAGTCCCAGCTCCTAGAGAGGCTGAAGTGGGAGGCTCACTTGAGCTTGGGAAGTGGAGGTTGCAGTAAGCCAAGATTGTTCCACTGCACTCCCGCCTGAGTGACAGAGCAAGACCCTGTCTCAAAAAAAAAAAAAAAAAAAAAAAAGAATAATGATGGCAGCCCCTCACTTAGCCATGAGCTATCAGGCTATCAGGTTATTGGACAATGTTGCACTGGACATGCTCCCAGTTAAATGCACTTACAGGTATTGTTATCTAGATTAAACTAATCCTCACAAAATGAACAAGTGGCTTAAAACAGTTTCTTCAAGGAATTGCCTATGTCATCACTGCAGAAAACTCTGACCCAGAAAATGTCCAAACAACCTGAGTAGTCCATTGAAGATAATAATAATGCAAGCACAAGAGAATATCAAGAA
The DNA here is from genome assembly GCF_000001405.40 of Homo sapiens. Taxonomy (NCBI): domain Eukaryota; kingdom Metazoa; phylum Chordata; class Mammalia; order Primates; family Hominidae; genus Homo; species Homo sapiens. The sequence continues at coordinate 9,377,237 of NC_000008.11, forward strand.
AAAGGAAGACCTGACATTTATTCTACTTGCCAAGTGGGCTCTGTATCTGCCCACATGATGAGTTATTTTAAAAATCAGAGATGATCTATCAGATTTTAAAAGAAGATGGCCAATCTGTGAGAAGATGCTTTTTGAAGAAATGCATGCTATGAAAAGAATAATTTGAAAGTGAATATTTGGAAACATTTTCAAGTTTATGTGTTCTTTTTTTTAATTTAAAAATTCTGTGTGTCACATATAAAAACTCTCATATTATTACACTTAAACTATCAAAAATCTGTAAACGGGCCAGGCGTGGTGTCTCACGCCGGTAGTCCCAGCACTTTGGGAGGCCGAGGCAGGTAGATTGTGAGGACAGGAGATCGAGACCATCTTGGCTAACATGGTGAAACCCCGTCTCTACTAAAAATACAAAAAAATTAGCCAGGTGTGGTGGTGGACGCCTGTAGTCCCAGCTACTTGGGAGGCTTAGGCAGGAGAATGGCTTGAACCCAGGAGGTGGAGCTTGCAGTGAGCCGAGATCGCACCACTGCACTCCAGCCTGGGCGACAGAGCAAGACTCTGTCTCAAAAAAAAATCTGTTAAAAATTCTTCCAAAAAAAGTTTTAATGAGTTTTTAACCTATTTGTTAAAAACACCAAAATGAAATCCAGTAGTCCCCCCACCATCTGTGGTTTTACTTCCTGTGGTTCTAGTTACCCGCAGTACAGTACAGTGAGACGTTTTGAGAAAAAGAGGACCATATTCATGTAACTTTTAGTACACCGTATTGTTATAAATGTTCTATTTTATTATTGTTGTTGTTATTCTCTTACTGTGCATAACTGATAGATTTTATCATAGATATAAATGTACAGGAAAAAACATACTCTATATAGGGTTCGGTACTATCCGAGGTTTCAGGCAACCACTGGAGGTCTTGGAAAGCATCTCCCATGGATAAGGGAGAGCTACTGCACCTTGTGATCAGTTAGGAAGAGAAACTTCTTGATATCAGAGAAAACAAAAATTACCAGCACAATTTAAACAAAAACCTTTACACAATCGATGGAGTGGAATGAAAATGAGCATCTAAAGAGGTTTTTGTTCCATCTGGCTCTGTGCATCTTTGTGAGAGAACATTTTCAGCTGCAATAAGCAATAAAGTCAAGAAAGAAAGAAAAAGTAGAAAGAAAAGAAGGAAGGCAGGCAGGCAGGAAGGCAGGAAGGCAGGCAGGTAAGAAGGCAGGAAGTTAGGAAGGAAGGCAGGAAGGCAGGCAGGAAGGCAGAAGGAAGGAAGCAAGGAAGGAAGGAAGGAAGGAAGGAAGGAAGGAAGGAAGGAATCTAAGAAAGGAAGTCTTTGGAAATATTTTTAAGGGCTAAGAATAGGAATTCCAAACATAAGGAATCAGGAATAGAGAAAGACTCTATGAATTATATACAAATCTACATGTGTGCATGAGGAGTGTGTATGAGCAATAGAATAGAAATCAAGATAGTAAGAAATATTTCTAGTCATAATGCTTTGAAAATAAAATTGTACTTTTAGGTATTGCAGCTTCTACGACTTTGCAAAAACAATACACTGAAATAAATGCTTTCAGTTTGACCACTGTGTTAGTTTTCTAGGGCTACCGTTACAAAAAACCAGAAGCTGGGTAGTTTACACAACAGAAATGTATTTTCTCACAGTTCAAGAGGGTAGAAGTCCAAGATCAAGGTGTCAAGAGGGCTGGTTCCTTCCGAGGGCTGTGAGGGAAGATCAGTTTCATGCCTCTCTCCTTACTTCTGGTGGCTTTCTGGGAATCTTTGGTGTTCCTTGTAGATGGCATCTTCTTGTGTCTTCACAAGGTCTTCTCTCTGTCTCTGTATCCAAATTCCCCTTTTTTTTAATAAGGGCACCACTGATACTGGATTAGGGGCCTACCCTATTCCAGTATCATCTATCAATTACATTTACAATCACCTTTTTCCAAATAAGGTTGCGTTGTGAAGTACTGGGGGTTAGGACTTTAACATTCAAACTTTGGGGAAACACAATTCTACCTATCCCAACGATGACTTTGCAAAAATGAAAATCCACCTTCCTCATTTCTTTTAAAAGTGTGTCTTTGGGCCAGGCGTGGTGGCTTACGCCTGTAATCTCAGCAGTTTAGGAGGCCGAGGCAGGTGGATCACGAGGTCAGGAGATCAAGACCATCCTGGCTAACACGGTGAAACCCCGTCTCTACTAAAAATACAAAAGAAAATTAGCTGGGCATGGTGGTGGGTGCCTGTAGTCCCAGCTACTCGGGAGGCTGAGGCAGGAGAATGGCGTGAACCCGGGAGGCGCAGCTTGCAGTGAGCCGAGATCGCACCACTGCACTCCAGCCTGGGCGACACAGCGAGACGCCGTCTCAAAAAAAAAAAAAAAAAGTGTGTCTTTGATAAAAGGCAAGGACTTGCAAAGCTCGCAGTTCTGTGTTGGTGTCAAGAAATCACAGGGCCCTTAATCACCCCATATGCAGTCTCTACCCTGCACCCAGAGATGGCCCTCGGTGGGTAGAAACTGACCAGAAATATTTTGAGACAAGAATCATAATTTGCATTCCTGTCCCTGTCCTTAGCTGTGCCGTCTACTGCTGGTTTCTCCTTTCCATATGTTTTACCCTTTGTTCTTCTAAAGCTGCAGATAAAAGATTTCAGACCGGGCAACATTTCAGGGTGTTCATACCGTCTGTGAAATACCTTCCCAAATGAACAGTGAAAGGAAGCACTTGAAAGGTCTTATTTTAATAAGATTTTTATTCTGCACATAGAAAAAGAGGGATTTTTCTTCGTTATTGTTAAATTTTTGCCTTTTCCCTGCTATCATTCTCCATGTGAATAAAGAAGTTGTCCTTGCTTCAGGGCAGGAGTTTTTGATTCAGACTACAGTCACTAGGAATACAACACTTAGGCCATTGTAAATCGTTAGTGTAGGTGATAAACAACCAGTATTCCAGTGGAGACGCATTTCATGACCTGTGAGGATGGAAATCTTCCACAACCGTCAAGTGTTGCTTTGGGTATGCATGTGAATGAGTCTGCATAATGAGCAAGGTCTCGGTGACAGCCAGCTCGGGCTCCAGGAGAAACGGAGGTGACTCAGCTTCCATACGTGATTTCGAGCTAGAAACTGCAAGTAGAAAACGTGAATTGATCTGAAATTTCTGAACCTACAAACATCTTCCTGGAAGATTAAAATAACCCAATCTAAAGCCAGTAGAGATACAGAGATTGGTGGAAGATACTTAAAAAATCTATTGGTGTCTGAAACCTAATTTATGTCTGAGTTCTTATTTATGTCGGCAGGCTCTCTGAGGATGTAGGATGAGTAATAGTTACAGGGTGTGACTTTTCTCAAAGAGAAAGCCAGGCCAGAGGTGTCTGACCAAAGACCGTGACCATTTGACAGGCATTGCACGGGGTTTCATAGAGGTGGACACTTCAGGCCTCTTTCAGTCTTTACATTTTATCTGTCTCTGGATGGTGAAGACATTCAGAGGCCTAAATATGGCAGAGGTGATAAAAGAAAAACTTTAGACAAATTACATTTAACAGAGTTTTAGTTGGGCAAATCAATGCATGAACTGGGCAGTCCCCTGAACCTCAGTAGGTTCAGAGAGACTCTGCTGTGGTTGCAGAGGATGTATGGAGAGAAAAAGGAAAGTGATGTGCAGAAGATGGAAGTGAGGTACAGAAACAGCTGGATTGGTTAGAGCTCAGCGTTTGCCTTATTTGAACATGGTTTGAATAGCTGGCTATCTTTGATTGGCCAAAACTTGGTGACTGGCAAAAGAGTAGTACCTGACTGGTCACACGTCCAGTTAGGTAATAGTTCACAATGTGTGGAGAAACCTTTAGGCTGACGTTAAAATATGTAAGGAGGCAGCTTTAGGCTAAACTTAATTTAACAGAGGGATGTGAATCTGGGCCAGAAATTCAAAAGTCCTTTCCTAGTCCAGCACTCTATTGAAGTATTCAGTTCTGGAAGAGAAAGACAAATGGCGAGTTGGCGTAGAAACAATATATTATCTATACTAACTAGGATGAATTGTTTATTATTTCCATAGGAAAAATAGGATGGTCTACGCCAGGGACAAATGCTTTTTTATCTATCTTTCAGAGGATAAAAGTGACACTAGTAGTCTGGGGGAGGTCCCCAAATGCTGTTGGAACCTCAACCCCAACCAGTGTCCAGGATCTTGACACCATTTTAAGAATGAATTCAAAGATGAATTGGGAAATATTAGTGAAAGTACAGAGATTTATTGCAAAGAGAATAGCACACACTCATAAAAAGGGGATGCAGGTGTACTCAAGAGAGAGATCCACCAAGGGGGTTTGGGGCTGTTGCCTTTATAGTTTTCTTTAACCAAGGGGTAGAAGATTCATGAAAATTCCTAGAAAAACATGGAGATTTCTCGGAATTGTGGTGCTGCCCATTTTTACACCAAATATGGTTGTTCCTGAAACTGTTATGGCACTGGTGAATGTGTGATTTAGGATGTTAATGAGCAGAAGGTGAGGTCCTAGGTGAAACCTGGCTCAAGTCCAGCACCACATTTGGTCCAGTCAGTCTTAGCCAGCTTGGTGCACACGCTGGTTTTTCAGGGTCTTAGCCGTTCCTAGCTTCTGCAGCTATTTTAATAGTTTCCTTTTGCTAGTCATGTAAAACTGTTGCCTGGAATTTTCTATTGTCCTGCAACTATGCTGTATTACTCCTGTCTTAAAAAGGGTTCAAGCCTTTCTCTCTCTCTCTGTCTCTCTCATTTAAGGTAGAGTCTGTCTCTGTCGCCCAGGCTGGAGTGCAGTGGCCCCATCTTGGCCCACTGCAATCTCTGCCTCCCAGATTCAAGCAATTCTCTTGCCTCAGCCTCCCGAGTACCTGGGATTACAGACGCACACCATCACACCTGGCCAATTTTTGTATTTTTAGTAGAGATGGGGTTTCACCATGTTGGCCAGGCTGATCTCAAACTCCTGACCTCAGATGATCCGCCTGCCTCAGCCTCCCTAAGTTTTGGGATTACAGGCATGAGCCACCGCACCCAGCCAGGGTTCAAGCCTTTCTGAAAATTACTCAAGTGTTTGGAGAAGCCCCCTTTGCTCTCAAATGCCCCATAATTAGAATCAGCAAAAGCACATGTATGGTCCCTACAATAAGAGGCAGCTTTTGTCACTGTTCCCAAGATAAGTCAACTCTACCAAGAGGTCAGAGGGTTATGTGTTCAGTGTGACATTTAAAATCAAGAAGGAACATAGTGGCAAGTGTTTAGCTACCTTCAACCTTGTCTATGAATGAGCTGACCCACTTTCTTTTTTGAAAAAAATTGTGATAAAACACATATAACTTAAAAGTTACCCAGAAAACTTTTAACCGTTTTTAAGTATACAGTTCAGTGGTGTTAAGTATATTGAACAATGCTGGGCAACCATCACCAACATCCATTTCCAGAACTTTTCTATCATCCCAAACAGAAACCCTCCACTTCCTCTTTAACCCAAAAGAAATCAGTGTGCAAATTGTCTTATTTTCTCCTCTCTGACTCCAAGTACTGCTTCAGCTCAGCAGTGCCTTCTACCAAGGAGCAATGGGGCTGAGAATGCATAGTGCCCATTTTAACAGTACAATTGTCTTAGCTAAGGTTCCCAGCTGTTCTCAGCACCTGCGTGGGACCTGGGCCCGGGCTGTACCACGCTGACAGTGAACATACACTCGGGGCCTCTGCCAGTATTTTTCCAGGAACACTGCCTCCTCAACACGGTCTGCTCGTTATGTGCTGAGATGAGTGCTCTATTAATTTTAACGATGCCATAAAGTGGGTGATCAGAAAATGTAATGGAGCAGCCTGCTTTCACTCTCAGAGGTTAATGACAGTGGGCACAAGATCAACAAATAGCGTTAAGGCTGAGAAATGATTCCTTCCTCCTGGTCATCTGTCTGGACTGGGCTCTTCCAATGGCTTTGTTAATGTAGGTGCCAGCGGTAAATCTCTGAAATCAGGATGGACAGTGTGACAGGGGCAGAGCCTTGTGACCCATGGCCTTGGCTCTCCCCACCACTTCCACTGCTTCCACCGCAGGCGGTGGGAATGGCTCTGCCTCTGGGGTGAAGGAAGGGTTATGGGCAATGTAACTGCTTTGAATCATTCAGATCTCCTTCTAGAATATAGGATCAACTCAGACAAGGTACCAGTTCTACCCGCGCCACGGTCACTTGAGGATCTTATCACCACCACACACACAAGACTACTGGTAACACTGAGGTATTTTTGTCTTTGGTGGCTCCTCTGCTGTCATAATAGTCTAGGCCTGTTTCATTCCTCTCTTTGAAATCAGTCACGTGGCTGGAGCTTGTGAATTACAGCCCACATTCCTGATGGAGGAACTGAGGCTTAGTGCATTAAGTGACTGCTATAGTTTGGATTTGTGTCTCCCAAACCTCATGTTGAAATGCGATCCTCAGTGTTAGAGGTGGGGCCTAATGGGAGGTGTTACAGTCACAGGGGTGGGTCCCTCCCGAATTGATTAATGCCCCTCAGGAGACAGGGGTAGAGGGGAACGAATGAGTTCTTGCCCAACTAGTCCCCTGTAGAGCTGATTGTTAAAAAGAACCTGGCGTCTCCACTCACGTTCTCTTTTGCTTCCTCCTCCTCCGTGTGATCTCTGCACATGCAGCCTCCCTTTTTCCTTCCAACTTGAGTGGAAGCAGCCTGAGGCATCATCAGAAGCAGATGCTGATACCATGCTTCTTGTAGAGCCTGCAGAACAGTGAGCCACATAAACCTCTTTTCTTTATAAATTACCCAGTCTCTGGTATTCCTTTATAGCAACACAAATGGACTAAGACAGTGACTAACCAAAAAATAACCAGTTAGTTGAAACCCCAGACCTTCCCTGCTAGCCAATTGATTTGTTGCTCCGTTTGTTTCTCAGTAGGTACAGCATCAAAGACCAACACTTGGGATTGATTTTGATGAGACCCAGCACAGGCAATAATCAGGGAGCTTGAGACTCTGGAACCAGAAACTGGACACAATATTCTGAATAATAGAGTCCCATCATTGAAAACAACCTGAGTTTTTGTTTAGACCAGTGAGCCTCCAATAATTTGTACTGGTTAAAATACAAATTCCTAGGCTTTCTCCCAACCAACGAATTCAGAATTTCTTGGAGGTGGAATGCAGAAGTCTGCATTTTTTTTTGTTTGTTTATCTTTTGTTTTTTATTTTTCGAGATGGAATCTCGCTCTGTTGCCCAGGCTGGAGTGCAGTGGCGCAATCTTGGCTGACTGCAACCTCTGCCTCCCAGGTTCAAGTGATTCTCCTGCCTCAGCCTTCCGAGTAGCTGGGATTACAGGCATATGCCACTGTGCCTGGCTAATTTTGTATTTTTAGTAGAGATGGGGTTCTCCATGTTGGTCAGGCTGGTCTCGAACTCCCGACCTCAGGTGATCCACCCGCCTCAGCCTCCCAAAGTGCTGGGATTACAGGCATGAGCCACTGCACCCAGCCAGAAGTCTGTATTTTTTTTTAACAGCTTCACAGGTTATTCTGAGGCTCTACCAGGTCTGAAAAACACAGTGACCACATTGATCAGATCTCCCACAGAAGATGCATCTGAAAGAACCATGAGGCAATGTCCTCTTCGTTCTGGACTTGCACTCTTGTAAGTGCAGCCTGAGATGGTATTAGCGTTTTCAACAACGGAATCACAGTGGGAAATCACTGTTGACTTTGCGGTCAGCTCATATTCTCCAGTTCTTTCCTCATGAACTGCCATCACATTTATTCTTGCATCTCTAAAGACGCAATAAATGAAGGATTAGGTTTGAAAAACCAGAATCATAATTTAAGCCTACTTTACTTGGCCATTTCTAATGACCATCTTTTGTTGTTAAAATCAATTATGTTTATACAACTATTATACACTCAGAATAATTAAAATAAAAAAAAATTTTTGGGCCGGGCGCAGTGGCTCACGCCTGTAATCCCAGCACTTTGGGAGGCCGAGGTGGGCAGATTACAAGGTCAGGAGATCGAGACCATCCTCGCTAACATGGTGAAACCCCATCTCTACTAAAAGTACAAAAAATTAGCCACGCGTGGTGGCAGGCACCTGTAATCCCAGCTACTCGGGAGGCTGAGGCAGGAGAATGGCATGAACCCAGGAGGCGGAGCTTGCAGTGAGCCAAGATCGTGCCACTGCACTCCAGCCTGGGTGACAGAGCGAGACTCCTTCAAAAAAAAAAATAAATAAATAAAAATAAATTGTTAAATCAATGGTGATTCCATCTTACCATATCAAAGTAGAACACAAGGAGGAAGGAGGCCTTCTTCTCTACATAGCATAGTTCACATTTCAATTCAATTCAGCAAATATTTAATAAACAAATAATTCAGCAAATTGTTTAAGTGCTAGGCACATAATACGTAAATGTATAACTCAAACACAAGATGGAATTGATATTTGCCAGGAAAGAGATGCAAAGTGTTATGCATGTTCACTGAAGGCAAAAATAACATCCTGTTGGGTGTGGGTGGAGGACAAAGAGGGACCTTAATAGGAAGAGATCTCATTTGAGCTGGAGCTTCAAGCCATCTGCAGAGAAGGGCTAAGGGCTAAGGAAACCATTTCATAGACAGAAAATTTTGTGAGCCAGCAATGAATGTACAAAGCGCATTTGGAGAGTGTTGTGGTCATAGAACAAAAAGCTGATTTTAAGGCTAGAAAAGTGGGTTGGGGCTGGTTGTGGAGGGTCTTTGAGCTAAAGAGTTTGGATTTCACTTTCCAGCAGTAGGGGAATCATTACAGGCCCTGGAGCAGAGGAGTGGCTGCTTAGGACAGACTGAAGCCATGGGAAATTGGAGTCACGGGTTCCTACCAAGATTTAGAAGATAATAAAATATTTATAATTCTGAAAAGTTGTAAACAACCTGTATTAGTTTCCTGTGGCTGCTGTAACAAATTACCACAAAGGTGGTGACTTAAAACAGCATACATTTATTCTCTCACAGTTCTGGAGTAAGAAGTCCAAAACCAGTTTCACTGGTCCAAAATCAAGATGGCTCCAGGGGAGAACTTGCTTTCATGTCTTTTCCAGCTTCTAGAACTTCACTCCTTCCATTCCTTGGCTCTTGGCCCCTTCTGAAACAAGCATGTGCTATTTTTGTAATTAAAATAAAGATGAGGAGTAGTAAATGCGGACCATAAACAGGGCAGTGGTACAAGGAAACGACTGATGTGAATTGAATTGCAGAGAGCAAGTCTCTAAGATTTGCCAACTGGTTGGCTATCAGGAATGATGGAGCACTCATTGTCCTCCATTGAGAATGGAGACTCAGCCTGCAGGGCAGAGAATCGCTAGGCTGCTAGCAGCCATGCAGGCAGGGGCAGCTAGTTTAAGAAAGAGGATGGCTTTCTTCCAGTTGTATTTATCCTTTCAGGCAAGCTCCCTGCTAGTATTTGGCTTTTATGCTATATGACATGAAACTTCCAGAGTTTTCATCTAACCAGTCTCTAAGAGGAATCTGCCTTTAAAGAGCCAAGGCCCTTCAGCAGTTCTGAATTTGCACTTCAAAGGCTCCCTGATCTCTGCAATCTCAGAGCCCTTACCTTGCAGCCTGGCTCTAATGAGACGTGGCAATGCCTTTGCTCTGGGCTCTTATCAGCCTTGGCAGCCTGGGATTCTGTGGGGAGGCTGTGAACCAGCTCCCTTGGGAAGGTCTGTTGCAGAACTGCTTAGAGATGGAGGGGGAAGGAATAGTTGGCAGTGGTCTCTGGACCATCCTTGGACCAGACCGAGGATCTTCCCTATGCCAGAGGGACAGTGTCCACTCTCTGCCCTCTTTCAGTCCCCAACCAGGCTGTGACCTCCTGCTCACCTCTTCTGCCCACCCTCCATCTCCTCTGCCCTCACATCAGCACCCTAGTAGCAGCCTTTGGAGAGAGTCCCAGGAGGCGAGTGAGTGCAGAGGGGAGGGGCTCATATATGTAAAGAGTGCATATTCCGGATCTCAGTGGAAAACTTTGTTACTGAAGCAAACTCGGGTCTGCCCACCTGGTGCAGCAAGGCCAAACATTGACATCAGGATTTGCAATGAGAAAAGGTGAGGCATTTATTACAGGTCACTAAGCAAGGAGAATCAGGCAGCTACTGCTTAAGACCGGAACTCCTCAATGGCTTCCACTAAAGGTGGGGAGGCAGAAATAACAGGCAAAGTCATAAATCAATACAGTGGTTGACCTATAAAGGTGGGACATCTCAAAGTGAGGCCGCAGGTGGATGGTGAATTCAGAGATTCTCTGATTTGCAATTGGTTAAGGAAGGGAAGCTTTATCTAAAAACTTGGGGTTAGCAGAAAGGAACGTTAAATTCTGACCTGTGGGTGTGGCTCCCTCCAGGCCCCTCAGGAAGAAATTTAGAATAAAGAATCATAGTCAGACTTCAGTCCTTTGTTCCCCCTCATCTGAGGTCTGTGCACCAGTGGGTCCATTTGGTAGAGGTCTGGGTTTCTAAGTTGTTTCTAAGAAACAACTCAGGGAGACATATTAAGATGTTATTGGCCGGGCACCGTGGCTCACTCCTGTAATCCCAGCACTTTGGGAGGCCAAGGCAGGCAGATCACCTGAGGTCAGGAGTTCAAGACCAGCCTGAGTAACGTGGTGAAACCCTGTCTCTATTTAAAAAAAAAAAAAAAAAAATTAACCGGGCGTAGAGGCAGGCACCTGTAATCCCAGCTACTAGGGAGGCTGAGGCAGGAGAATCACGTGAACCCGGGAGGTGGAGGTTGCAGTGAGCCAAGATTGTGCCATTGCACTCCAGCCTGGGCGACAGAGCGAGACTCAGTCTAAAAAAAAAAAAAAAAAGATATTATCTTTAGTTTCTATAAAGGAACCAGACATTCTGTGTCTCTAACTTCCTTGGCTATTGTTTTAGGCTATTATTGCTTTCTTGCTTATCAGTTGCTCCCTTACTTTTCAAAGCTGGCTCGGTGCCTGAAGTTTCCTTTGAAGGAACTCAAAATTTCTCTTTATTTCCATGCTTGGGGATTGCCCAGCAGGCCCCCAACAGGGGTCCCTGCCCTGTCTCAACTTCTTTGCAAAACAGCACAAGACTGGAAAACTGGAAACTAGGAGGCCAGATCCTTTTGTGACCATTAACTTGGCACAAGTAACCTGTGAAAGGCCCTTCCCTCTCCTGACTTGTGTTGGACTGGATTTTTCATGCTTCTTTCTAGAGCCCGCGTTCTGGCCTCTGCATGGAGCACATTTGGAGATGAAAAGATAAACGCTTATCACTGCTTCTCAAAGTGTGCTTTGGTTTGCAGGAGTGTAGTAAGCTGAATAATAGTCACAAATGATCCCTGGAACTTGTAAATGTTATCTTATTTGGAAAAAGAGCCTTTGATTATCCAGGTGGGCCCTGCATACCATCAGAAATATCTTTATAAGAGAGAGCAGAGGGAAATTTTACAGACACACACGGTGAAGTGAATATGGAACAGGAAAAATTTCTACAATGTTGGCTTGAAAGACTGGAGCCATGTGGCCACAACCCAAGGAATGCCAGCAGCCACCAGAAGCCAGATGAGGCAGAGGACAGACTCTGTCTGAGAGCCTCTGGGGAAAGTGCAACCCTGCTGAAGGTCTCTGCTGAAACCTTGATTTCAGTCCAGTGATACTGATTTCAGACTTCTGGCCTCCAGAGCTGGGAAAGACCAAATTTTTGTTGTTTTAAACCGTCAAGTTTGTGGTCATTTTATTTTTATTTTTTTATTTTATTTTTTTACAATAATAGCCACAGGAAGCTAAAACAACGGGAAAGCCACCTGGGGTCTGTGCACCCCAGAGAGGCACTCACTATGTCCTGCACAGGTCCCCTTGGCACACCTCACACTTTGTCAGCCTAACCCCGAAACTTTTCTAATGAAAGGCTCCTGCTCCTAGCACCGTGTAGCAGAAAAAGCACTAGGTAAAGAGTCGGAAGATCTGCTTGGCTTTGAGCAGGTGTCAATCCATTTATCTGAACTATGGTTTCCCAATCTGATGAGAGCAAGGACCACATTTTGTTCCTGTTTGTCTCTCGGTAGCTAGAATTGTGCTAAGCACATCCACAGTAAGCACTTGTTGTTTGTTGAATAAAAAATAAGGAAATTATTATTACATTTTCCTGCCTGTCTCACAGCGTTGTTCATTGTGGAGCCTAACTTAGAAATGTAAAGTATTTTGAAAGTAGTAATGCAATAAACAAAAGTTAGGTATTATTATCACTAATTTTTTTTTTTTTTTTTGAGATGGAGTCTTGCCCTGTCCTCCAGGCTGGAGTGCAGTGGCCCAATCTCGGCTCACTGCAAGCTCCGCCTCCTGGGTTCATGCCATTCTCCTGCCTCAGCCTCCCAAGTAGCTGGGACTACAGGCGCCCACCACCATGCCTGACTAATTTTTTTTTCTTTCTATTTTTAGTAGAGACAGGGTTTCACCGTGTTAGCCAGGATGGTCTCCATCTTCTGACCTCGTGATCCGCCTGCCTCGGCCTCCCAAAGTGCTGGGATTACCGGCGTGAGCCAGCATCACCCCCCAGCAAAAGTTAGTATTATTAACCAAGATGCAGAGCTCTCTGAACTGTGTTACTTGGAATGAGCAAGTTACAGGTGGGACCTGGCCTGCCAGAAGCCAAATCCCTTATGCACATGTAGAGAGAAAATGCTGCTCAAGGGGCTAAGCAGAACTGGAACCCAGAGGCTGTTTCTGTGTAGGCAAAGAGAATTTTTTTTTTTTGAGCTGAGCAGCTGTTCAATCTGCATTTGAATCTGCTCTACTCCCTGTAAATGGTGAGGGACAGGAAGATGAGAATCTAAGAAGCTGTGTTCCAAGGGAGGCTGAGATTGGGAGGATGCAGGTGCATGTGATATCATAAAAAATATATCTGGTCTTTGTCCCCAGTTCCTGGACAGACCTTCGAAAATACTTGGAATTTCCCAACAGGAGTGTCTTTTGTTATTTACAACAAGACCCTTCTGACTACGTTTGAACTTACGTTAATGTGACTGGTGGTGGGCCCTTAGAGAGTTGAAAGGGAGGGGCTGGTCATGCTATTAATAGAAAGACCAAGCATGTGATTGGAGGGTTGGAAGCTCCAGCCTTTCCCCCAACCTCGGTGGAGGAGACAGCAATCAGAAATTAAGTTTAATTACATGGCCAATAATTTAATCAATCATGACAACACAGTGAAAGCCATATAAAAACTCTGGACACTGCAGTGCAACAGAGCTTCCTGGCTGGTGAATGTATCAATGTACCAGGAGGATGGTGCACCCCAGCTCCATGAACACCAAAGCTCCTAGGCTGGGGACCCTTCCAGACCTTGCCCTGTGTATCTCTTCATCTGGCTATTCATTTGTGCCCTTTATAATAAAACAGTAATCCAAAGTATAGTGCTTTCCTGAGTTCTGTGTCATTCTAACAAGTTATCAAACTTGAGGGGTTGTATACTGGGAAGATGCAAATTTGTAGTCAAATCTGAGAGAAGCGTGGGTATCCTGGGGACCACATTTGTGACTGGCATCTGAGGTAAAGGCGGTCTTGCTGGAGACTTTGCCCTTTAACTTGTGGGATCTGACACTAACTCAGAGTAGTCAATGTTAGAATTGAATTGTGAGACTTCCAGTTGGTGTCAGAGAGCTAGTGTTGGATCTTGGTGTAATATCCAATTCCTTGGACTTCTCCATTTGAAAGTCAACGGCAGAGGAAACAGCCACTGTCTCTGACTGACCAGACTATAACCATAATAGGTTCATCGCCCAGGGCACAAGGCAAGTCAATACACCAAGACACTGGGTTACAGCAAAGAAAGAGGCTTAATCATAGGGTCACTGAAAGAGGAAATGAGAGGGAGCCTTAAATCCATTTCCTCAAGGATTTTGAAGTTAGGGTTTTTAAGAGTTTTGGAGTGGGCTGAAGTGTGCTCACTGTTTAGTCGAAGAGGGCAGAGCAAAATCTTGGGACAGGGAAATGAAGAAACTGTATTCTCATGCTGGTCCCATTCCTCTGTTGGGGTCTTTAAACGGGTTGCTGGAATTCAGGATCTGAAAAACATCTTAAGCAATCCTTAAACAAAAGCCTTAGGAGTCTAATGTCAGAGGTCTTGTCTATATGAACAACGGGGATGCAAATGGGTTAATCTAGTGCTGCATGACTTAGCAAGAAGGAAGTGGATCGGAGTGAAGCCTGAATGATGATTTATTATAACTCTGTTTCTGTCTAGAACCTGGCATGCAGTTTTCAGCAACCCTGTGGGGACAGTTTCAAGACAAGAAGGAATATGGTAGTGTGGACTGAGCACAGGGATTTAGGCCATGTGGGTCCTAGCTCTGCTTCTGCCAGTAGCTCCGAGCAATGCCTTACCCTCCCTAGGGTCCTCATCTACAAAATGAGAGAACTTAGTTACACATCAGAGTCATCTGAGAAGCTTTAAAAATGCAGTCTCTTCCAGCTCCATTCTTCAGAATTAGAGTCTTGGGACTAGGTCCCAGGGATCAGCATTTCAGAGTTTTGAAATCTCCCCAAGTGACTCTAATGCAATTAATGGGTAGTTGATTGACTCAGGGTTTCCTCATGGCCCCTGATGATAAGAACAGCCTGGGCCACACTGTAAATCTACTAAATCAGACTCTCCCTGCTAAATCAGGAGGGACCTGGGAATTGGTGTTTTTAACAAATGTTCCAGGTGATTCTTAACAACTGATATAGTTTGAATAAGTACCCCCTCCAAATCTCAGGTTGAAATGTGACTCCAATGGTGGAGCTGAGCCTAGTGGGAGGTGTTTGGATACCTCATGAATGGCTTGGTGCCCTCCCCTTGGTAATGAGTGAGTTGTTGCTCTATTACTTTACACAAGAGCTGGCTGTTTAAAAGGACCTGGCACCTCCTCCCTTCTAACTCTTGCTTCATCTCTCACCAGGTGACACCCCTGCTCCCCATTCACCCTCCGCTATCAGTAAAAGCTTCCTCAGACCTCACCAGAAGCTGGACAGATAGATGCTGGTGCCAAGCTTGTACAGACTGCAGAACCATGGGCCAAATAAACCTCTTTTCTTTATAAATTGCTCAGCCTCAGGGGTCCCTTTATAGCAATGCGAGAATAGACTAACACAGCAACCCAGAAGTTTGTGGAGTGAAATCTAAAGCAGTGCTTTTAAAAGTGAGATCCTAGGACCAGCACCACCTGTACCACATGCATCACCTGGGAACCTGTTAGAAAAGCAAAGCCTCAGGCTCCATCCCAGACCACCTCAGGCAGAAGCTCTGGGGGTGGGGTCCAGGAATCTGAGATTTAACAAGCTCTCCAGGTGATGCTGATGCATGTTCAGTTTGAAAACAATGGACCCAGAGAGCCTCTAAAGTGCAACCTGCCCTGACAATTTTAGTCCAAAATCTTGCATGGGTAATTTAATCTCTACATCCTGTGGATTCAGTAAAGTCCCTTTCTGGCAACCAGAAAGCTCAGTCTCTCTGGAGGCTCTGATGTGGTCTCATTTTGAGCCTAAGATCAATCGTGAGACCTTACTCTCCATCAAGACTGATTGGGAGACTCATGTATGCTGTTCTCAAGCCAAAAGTCAGGGTAGAACTGCTTTCCATTATTGATTACAAAAGAATCAGCCTTCCAGAAGATAAATCTACTCCCTTCATGGAACCTCCTCATTGCAGCAGCTGCTTGGGCACTATTTTCTCCTGTAGGCAGGTAAAAATATGTGCAGGCTTTTCTGGCTTGGATCGTACAGTCTCTTTAAAGCTTATAGACTCTGATTATTATTATTATTATTATTATTATTATTTTGAGACGGAGTCTTTCTCTGTCGCCCAGGCTGGAGTGAAGTGGTGCAATCTCGGCTTACTGCAAGCTCCGCCTCCCGGGTTCACGCCATTCCCCTGCCTCAGCCTCCTGAGTAGCTGGGACTACAGGTGCCCGCCACCACGCCCGGCTAATTTTTTTTGTATTTTTAGTAGAGACGGGGTTTCACCATGTTAGCCAGGATGATCTCTGTCTCCTGACCTCCTGATCCGTCTGCCTCGGCCTCCCAAAGTGTTGGGACCACAGGCGTGACAGACTCTGATTATTAAAAGAAAATTGGGAGATCATCTAGTCGAATCCTATTTTACCAATTAAGACACAGTGGGGATGGGAGTTAGTTAATAATTTTTCCATAGTAACAGACATAGTAACACAGTACGTTTGTAGGGAAGCTGAACTCAGACCTTCAGGCTTATTTCACTGAGCCACGCTACTTCAGGTGTTCTCAGCAAAGCATGGGAAGTAACAAGTGTTCGAAACCCTAAGACACTGCAACCTTAGTGTAGCTTTGGGTGCCATCCATCCACATTCAGAGAATTCAGGGTCTACAGAAACAGTGTGGATTTGGATTCCTGTTGGCACAAGGAGGCAACTAAGAGGAACAGGGGAGAACATGGTTTTTCCAGGAAGAGTTAATGCTACATAAATAGCAGATCTTGCTGTAAAGGTCCTGTCACATGCCAGGTGCTTTTTTCCTTCAAAATAACCCTGTAAGGTGGGCATAATTATCCCATTTTTACCAATGAGGAAATGATGCACAAAGAGGCTGTGTGCACTGATCGAGCCCAGTGAACAAAGACAGGATTAAAACATCGGGCTCTGATTCTCATGCTCTTCCTGGGACACCATACTGCTTCCTGATGAGTTGGTTTTAAACCCACGATTGATCTATTTCAGTCTCTAAATCAGTGACTCTTAACCTTGACTGCAGGTTAAAATTGTGCAGATCTTTAAAAAAAAACACTAATAGCTACTGCCCTCCCTTCCATCCCTATTAAAAAAGAAAGAAGCTCTGGGAGTGAAACCAGGATATTGGTATTTTTTTTAAAAGCTCCCCCAGGTAAAGTGAATGTGCAAACAGAAATGCAAGCCACTTTTACATGATCAATTTGCCTCAAAGTAATTTAGCTAACCAGGGATAGATACTGTTTTTGAAGATAGTGGTGGTAATTTAATTAAGTTACTCAAACTATGATTGAATTATATTTAGACACTAGGTAAGAGGGGAAATGGGGAGGACAAGGAAGAGTTGACTTTTGTTAACTGGTTTGTTGGGGAACATGCATGCGAGATTTGCTGATTATCTGCAATGCAGCTCATCTGAGGACCAAGCCCCCTGCCTCCACCCGACCCCCAGGATTCCCTGGAGCACAGTGTTATTTTGGTGTTTGAGAACTTATGCATGTTTAAAAGTAATTAAAGAAAATTAAAAGTTAATTGTTCTGAACATTATTTTACTGAGAGAAGAATTCTCTTTAAAAACCTAACAAGTTTTCTATTTAAAGGATTTTGAATCGTGTTCCTAGGCTAAAGACAGAAGAAAGGACCTCATGGTAAAATTTTGGGTCTTGTCCAAAGGGCTTTTGAAGTAATAGCATATTCATTAATGTCACAAATAGATCTTTAACAGAGGTCTTTCTTTAAGGAAATCGGTACCTCCCCCACTTTAATTAAAGCTTCCTGGTATGAGACATGCTTTTAGGAATTCTAGTCTTTTTGGCTTGATTCTCTCACTCTCTCTCTTTTTTTTTTTTTTTTTTTGGTTGCGATGGGGTCTCATTCTGAGGCCCAGACTGGAATGCAGTGGCAAAGTATAGCTCACTGCAGCCTCAACCTCCCAGGATGAAGTGATCCTCCCATCTCAGCCTCCCAAGTAGCAGGGACTACAAGTGTGCCCCAACGGCCTGCTAATTTAAAAAAAAAAATGTCCAGACAAGGTCTCACCATATTGCCCAATCTAGTCTGGAACTTCTGGCCTCAATGCTCCTTCCACCTTGGCCTCCTAAAGTGCAGGGATTACAAGCATGAGCCACCAAGCCCAGATTTTGGCTTGATTCCCGAAATGCTTATTTCTACAGAACCTGGGAGGAACCAAGCCTCTACTTATGAGCTTTGAAGAGCCCCAAAGAGCCGTGAGGAGCCTCAAGCAGTGAGGAGCCCCATAGAGCCCCCCCTCCTACACATCAAAGGCCCCCTTACCTCCTTCTTCACACAACAACACATTGATAAGATGGCAAAACCCAACCACTAACTGCATCCCCACAAAACTGCCATCTGCTCTTAAACTATTTCGAACTGAACCAAAAAAAAGGTTATAGATACACATATTTGTATTTTTTTCTGCCTGAAATTTTTTGTGCCTTATTTACTTCAATGGCATTTACTTAGTCTTACTTGATTTCAGTAATAGAATTTTTATGTTTTTTTCAATAAAGACCTATGCCAATTTTGGGGGGCTTCCTTTACGTTTCCAGATCAAAAGAGAAGGTTCAAAAGTCTACAGTTCAGAGACAAGCATTCTAAAAAATTATCTTTGAGAAGGACTCAATTTATTATACTAGAATTCTCGGCCTGGAGGAAACTAGCTTTGGGGTAACCTATTAACTGTTGACAATTGTCTTCCCTGGAGGATTCAAAGATTACTCTTTGGAAGATGGTAACCACCTATTTTGCACACTGGCTGAAGAAAAGAACAAAGGAATTGTAGTTACATTGCCACAGAAGGAATTTAGGGAGATCTGTAGAAGGAGGAGCTTCCCTGTTGAAACAGGTGGAACAGCAAGAAACTTTCCTCTTCTTTGAAGCTTTATGGAGAAAGACAACACACCCTCTCATATTAATATTAGTTATTCTTGAGGGTAGGAGAATTAGTGGAGACCTTTTCACTTTACAATGATAGAAACACAACTAGCTCTATTTTATTTTATTTTTTGAGACAGGGTCTAGTTCTGTCACCAAGGCTGGAGTGCAATGGCAGAATCTTGGCTCACTGCAGCCTCGACCTCCCTGGGCTTAGGTGATCTTCCCACCTCAAGCTCCTGAGTAGCTGAGATTACAAGCATGCCACCATGCCCAGATATCTATATATATCTATATATATCTATATATCTATATCTATCTATCTATATATATCTATATATCTATATATCTATATATCTATATATCTATATCTATATATATCTATCTATATCTATATCTATATATATCTATATCTATATATATCTATATCTATATATATCTATCTATATATATCTATATCTATATCTATCTATATCTATATATCTACATATATCTATATGCACACACACACATACATAGGTATATATATGTACGTGTGTGTGTGTGTGTGTATATATATATATATATATATATATATATATAAACTTTTTGTAGAGACAGGATTTCATCAATATTGGCCAGGCTACATTTTTTTTTTAGAGAGGGGGTCTTGCTATGTTGCCCAGGCTGGTCTTGAACTCCTGAGCTCAAGTAATCCTCCTGCCTCAGCCTCCCAAAGTGCTGGGATTACGAGTGTGAGCCACTGCACCTGGCCACTTAATTTTAAATGGGGAAATAGTTGGCTCACATGAATGAATGTCCCAGGGTCAGGCTACAGGCATCACTGGTTTCAGGGGGTCTAATAACAGCCAAGGGCACTCTTCTCATTCCATCTCTCACTCTGTTTGGCTTTATTATCTGAAAGACTTTCTCTTTGTGAGGCAAGATGGCTGGGGCAGCTTCCAGCCTTCTCGACTCTTAAAGCTCCTTTCCCAAGATCTACATTAATGCAGGATTCTGACTGGCCTCAGGTCTGTCCCTAGAGCATGCACAGTTCCAGAGCAATCCTGTCAGTCAGACTGGGTTGTGAACCTGCCCTCATGGCAGAGGAAGTAAGAACTCTTGACTGACAGGACCCACAAATCATATGAAGTGTGGGAGAGTTCCAAAGGAAAAGAGGCAGAGCAGGCAGAAAAAGAGCATGTCTACTGCAGAGGATACATCAGGACAGAATTCCTCCTGTTCTTCTGCAATCACATGCTGACAATTGTGAACAAAAGTTGTAGCAGACTGCACTGATGCCCCAAACCCCAAAGATGACAACTAAATATATACATATATGTTTGGTTGAACCTTAAATTTGGAGTATCATCTCTTTCAGTATTTTTGTTTTCTGGTTTTGTAAGGTTTTTTGGGGGGGCGTGGCAGGGTGGGGTGCCAAAATCATAAGTTCCCACTGAACTAGTTAAAAATGAGGTCAGGCACAGTGGCTAACATCTGTAATCCCAGCACTTTGGGAGGCCAAGCAGGTGGATCACCCGAGGTCAGCAGTTCAAGACCAGCGTGGCCAACATGGTGAAACCCTGTCTCTACTAAAAACACAAAAGATTACAGGCATCCGTAATCCCAACTACTTGGGAGGTCGAGGCAGGAGAATCACTTGAACCCAAGAGACGGAGGTTGCAGTGAGCCGAGATCACGCCATTGCACTCCAGCCTGAGTAACAGAGTGAGACTCTATCTCAAAAAAAAAAAAAAAAAAAAGGAAAAGTGTGTGTTTTTTCCCTATCTTTGAGCCACTGTTAACTAATCTGAGCCTGATTTGGTGTGAGTCCATGGAGCATGACTTTCCATGAGGAATTTCCTGCTGGCCTAGTATCTCTGTCCACCTATCACCATGTTGCAGGGGCCAGATGACTGCCCACCAAAGAGACCTTGGCTCTCTTTCTTCCAGTCCAGACCTCAAACTTCCCTGGCTCCAGAGAGGAGGAAGTCCAAGACTCCCATCCTCTGAAGTACCAAGCTGATTGACAGTGACCTTGCTCCCAAGCCCAAGGAATACAGTAACAATTGTTAACAGTGCTTTTGCCAAAGTCTGGCTCATTTGACTTAACTAAAACCATGTGTATCCTTCAGGGTTCTGAGAGGACACAGAATTCATCACAGGTGAATGAAGACTCTCTTCATTCCTCAAATGGAGAGATTTTATGAAGAACTATTTACAGATGTGTGAGCAGGATTATGGAAACACATCAGAGATTAAAGATATGCAGAGATTAGCAACGTTGGAAGTTATTAGCACCCCAAAATTCGAAAGACAAGGAACAAATAGAGTTACCAGAGCTGGGTGAGAGCTGGAAGGCAAAGGCGAGGCCACCTGGCAGATGCTGAAGTCATGAAAAGAGGTTTCCATTTGTCCTCTCCCTCCAACCTCTGATGCCCTGCCACTGTCTCCTGGGATCAAATCGACCTGGCAGTCAGCCAGCAAGAGGTTGTAGAGTTGCAGGCTACAGGGATCAGTGTCCCATGGCATAGAACAGAGTGGAGATGGGCAGAGAATGGATTGGGGAAGGGAGTGGGGCAGAGAGAGAATAACCTGCACATCAGTGGAACCTCTGGCACACCCATGAAATTGCAACATCCGAACTTAGTCTTAGGTACTTCTAGAATCTTTCCTCCATGATCAGCAAAGGGAAGACTAAATCTGCATCTCTCTCCTGGCCCATGTGCACACATGTGTATGAGTACATGTGAGCAGGGCACACTGGTTAAAGATTCTGAAATCAGACTGATCTTGGATCTTAGCCCTGTGACTCACTAGTTCTATGATCTTGGATAAGTTACTTAATTTCACTAAGCTTTATTTTGCTCATCTATAAAATGAGGATAATAATAATACTCAGCTTAAATGGGTTTTATGCCAATTAAATGAAATAGTCCCTGTAAAGTGCTCAACACAGTGCATGACACGGAGTAAAGACACCGAGCAGCCCTCAGTAGAGGCTGATCCTTTCTGAGTCCCTCTTCCACAGAGGATCACCCATCTTCCCAAAGCCAACAATTTTTAGGACCAATCTACTCTAAATTCAAATTAGAGGCAAGACAGACGATCATTTTTCAAGTCTGCAAAGACTCAGTCCTGCTAAGAATGCACTGAACCCATATCTTACATGAAACATCTGCATTGCAGCCAATAGGGTGACATCAGGGCCCCCTCAAACAGGGGGCAGTGATTGCTTCACATCTATCTGACCAAGGGCCCGTTGGTGATTTTCCCCAAATGAAGAAAGTGGTCCATAAATAATAGAAAATTACTAGCAATGTGAAAATCATACTTTTCCATCACCCATGATAAGAGAAATACAAATCAATAGCCCTGGCACGGTGGCTCACGCCTGTAATCCCAGCACTTTGGGAGACCGAAGTGGGCAGATCACCTGAGGTCAGCAGTTTGAGACCAGGCTGGCCAACGTGGTGAAACCCCATCTCTACTAAAAATACAAAAAAAATTAGCCAGGCATAGCTGTGCGCGCCTGTAATCCCAGCTACCTGGGAGGCTGAGGCAGGAGAATCACTTGAACGCAGGAGATGGAGGTTGCAGTGAGCCGAGATCGGGCCGTAGCACTCCAGCCTAGGTGACAGAGCAAGTAGACTCCATCTAAAAAAAAAAAAAAAAAGAAAAAGAGAAAAATACAAATCAAAACTACAGTAAGATACAACCTACTCCTTACCATTAAGATGATTACTCTTAAAAAACAAACCAAACAAAACAAAAAAAAACAGAAAATGAGTGTTGGCAAGGATGTGGAGGAATTGGAACCTTTGTGCACTGTTGGTGGGAATGTAAAATGGTTATAGCCACTGTGGAAAATAGTATGGAGGTTCTTTAAAAAATTAAAAATAGAATCACCATATGATGCAGCAATTCTACTTAGGACTATGCACTCCGAAAGAATTGAAAAGAGGGTCTCAAAGAGATAGTTGTATACGTATGTTTATGGCAGCATTATTTACAATAACTAAGATATGGAAGCAACCCAAGTGTCTATTGACAGAGGAATGAATAAGCAAAATGTGGTCTATACATGCAATGGAATATTATTCAGCCTTAAAAGGGAAAGAAATTCCAACATGTTCTACAACATGGATGAACTATGAGGACATTATGCTAAGTGCAATAAGCCAGACACAAAAGGATAAAATATTGTATGATTCTACCTAAATGAGGTGATTAGAGTAATCAAAATCATACAGACAGGCAGTGTAACGGTTGTTGTCAGAATGAAGGGAGGGGGAATGAGGAGTTACTATTTAATGGGTGTTGAGTTTCTGTTTTACCAGGTAAAGAGTTATGTAGATGAATGGAGGTGATGGTTGAACAACATTATGAGTGTATTTAATACTATTAAACTATATACTTAAAAATGGTTAAGATGAATTAGTTGGGCACGAGGCGGGTGCCTGTAATCCCACCTACTCGAGGGGCTCAGGCAGGGGAATTGCTTGAACCTGGGAGGCAGAGGTTGCAGTGAGCCGAGATCGTGCCACTGCACTCCAGCCTGGCAAAAGAGCAAGCCTCTGTCTCAAATAAAATAAAATAAAAAATAAAAAAATAAAATGGTTAAGATGGCAAATTTTGTTGTGTGTATTTTACCACAAAAAATTTAATAATATTTAAATATGGTCTCACTCTATTGCCTAGGTTGGAGTGCAGTGCTGCAGTCACAACTCACCGCAGCCTTGACCTGCTGGGCTCAACTGATCCTCCCACCTCAGCCGCCTAAGTATTATTGATAGGTTGAATAAAAGATACCAGTTTTACACAGACATACTTGCTATTTTTAACACAGTTGCAGATTTAGGCCCTACAAACAGAGGAATTCTGATCAGTTCTATTTCATGTAATTCCCATGAGGTACCACCACACCTGGTGAATTTTTTCTTTGTAGAGACAGGGTCTTGCTCTGTCACCCATTCTGGTCTGGTCTTGAACTCCTGGGCTCAAGTAATCCTCCCGCCTCAGCCTCCCATAGTGCTGGAACTACAGGTGTGAACCACTATGCCTAGCCCATAATTTTTTTAAAAAAGGTACTTTTCCAACTTCAAAAAACAAAACAGAACAAAATGTCAGTGTGTTCAGGCTGCCGTATCAGGCTAGCTGACTTAAACAACAGAAATTTATTTTCTCACAGTTCTGAGGACTAGAAGTTCCAGATCAAGGTCTGGCTGGGTCACGTTCTGGTGAGGGCTCTCTTCCTGGCTTGCAGAAGGCCACCTTCTTGTTGTGTGCTCACAGGGCTTTGTCCTGGTGTGTGCATGTTGAGAAAGCAAACTCTCTCCTCCTCCTCCTCTTAAAAGGCTACCAATTCTGCCACATTAAGACCCCATCTTTTTTACTTCACTTACCCTTAATTACCTCCTAAAAGGCCTATCTCCAAACAGTCATATTGGGGTTTGAGCTTCAACATATGAATTTGGGGGGACACAATTCAGTCCATAGCACAAAACAAACCTGTAATTTTACAAGTCACTTAATTACCAAAGTTCTTCGGACCTCCTCAAAATACCCCTGTCATCAAAACAGTCTCATGAAAAGCCGTCAAGTCTACTTATGAGGCAACAGCATAACTTTTAAGCACATATCCAACAGAAATGTATCCATGTACTCACCAAAAGACACATGAAAGAAGGTTCGTAGCCCTAAACAGAAAGCACCCCGAAAACCCATTTCAGGCAGAATGGATAAACGAACTCCAAGATACCCACGCAACAGGAGATAGCACAGAGGTGAGAGGAGCAGCAGGATGGATAAACCTTACAAACAAAATAGAAGCAGCGGCACGGTAAAGTACATATTGTATTATTCTATTAGGTCAAGATCACTATTAGGCAAAATTACGGTCTAAGAGTCAGAAAAGTGGTTACCCTTGGGAGAGGGAAGTGATGACTTTCTAGCAAAGTCCTACTGTTCTACTTCTTTTCTTTTTTCTTTTCCTTTTATTTATTTATTTATTTATTTATTTATTTATTTATTTATTGAGACAGCCTCGCTGTTGCCCAGGCTGGAGTGCAGTGGCACGATCCCTGCTCACTGCAACCTCTGACTCCCAGGTTCAAGTGATTCTCCTGCATCAGCCTCCCGAGTAGCTGGGATTACAGGTGCGTGCCACCAAGCCCAGCTAATATTTTTTTGTATTTTTAGTAGAAATGGGTTTCGCCATGTTGGCCAGGCTGGTCTTGAACACCTGACCTCAGGTGATTTGCCCGCCTCAGCCTCCCTAAGTGTTGGGATTACAGGCGTGAGCCACCAGGTCCAGCCCTAATGTTTCTTTTCTTGGTATGGGCGCTGGTTACACAGGTGAGCTCACGTTGCCAAAATTCATCCAGACTCATGGTTTATGCACTTTTCTCTATGTATATGAGACATCAATAAAACTTGCTTTAACGGAGGCTTGAATCCCTCAAGGTCTGGCATCTGATTCTAGGCATATCCAGCTTTCCTGGTCCTCCACATGTGTCCACTATCGGCTGCCTCTCACGTGCTTTTTGTAGAACTTGGGCAAGAGGTCACGGTGGGAAAAAAAATGCAAGAGAACAGCTGCAAAATCCCACAGGAGAAGGAAAAGCACCGAGCGAGCTGGGAAACAGAATGAAGCCAGAGTGGATGGCTGGGCTGGCGGGAGCACAGCACAAGGGAATTTTGGCAAAATGAGGGCAAAATTAAACAATATAGTGAAAGAATGGGGTTTAGGGGGATTATTTGCAAAACCAGATAAAAAGGACAGAGTGGAAAAGGCAAAACGTTATTTTGGCCCCATCAGTGCAGTATCGTATCTGCACATAACGTAAATTTGAGAGGGAAAAACCAGGTTTCCGGAGAGCGAATGCAAATCAGTGGAGGCTGGCTCGGTGCTCATTTGCATTTGAATGCTTGGAACATTCCCTGCGAGACGAGATGTGCAGAACATTCCGCCGCCGCCTCACCCAGCAGACAATGCTGATGTTTGTGCTGTCACCAGTGGGCTTGTTCGTAATAATATCAACCTCTTTTAAAATTAAGGGAAGGCAAATGAATATTTATTCTCTGTAGTCAGGCTGTGTGGCACTTCGTGGCTGAACCGACAGAATTGTGTTCACCAGACCCCAAAAACTTTTACAGCCCCATCTATAGATATGATCAATACACACAGGGCCAGAGAAGTATGTTATACTCTTCACAAAAAAGAAAAGCAGGCAGGCTAGGCGCGGTGGCTCACGCCTGTAATCCCAGCACTTTGGGAGTTCAAGGTGAGTGGATCACCTGAGGTCAGGAGTTCGAGACCAGCCTGACCAACATGGAGAAACCTCCTCTCTACTAAAAATACAAAAATTAGCTGGGCGTGGTGGCAGGCACCTGTAGTCCCAGCTACTCAGGAGGCTGAGGCATGAGAATCGCTTGAACCTGGGAGGCAGAGGTTACAGTGAGCCGAGATCGTGCCACTGCACTAGAGTCTGGGCAACAGACCAAGAAACCATCTCAAAAAACAAGCAAACAAAAAGGCCGGGCGCGGTGGCTCACGCCTGTAATCCCAGCACTTAGGGAGGCCGAGGCGGACGGATCACGAGGTTAGAAGATCGAGACCATCCTGGCTAACACGGTGAAACCCGGTCTCTACTAAAAAATACAAAAAATTAGCCGAGCGTGGTGTCCTGAGCCTCTAGTCCCAGCTACTCGGGAGGCTGAGGCAGGAGAATGGCGTGAACCCGGGATGCGGAGCTTGCAGTGAGCCGACATCACGCCACTGCACTCCAGCCTGGGCACAGAGCGAGACTCCATGTCAAAAAAAAAAAAAAAAAAATGCAGAGGTGGACCGTGTTGGGGTCTGAGGTTTTACCTCTGAAAGCTACCTGCAAAAAGGGACTACCTAGAAAAGTATCACCCTGGAATTTTAGCATAACCTTTTCAAAACCAACTACTAACCACCAAGCACTGTTTTATGAAATTTGCAGGCATCATGTGTCATTCTCACAGCTGTTAGGACTTCAATGATGTTATAAGGAAGTTGGGGCTCAGAGAAGCTACAGAACTTACCCAAGGACACACAGCCATCACGTGAGTGACTGAAGTGTTCGGCTCCATTTGACTCCTATGTTATGTTCTTTGCGTTCTGCCCTATGGTCTCCGAGAATGACTGAAATTTTAAAGAGATCGGTAAGATGAGAATGAGTGTAAAGACAGCAGAATCTGGGGGAAAAGATTTTTCTCTTAAGGCAAGAAAGCAGATACAGGAGCAAGGTTTAGAATATTCTACTCCAAGTTCTCTCAGCTCTTGCTGCCTGGTAAGGAGGCTGAGAAGACCTAGAGAGAAATTTGTGTTTTTTCCTGAATACCCTTTCTAGTTACAACTACCAGAGAGGGAGAGGCAGGCTTAAAGGAGCCCTCTAGGAGCCCCACACCAGGCACCCCAACAGCATGTGCTGTAGCAATTCCTTGGGATCAAACGAGAGGGCTTTTGAGCTAGGCTGGTAGGGGAGAAACCCTGGACGAACATGCAGGTGACCAGCAGGCAGAGTCTGTGTCGTGTGTCACCCACCTGAGATATCCACAAATCATGGAAGCAGTGGATTTCAGTGACAAATATCAGCTTCTGGAAAAGGTAAAAAATTTGAGGGACACTTTGGAATGTTCTAGATAATTAGAGAGAATGAGAGGTTTGTAGACAAGAGAAGTAATCCAATAGAAAAGTCAAAAAGAAATGAGCTCAAGCAGGCAGAGATGTAATTTGGTGCTCAAAATTTGACAAGTAGGGTTAGGTGCCTGCAGCAGAAGGAAGACGGGAAACCACTAGACACCATGGAGAAATAGAAATAGAGGCAGAGAGACTGTCAAAGTGAAGTTTGAAAGTCATTCCCAAAGGCCCCTTTCCAGGGCTTATAAAAAAAAGGTGCTAACAATGTATCCAGATGATCATAGGAAGAACAAAATTGGAGGGGGGATGTTTTAATTGGAGGGGAGGTCAATGGCTTTTCATTACAACTTCCCTTCTCTCCTGCTTCCCCATCTAGCAGGTGGCTCTGCAATGGTCGTGGGCTGGATAAGGGGAATTTGAGTTGGGGATACATTTAGTCTGGGTTTAAGGGGATACACACACACACACACACACACACACACACATATGTAGTTTTTTTGTTTGGTTTTACTTTTTAATTGAGACAGAGTCTCACTCTGTTGCCCAGGCTGGAGTGCAGTGTCTTAATCTCGGCTCACTGAAACCTCTGCCTCCCGGGTTCAAGTGATCCTTTCACCTCAGCCTCCCGTGTAGCTGGTATTACAGGCACCCACCACCACACCAAGCTTATTTTAGTATTTTTAGTAGAGATGGGGGTTGCACCGTGTTGGCCAGGTTGGTCTCGAACTCCTGACCTCAAGTGATCTGCCCACCTTTGCTTCCCAAAGTGCTGGGATTACAGGTGTGAGCCACCACACCCAGCCTGTATATGATTTTAATCACTTCCATGTGTAGTCATTTCAGTGGAGGAATAATTCCAGAAATATACCTAACACTGACTGTGCTGACTTACTTAGCATCATAACTTAAGATACAAGGCCAGAAGTTGCATCAGAATATAAATGAATTCACCACAACTGGCAGGAAAGTATCTGGATAGTGGAGAAGAAATAAGCTTTGAGATGTTTGGAGCCAAGCTAGTCTAGGAAAGTTCTAATCATCACATGAGTAAAATTGAAGTAGAGAATGACTTGGTTCGCATCAATGCCTAGTCAAAATTGAAGCTCTCTCTTGTCAGGGAGATACTCGATAATGCAACATATACAACTATAAACTCACCTTAAATATACATTTTTTTCTTTTTTGATGGAAATTACATGAAATCGAATTGATCAGAATTCCTCTTTTTGTAGGGCCTAAATCTGAAACTGTATTAAAAATAGCAAGTATGGCTGTGTAAAGTTGGTATCTTTTATTCAACCTAGCAATAGTAAGAAACAAATTTTGATGATCTATGGTAAAGATAAAATTATCTTCCTATTCTCTCTATAGAAAATGGTATTACAAAATTGCTGTCATACAAAGACGCGACCAAAGAGTAGGCAGTCAGAAAATTAGGAAAAATGTATTATAAAGGCATGTCAGGAAATTAAAAAATAAAATAGTGTCATTTTATGGCTTCAGTGATGTTTACAGTGTTAGCTTTTTAAAATTCATGACTGTGGTTTATTTTCACATTCTAAGTACATATTCATTTTGCATCTAATTTTAAATTTATATTTTTCTATTCTTCTTTTTTTTTTTTTTTTTTGAGATGGAGTCTCGCTCTGTCACCCAGGCTGGAGTGCAGTGGCGCAATCTCAGCTCACTGCAAGCTCTGCCTCCTGGGTTCACGCCATTCTCTTACCTCAGCCTCCCGAGTAGCTGGGACCACAGGCGCCCGCCACCACGCCCGGCTAATTTTTTTGTATTTTTAGTAGAGATGGGGTTTCACCATGTTAGCCAGGATGGTCTCGATCTCCCGACCTTGTGATCCGCCTGCCTCAGCCTCCCAAAGTGCTGGGATTACAGGCGTGAGCCACCGCGCCCAGCCCCTCTTTTTCTTAAAGAAGGCCTGAAAAATTGAATAAGCTTCAAGTGTACATCACCCGGCCCCACCTCTGACTAAGGAGGATGAACCAGAGGGGAAGATCCTCCAAGCCAGCTTGCAATGAGGGATCTTCTATCAACCCAGGCTGGTGGCTGACACCCTTGGATGGATGACTGATCAGTGGGTGTGCTCAGGCGTAAGGTGTGGCAACAGACAGTTGAAGCTATGACAACATCTGATAAGGTCTCCTCCGGCCTGTAATTTTTGGAAAGTGGGTGAAGTTTTTTTGTTGGGAGCAGCAGGACTGCCCCAGAATCCTTGAAACCAAACCATGCCTGGCTTCCCAATAAAGGAAGTGGCACTTAAGAAAACTCAAGGAAGCAGAAGACGTGTCAGTAAAACCTATCTCCTAAAATTCCGGACAAAGTGTGATTCCAATCCTATGATGTGCTGGGCTCTTCGATGGCCCGAAGGAACTTTTGTTCTCAAAACTTTGAGATTTGTTTCTTCCAAATTTAATCACAGGCAGGCACACAGTGACCTCCATAATAGGGTACTCCAACCCATTACACCTTGGCTTTCCTGAGAGTTAGTGCTTGGAAGCGAATTCAAATTAATTATCTGGCTACATGATGGCAGGATTAACCTTTAAAGTGGTTGCAATGACCATGATTTACATAATCTATTTAACCATTTTTCAATAGAATTAATATTTAGAAGGCAAGTGGGGAGAAATAAATTACATCTTACGGCTTTTTGTGAACACCAGGCTTAGCGCACAGAAGAATAAAATTAACATTACCTAAGGTAAAGAACGTATCAGGTGCACAGAGCAGTAAATTAGATTACAGGGATAACAACCATTCCAGAGGCTTCTCGTAATCTGAATTCATCTGGAAAGTAAATAAACAATGCCACACACAAGGAACAGGTCTCATCCATCACTCTCCTCATGGCATGCAAACAGTGATATCTGGATTGGCTAGGATCACATGCGATTTTGACAGGTGTGGGTAATGCACATTGAGACCATTTGTTTAAGGATCTGCCAGGACTATATGTAGAAGGAACAGGCTGAAAACAAGATTGTTTAGCTTGTTTAAACTTAATTTGAATCTGGGTGCATTTCTTATCTGATCATTTTCTCCATTTAGGTTCTATTATGGGGAGGACATGTGGGTTTTCTTCTGCTTCCTAAAGAGACAAAGCCCTAGCAACTGATCAACTGGAGTGGACAGTTCTCTTGTCCCAGGGGAATCTGGTGCCTGAGAGCTGTCATTTGAGGATTCCAGGAGAGTTCTTGTGGATTTCAAGTGAACTTTCTGAACCTAAAAATTTGGGAAATGTAGACTTCCCCAAGAGAATATGACTTAAGGAGCAGGAATGAAAAAAACAGGAGCTGTGCCATTGTCAAAAGTAATTTACATAAAAATTTAATTTTCAATTACATGAGAGTATTCACTGTGAATTTTGCAAACATGAGAAGGAAAAGGAGAGCTTCACAAAGATACAGGAGCCCCACCTCTCATGCTGAGAGGCAGAATGAGGTATACAATGGAAAGATCAGGGACCTTAGAGTCCAGAAAACTGGGTTCCAGCCCTGATGGCCACTAACTAATTGGGTGGCTCTGAGCAAACTCACACACCTCTTTGGGACTCTAAGGATCCTCTTCTGAAACATAAAAACCATATGGTACCTAGCTCATAGCCTAGTGGCTTAGTGTAGGTTTGCATTTCAGCCCTGGTAGCTATATGACTCTGAACAAGCCATTTAGCCATCTTAGCCTTGGTTTCCTCATCTATGAAATGGAAAGTTTGGTAGGACCTACCTCATAGGACTATTAGGATGGTTACTTGAAATGAGTATGGAAAGCATTTAACACAGTGCCTGACACATAGTAAGGGTTTCATAAAAGTTGGCTTTTATGAGATATAATATAGCTATCTATCTAGCTTTATCATTCAATAATTCTAGTTTTATGACATGTAGGAAATCTCACAGCTGAGGAATATTACAAATGATGAATGCGTAAGCTCTGCCAATTTGTGAAAACATATATACACCATAATATTAGGTAGAAGAATGAGGTTGGAAATAGCCGTATGCTGTGTAGACATGCTGAGTAAAAATAAGGAATAAGCAATGGAAGGAAGTCATCATAAAAACCATTGAAACGTTCTATTATCTTTTTTTCTAAAGTTTGGGAGCTCTCTATAGATCTAGTAAGAAACTGAGACTCTGTGAAAAGTGGTTTTGCTTCTCCTCTTTTTCTATGAAATTGTCCCACATAAGTAGAGATTGCCATTTAGGGCTACGGTTAGGGCTGGAGGGTCCTTGCAAAACCATCCTGCCCAAATGATGGATCTTGCTGTTTTGTGGCTCATCTGGAGCTGCTCACAAAAAGCCTTTTAAAAGAGAAAGATGGTCCATCTTCTTCCAGTGAAGCTTGTAGAACACTTTTCCTCAGAAAATGTTCCTATTAGCTTTTCTCCAACTCAGCCCCAAGCATTTTAAGAAAAAAAAAAGGTCATAAAGGTAGCCTACTCCATAAATTAAATGGAAACACTCTTTGTCAAACTTTGACTTTTCCCCGTTATTTCTCACGTCTTAGTGGGGAGAGAGAATGTGTGTAACACCACTGCCATTTAAATTGCATTGGGGAATGGGACATCATACGTGAAATCAGTAATAGGCACAGCTACCTTTTGAATGATACTTTAAATGCGGGTTCCCCAGTTTCTGGCTCCTAAGCCAGTGATCTTTCTACCCCACCAGAAGGCCTCTGGGTTACTGTAATAATTATCAGAGTATTATAATAATTATAAGAGCTCAATTATAGAGTGTTTTTCATATGCCTGGCTCTGTGCTATACACGCTATACATGCTTGTATCATCCAATTCTCACAACAGCTCTCCAAGCTAAGCAATAATATTGTTCCTATTTTACAGATGAGGACATGGAGGCTCAGAAAATTTAAGCAAGGTTAATTTAACCTCGTTCAAGGTTACAGTGTTGGTCCTCAGAGATAAAACTAGCATTGCCTTCTGCTTAAGATGGAGTTCTTCTGTCTGTTGATTGAGCTGTAATCCTCAACAGTCTTTCCCAAATCACTATAGTAGTGCCTCTCTTTTAAGAGTAAGGCTTCCTATTGCTCACGGCTTAGGAAAGGAAGAGTTTCCCCAGGCAGGGGCCTCCATTCACTAACAGTATGAGTGCCTGTTTTATGCCCAGCATTGAGCTGAAACAAAAAAAGCCTTTGTATTTCCAGCCTTGCCGTTGTCTAAAAAGAATGCACTTGAGGAAAGTTAATAGACAGGTAAGGCTTTAAAAAAGTGAAAGCCGGCCGGGCACGGTGGCTCACGCCTGTAATCCCAGCATTTTGGGAGGCCAAGGCAGACGGATCACGAGATCAAGACCATCCTGGCCAACATGGTGAAACCCCATCTCTACTAAAAACACAGAAATTAGCTGGGCGTGATGACCTGTGCCTGTAATCCCAGCTACTCGGGAGGTTGAGGCAGGAGAATCACTTGAACCTGGGAGGAAGAGGTTGCAGTGAGCCGAGATCGGGCCACTGCACTCCAGCCTGGTGACAGAGAGAGACTCGGTCTCAAAAAAAAAAATAAATAAATAAGCAAATAAATAAATAAAATAAAAGCCTGGCCCAGTGTGGTGGCTCATGCCTTTAATCTCAGTACTTTGGTAGCCTGAGGCAGAAGGATCACTTGAGCCCAGCAGTTTGAGAACAGCCCGGGCAACATAGCGAAACCCAGTCTCTAAAAAATTTTTAAAAAGTAGCCGGACATGGTGGTGTGCACCTGTAGCCCCACCTACCCAGGAGGCTGAGGTAGAAGGATCTGCTTAAGCCTGAGGAGGTAGAGACTTCAGTGATCCTGTCACTGTACTCCAGCCTGGGCAACAGAGTGAGACCCTGTCTGAAAAAAAAAAAAAATTTAAGCCCATCCTTAGGTAAGAGCCTCCTTAAAAAGTAGGCTAGAGGGCAAAAAATTCTAAACAGAGAGAGAGTGAGAGTGTGTGTCTGTGTGTATGTGTGTGTGTGTGTATGCGTGTGTGTGGTTCGTGTCTGCATGCGGGAAGTTGAAATGTTGCCCGTTGATTCCACACAATGCCATCAGAAAAGATGAGCAACATCGAAGCAGAAGAGACTATAGCTATTTATTCCCCAAAAAAGAGCACTTGAAGAGATTCATTGGCATGACATTAGCAATCTTCTAAAACATTTATACATGAATTCTTGAAGACAAGAAAAGGACAGATCAATCAGGTACACAGCATTGGAAACCATCACATTATTCATTTCGGGAGTAAGTCATCATCTGTGAATACAGAGCCCCTCACTTCCTCTCCGCTTGGCTTCCTCATCTTCCACCTACAAGTATGAAAATGCCGCTGGGACCCAGCCAAATCAAGCTGCTACGTGTGTGCCCCTTAGAGCCAATGTGCGGAAATGAAACTGACAAAGCCCACCAAAACTCAACATATTCGTTGTTTAAAGAGATAGCTCCATCTCTTCCTGTATACAGATGACACACCCCTCACAGAAGGACCAGGAGTTGGTTTTTTTTTTCCTCTTTTCAATGGTTGATTCTCCTGTTGTTGTTCACAGAACAGAACATAATTAACAAATTGGAGGAGACGTCCTTTTGTTCCTCTATGTCAGTAATAGATGTTTCTTTCAGATCAGGGAGCCAGAACGGGGAAATGAATGCTCCAATTAAGCATGAGGGAGGAATAAATTTAGTCTCATGCAACCTTCAAATGAGCTACCCAGCGCCCCAGCTTTGAGTCTTTGCCAGATTCTTCAGGAATATTCCTGACCCTAAGATTAGCTCTGTTGGTGCAAGGAAAGAGTTTCTTGTCTGTATAAAAAATGACTTGTGCACATAAATCTGGGATGCACGGGTTCTCAGGCTAACCATCTTGTACCCCACGGCACAGGAGGAGGCAACAGAGTTTGGCCATATAATCCTGAATTCTGAAGACATGCAGACCTCAATTCAAGACTTCCATTTTTTGTGGACTTCAAGATTTACTGTGATTCAGGGAGAGAGAATAGAAGTATCAAGTTGATAATTACTGACTTATGTGATAAAATATAGATCTTTGGGGACTGTTGTTAAGGTTTGAGGGAAGATTCTCACAACAGTTATTTAAAGGCTTTTTTTTTTTTTTTTTTTTTTGAGACGGAGTCTCACTCACTCTTTCACCCAGGCTAGAGTGCAGTGGCACGATCTTGGCTTACTGCAACCTCCACCTCCCAGGTTCAAGTGATTCTCCTGCCTCAGCCTCCCAAGTAGCTGGGATTACAGGCGCCCACCACCATGCCTAATTTTTTTTTCTTTTTAGTAGAGACGGGGTTTCACCATCTTGGCCAGGCTGGTCTCGAACTCCTGACCTCATGATCCACTCGCCTCAGTCTCCCAAAGTGCTGGGATTACAGGTGTGAGCCACCGCGCCCAGCCAAAGGCTTTCTTAATTATTTGAGACGTGACATAGGAAATTCACCAAGTTCGTCTGAAATTTTGTTTCTTCTTTTGTTAAATGGAAATATCTTTTGCTTATTACATAAGAACAATCTACTGGAACAGGAGTTACTTGTATGTAAGCATAGTGTCCCATAAGAGTTTATCACAAACCTTTGAGTAGTGCCTGGCACAGAGAAAATCCTAAAAAATACCGTTTTTGAGAGAATAAGTAAATGAGGGTATAATTACTTCAGTGAATTGATAGTCATAAAATATGAAAATTACATGAATTCCTCTTTACTCATTGTAAACACACTCTTTTCCAGATGTAATAAACGATCAGGCATTTCTTTTGGCACTGTTCAAAGTTTATAAAGTATCTCAACCTTTGATTTGGGGCTTTTAAAATTACCTGGTTTTTAAATGCTGTTTTATCTTTGGCAAGCCAATGCTATTACAACCGTGGCTTTTCCTCTGAAGACTGACTCATCAAATAGTCTTCACCTGAGCTCTAATCTAATAGCCTTACTGGTCCCCAGGGAACTGGAGATATTTTCATTTGGCTTTGTGGCAGCTCAGTGGGAGACTTATGAAGTCATTCCCCCTTTGTGGTAACACCTTCAGCCCTGCCCTGAGCTGCACTTCTAGAGATCAATTACCCTCCAAATACTAATGGGAAATGGTGCTTTTAATAGAAAACATTAATGAAATTCGAGTTCCCAGTCTCAGCTGTAATTTTGCCAGACGTTAGGCAAGCAGGGGGTCTTTGGGGCTAGTTGGGTTCCACCAAGCAGACTGAGTCTTCATGTTTGGTGCATGCCAGTCTGACTCACGTTCCTTGTCACAACCCTAGGGGAGCTGTCAGTCACCAACTGATACTGACAATGGCTCTGTGGGTAAAAAAAAATCAAGGCATGTTGTATCCGACATGCTCAGGAGAGACAGATATGAACACATCATAGTCACCAAGTAGTCCAAGGCAGCCCATCATAAGGTGGGGCCACTGGGACAGGTTCAAGTTGCGGGGACTTAGAGAGGGCCAGAGTGTTCAGGGAAGGTTTTATGGAGTAAGTGGGACTTGAATTTGGAGTTGAGGAGAGAGGGTCAGGTGCACTGGCTCACACCTGTAATCCCAGCGCTTTGGGAGACCGAGGCAGGAGGATCAGGATCACTTCAGGCCAGGAGTTTGAGACCAGCCTGGGCAACAGAGCAAGATCCCATCTCCACAAAAAATAAAAAAATAAAAATTAGCTGAGTGTGGTGACATGTGCCTGTAGTCCCAGCTACTTAGGAGACTGAGAAGGGAGGCTCACTTGAGCCCAGGAGTTTGAGGCTGCAGTGTGCCGTGATCATGCCATTGCACTCCAGCCTAGGTGACAGAGTAGGGCCCTGTCTCTAACTAAAAATCAAGGAGTTAAGGAAGGATTCACCCAGCTGTGCATTCTGAGTGGTGACAATGATGCAGAATGAGTGAATGAGGTGTGTACGGAGACCAGCGCTTTGGGGGAGAGCCCCAGACAAGACCTAGAAGAGGTGGCCTCTGGCAGGGCTTCATACTGACCTCAACAAGGTCAACAGGCTGCCATGCCCCGGATTTTTCCTGCTGGACAACTCCTACTCCTTGATACATACAGTCATCAGCAGGATCAAATTAAGAGTGAATGCGAAAGTTATGTGAAAATTCTAATTGTGTTATTATTATTATTTAGGAAAAACATGGCCAGCAAAGCAGGTGAGGCAAAGATCAGGAAGGACATTAAACGCCAAACTAAGGAGCGGAACTGAATGAGCAGTGAAGGGGAACAATGGCTTCAGCAGGTCCACTGGGCTCCTCTTTTCTGTCAGCCTCCCCCTACCCCTCACCTCTGTACTACTCATGTTACTATCTACGTCTCTTCACCAATGTCATTGTGGAAATAAAAGCTTATCTGTAAGAGTACTGATGAAGTATTAACTCACCCCCTTTAAGTTCCACCCTCCATAAAGCTAAAAGTCAGCAAACCAATTTAAGTGATCTATTTTAGAATTTCAGCAAACTTTGAAAATCTGAGGCAGTGCTGCCTAGCAACGAGAGTGAGGATGTAGAGGTGGTCTCAGCTGAGATTCGAGATGTGCTGTGGATTCACTGCTTCCCTTGATTTTCCTGATCTGAGCCTTGGTTTCCTCATCTGGGCAATGGGGCTTCCATATTCTCTAAGGACATCGAATCCCCTATGGGGTGGCTTCTGTATCTGAGGACAGAGGAGAACAGGAGTCCCAGGGAGGGTGCTAAGTGCCCCGGAAGGGCAGATGAAGCCTACGGAGGTCACAGTGACAACCACATATCCTGTCTAGAGCCAAGTGGATACTTGGTCTCTTCATCCAAGAGACACAGGGGATATGTTGATGAACGACGCAGGCTTCTGCCATCATAGATCTCACAATATGGGCAAAGTCAGACACATAAACAGACCATTGCTATGAAGCATGCCAGGTGTTGGGATAGGTCATGCTGGGAATTACAGGAGACAGGCAGGGGACATCTATGCCAGACTGGTGTTTCCCCATATTTTAATCTCATGCTCACTGGAATGCTTTCTTTATTTCCTGAATGTCTTTACCAATCAAGTGGATTGAACACCTTTGATCTTCTGTTTTTAGGAACATTACCTACATGAGTATATTAAATATGCCTAACCCTCCTGGCCTGGAGTCACACTCAAGCGGGATCTGCTCCACCCTCTCTGGTGAATTCTAGATCACCTAAGGCTCTTTCCCTGTGCTGTCACCCATGACTCTCTGTCATGGTCTGTGCTCGCTGTTTCTGTGTGGGTGTTTATTGAGCTCACTTCCAGAACACCTTCTTTTTCTCGCTCTGTACACCTGCTCACTTGTCTGTGTTCCACCTTTCACCAGGTGTCCAAATGTCGTTGGGCAAATCACCTATATTCTAGGGCACATACCAACATTAAGATCCACCCATGACAGAAAAACAAATTATCAACTACCTGCTTGAATCTAGTTAGGAGAGTTCATGCCCAAAGCCAGTGAGAATCTCTTGAGTAGTGAATTAGTGGTGTTTAGAGCATCCATTGACCAGTCAGTCAATCAATGATTATTTACGGAATTCCCAAAATGCATCAGTCACCATGTTGTATGCTGTTGAACACATAAAGACCCAAAGGCTTGGACCCTGTCCTCAATGAGTGAACAGTCTGAAAGGAGAGAGACTAGTCATTGTAGACTTGTGCAGTCATAAGATATGAGAGTTGAAAGTCTCTTTAAAGGTCATCTATCCTAATTTCTATCCCAATCAAGTTTCTCAAATGTGTTATTTTTTGAGAAACAGCAGTAAATCCTGATAACAATTTCATAACAGCTAATAGCTACATTATAAGTCACTCACAGTAGGCCGGGCGCAGTGGCTCACGCCTGTAATCCCAGCACTGTGGCGGGCCGAGGCGGGCGGATCACGAGGTCAGGAGACCGAGACCATCCTGGCTAACACGGTGAAGCACCATCTCTACTAAAAATACAAAAAATTAGCCAGGCGTGGTGTCAGGCGCCTGTAGTCCCAGCTACTCAGGAGGCTGAGGCAGGAGAATGGTGCGAACCCGGGAGGCGGAGCTTGCAGTGAGCCAAGATCGCGCCACTGCACTCCAGCCTGGGCAACAAAGCTAGACTCCGTCTCAAAAAAAGAAAGAAAGAAAGAAAGAAAGTCACTCACAGTAAATATAAGAAAGTTCAGAGAGGAAGTTAGTAAGGATTAAACGTCAGAGAAACAGTTATGAAGAGACCCGGGCTGCATCTTGGGGATTGACGGGGTAGAAAGTGTCTAGGAAGGAAAGGACAGTATGAGAAATTAATGAGGCAAGAATGAATGAGTCACGTGCAAGGACGCTGACTGAAGCAGAAGATGTTTGCTGGGAACAAAAGAAAATAACTATTGTCACCTACCTCACAAGGACTTCTGCCTTCTGTTATGTTGTCAGAATTCTGATTTCTGTTCTTCTGTTCACTGGTCCCCTTGTCGAGTCATATATATTTCAGTTGGTCTAAAAATAACAGTTATCCCACCTTTCTTACCAGTGATTGGTTTAGCATGGCCATGTGACCGAATCCTGACCAATGAGATGTGAGGAAAAATCTGCTAGGGTCTTTGAGAAATATTTCTTCATTATTTAAGGGAAACGCACAAGAAAGGAGCCATGTTTGTTTTCTCTGAAACTAGGATTTAAGGATGTGATGTCCAGAGCTGCTGCAGCCATCTTGTGAGCCTGAGGGGAGCTAGCCAACAAGCAAAGGATGGTAGAAGAGAAAGATAGAAAGAGCCTTGTCATTGATGCTGAGTCATTAGCTAGAAAAACATTGGATTTTCTTTACCTCTAAGCTTCTTGTTATGTGAAGGAAAAAAATCTCATCATCTTTATTTAAATTATTTTAGTTTGTTTTCTATGGACTTTACTGAAAGCACCCTAAATGACACTTAGGAGCTTCACAACCAGTCACAGAAGCTTGATGACATAGAAAAGGGTAGGGATGATTGGAGAGAATGGGAATGAATAGAAAAGGAAAACAAGTGGAGGAGAGAGGTCAGAGTTGCTGGGAGTCAGCATAGAGCTAAAGTATAGAGTTAAAGCTTGGGCTCAGGAGTTGGACTGACTGGAGCTCCAATCCTAGCTGTTCATTAATCTTTCTCAATTTGACTTTCTCCTCTGTGAGATGGAATTAAAAATAGTTGCTGCCTTATTGAGCTATGAGAATTAAATGTGCTATGTGATGTAAGGTAAGCACTTAGCAGAGTTCCCAGCCTACAGTAGGTGTCATGAAGAGTTAACTCTTAGGAGGGTTAAGCCTTGCCCTGTCCCAGGTACTGAGGATGCTCTTGTTTATGTCTTGGGATTGTCTGAGGTATAGCTGTTTCAGGAAAAGGTTTGATAAAACTGGTATCTGAGGGAGAGTGGTCTGTCAACACCTTGCAGGATTGCGTGGGGAAAAAAAAGAAATAGCAATAGGATAGAGTTGGCTGCCCTTGGGTTAGGTGCCCCCGCCTAGTCCAGTTGGTCGTGGGGCCCGGGAAGGGCAAACTGAAGCCAAGCTAGTTAGGCAGGAGAAGCCTAGAAAGGACCATCCCCTTAGCAAGGGATGTGAATAGATGAAACCAGCCTTGTGCACTGTAGAGAGATTTGTCTACACCCTTCCTGCCTGTATTAATATTTTCAACATTTATCATTTCTAATCATGTTGATTGAGTTTGTCTAAAACTTTCCCAAGTTTACTGTTCACCATAAAAATCCACGCTTTATTTATTTATTTTTCTAAAATGACCTTTCTAAACCTTCAAGGGTTTGATATCCAGGAATCTCGTGACCAAGCCCATGCACTCCACCCTTTCCCTTCCTTTGTTTCAGAGATCTGTCCTCTCCATCCTCATCCTCTGCCACTCTGGACTGAAGATCCTAATGCTTCCCATCTTCCCCGATCTCCACGCCCTTGACTGTTGCATTGGCCCTTCCCTAGGCCTTCTGCAGCTCAGTTTGTCCTTTTTGATGTGCAGGGAGAAGTACGCACAGCATTTTTCAAGTGAAAGCAAGTTTCTGTTTACAAAGCTCTTCCTGGAGACCCCAGCCTCCTGCTGGCCCTTCAGCCACATCACCCCATGTCACCTGTCAAGCCAAATGATTACCTCTTGGCTTCCTTCACCTTCTGCATTCCCTCAGGGACAGACAGCCTCTCCAAGACTCTCTGAAAATAACTCTTAGCCAGACAATAGCAATTTCTCCTTGCTGTGCTGCCATTCTCTGCCAAAGGTAAGAAATCAGTAAGAAGCAAAACGATTTTGCAGCCAGGAGAATTCTAATCCCAGGCTAAGCATCTGCACATCCCAAATGCCGCATTCAGGGCACGAGTCTGACAAACAGACGACACTGCCACAGTTGTGAGAACAGAGCTGTTCACAATCTGCCGGCTTCCTCCCAGAGCGGTGGGGAGAAGCTTTCCATCAGTGCCAGCCCCTCCGATCACACCCCTAAAGCATAGCTGCAGTGAGCAATTTCCTTCCAAACAGCGTGAGCTTAGATCTACATGAAACGAACTGGACTGTGTTCATCAAAACAGCTTCAGCAACTGTGTGAGCTGTTCCATTTCCTATGTTCCAATACAAGCCTTTCCAAGGTTTTGACTATAAATTCTAACCTTGGACTTACCTTTCTTTTTCCCAGAGACATGCTCATGTGTGTGCACGCTCATGTGTGTACATCTAACTATTCATGTATGTCTCTCCTTCTCGGTGTCTGTCCACATCTTTCTGTTTGCTTCTCTGTTTATGTTATCATGCTTTCTCTGTCTCTGTCTCTCTTTTCCCTCCTCCTCCTCTGTTTCCCCCCTTTCTTTTCCTCACTCCTTTCCCCCCTCTGTCTCTCGGTCTTCCTTCCTTCTCTTTGTCTTCTCTTGCTCTGTCTCTGTTTGCCTCTCTCCTCAAATCTCTGCTCATTCCCCTGATGCCTAAAGCTGCACAAACAAGCCAGCTCAGCCCACCTCTCAGAAATGATAAAATACTGGCTTTGAAACAGTAGTCATCTGCTCATGCCCTCTCCGTCTGTCCCGATATCCCACCCTAAAGATTTCCACTAATTCACACTTGATAAGCCCCAACATAAGAAATACAGTAGAAAAAAAATCCTAAAAAACAAACTACACCCAACTTAACTCTTCCGTGTTCATGGAAACTTGTCGATACCACAGATTAGATTAAGCTGACCTTTCCCAGCTGCAGTGATCTTTATTGTGACACTGCAGTGCTTTCTAAAACATGGCAGATAAAACCATCAGAGTTTTGGTGGGGGTTGGGGTATTTTGTTACTCTTTGATTTTTAGAAAATTGGTCATTTGTGTATGGTACAATTTGTGAGTGCAATGGTGCGATCTCGGCTCACTGCAACCTCCTATTCCTGAGTTCAAGCAATTCTCCTGCCTTAGCCTCCGGAGTAGCTGGGGTTACAGGCAT
The DNA here is from genome assembly GCF_000001405.40 of Homo sapiens. NCBI lineage: Eukaryota > Metazoa > Chordata > Mammalia > Primates > Hominidae > Homo > Homo sapiens. Next base: position 9,418,925 of record NC_000008.11, read on the forward strand.
GCGCCACCACGCCCAGCTAATTGTTTGTATTTTTAATAGAGATGGGGCTTCTCCATGTTGGTCAGGCTGGTCTCCAACTCCTGACCTCAGGTGATCCACCCGCCTAGGCCTCCCAAAGTGCTGGGATTACAGGTGTGAGCCACCGCACCCAGTCGTTTATGGTATAATTTATATACTAATTTATAATTAACTAGAACATTAGATTACCCTAAATACCCTTTTCCCTAATTGTGCCACATGGCAGAGGCACCAAGGAGATGGCTGTACAGATTGTTTGTGTCACGTATGGGAGATAATACAGAAATGTGTGTAAATGTCTAAGAGTATCACACTGAATATGACCCAGAAGCATGTGTAAAAGTCAGTAGACCTCAAATAACACCTTGGGGGTTCTGATGGCAATAGCAGCTGCCTCTGATCAACACTGATTGCGAATCTGCCCCTCCTGACCCATGCTTTCTGGGGCCTCTGCCCTAGAAGGGTCACTTCCTCCTATTAGCTTGATCTGCCTGGCCCCTAAGCCTCACGTGCCATCGGGTCTCAGCCTCTGAGGTGTGGATGCTGCCCATCTCAGCCCTCCTGAGTGTAGATGACGCCTCAACAGCTCTGTCTTGCTTGCACTTAGAATGAGACTCTGTCCTGCATGGACTTGTCCCAGTTGTCATAAATTACACAATCATCAGTCTGAAAGGGACCTCAGAGTTCTCTACTTCAATCTCGCATTTGACTAATGAGTACGGTGACTGGTGTGTCCACACGGCCTCAATGTATGCATCTTGTCCTGACACGATTATTAATAGCTCCCTCTTTTCCTTTCAAATATGTCCTAATGTGGATGATGTATTATATGGTCTCCTGACTAATGAGAGAAAACAACTTAGCCAGGCCCCGGGCCTACACCTAATCATCCAGAGTTTTTATTTTTTAATAATCATTATACTGTGTTGCCTCTTTCACATTAGGTATTTCTTTAGAACAGTGCTTCTTAACCAAAATCACCAAGAGAGCTGTTTTCATTTTTCTTTTCTTTTCTTTCCTTTTCTTTTCTTTTCTTTTCTTTTCTTTTCTTTTCTTTTCTTTTCTTTTGAGGCAGAGTCTCATTCTGTTGCCTAGGCTGGAGTGCAGTGGTGCGATCTTGGCTCACTGCAAGGTTCATGCCATTCTCCTGCCTCAGCCTCCCAAGTAGCTGGGACTACAGGCGCCCGCCACCACGCCCGGCTAATTTTTTTTTTTTTGTATTTTTAGTAGAGACGGGGTTTCAACGTGTTAGCTAGGATGGTCTCGATCTCCTGACCTCATGATCCGCCCACTTCGGCCTCCCAAAGTGCTGGGATTATAGGCATGAACCACCGTGCCTGGCCAAGAGCTGTTTTCAAAACACAAATGCCTTGCCTTGAATAACCTCCCGGGGTAGAGTCTGGACATATGTCTTATGTCAAAGTTTCCAGGGCGATCCTTATGTACAACACATTTCTGTTTCAGAACCCCTGCTTAGAGAAAACAGGTGATTAGGAGAGCCTGCTAAATCCCCAAAATCATGTGGCAAGATGGATTACTTCCATGCTAACAAATGTGGCCAGCCATATGCCAGACTCCAATGCTTCATTATTCATAACCCCATTTTGGTTTGGGATGTGCCCTGTAACTTAAAATCAGGCTGAACAGGGAGCTAAACCCCAGAGGTGATTTCTGTCATGGGTCCAGCTCCAGAAGACAGACAGAAAGATTTATTTGACCTATGGAGGTTTCCTTTCATTTGACTTTCTGCTTCCTGTTTGCTCCATCATGCAATCGGAGGTCAAGGAAACAGACGAGGGCGGATTTGTTTTATTCCGTCACAGATGAAAGTTATTGCCACATAGTAGCTTTGAGATAAGCCAAAAAGCAATGCTGATCACCAGCAATGTGGAGCTGGTGACTGGAAGAGACTTAGTAAAAGACAGGACTGCTCCTGACATTTTGCTGGGAAGCAAAGAAACCAGAAGACATGCCTCCGTGCCAGGAAGGAGAAAGTAAACCACAGCTGGAAACCTAAGCGGAGGAAGAATGGTAATTAATCAGTGCCTGCAAGCCATCTGCTTTCTTTGGTTGGGAGGTCTGTATCGGCAGCGCTAGCTACAGATGCTTGAGAGCAGGCTGGGTGCTGGAAAAGGGATGGAACTTTCCTGTTCAGGGAAGGTATAAAAATCCATCTTGCAGAATACAGGGGCTGTAAGAGCCAGCCTCACTTGGGCAACATTAGTAGGTTTTTGCTCCCTATCTGGAGTGGTTATAGGTCGACTTTCTTTGGTTTGAGTTTTTGTGTTACGTTGTTGTTTCACAAATTGAAAACCATTACCTGTACTTACAGTGATGCATAAAGAAATGATCACACATGTTTTTTTTCTTTTCTTTTGTTCCAAAATGCCAATTTAAAACACAGCAGCCAGGCGCAGTGGCTCATGTCTGTAATCCTAGCACTTTGGGAAACTGAGGCAGGAGGATCACTTCAGCCCAGGGGTTTGAGACCAGCCTTGGCTGTACTGCAAGACCCTGTTTTGACAAAATTTCTTTTTTAAAACATCAGCTAGGCATAGTTGCACACGCCTGTAATCCCAGCTACTCAGGAGGCTGAGGTGGGAGGATCGCCTAAGCCCCAAAGGTCAAGGCTGCAGTGAGTTGTGATCATACCATTGCACTCCAGCCTGGGTGACAGAAGGAGATCCTATTTCAAAATAAATAAACAGTAAATCAATTTTTTGAAAGGTATTTACCCACGGTCAAAGAGAATGACCCTGGAAAAGTGAAAAAAACAGAAGCTAAGATATTTATATAAAGGGGTGGGATGAGGATACAGAAAGCAGGTGGGGGATTGATTTAGCTCTGACTGGAAAGGTAGATTGTAAAGGAGTTCAGATGGAGGTGGGTGATGATAAACAGGTGAGGCCTTTGGAAGGCTCCATGCTGAGCTGCTGAACCAGCAGGATCCAGCCCACTCTGAAGAGTCAGGTAACCACCCCTCAGCTCACTCTCCCATAAGCAATGGGAAATATTTGTTTTGTTTTCTGGAGAAATTGAACTGAAGATTAGGGGAGCAGCTGAAGACACAGGAGGCCTCATGCCGCAGTTCAGGGTGTTACAAGGCCTGCCTGCTGCTGAACTGTGAGGCCCCCAGCCCTCCACCTCGGCCCTGCTCCTGGAAGGCAGCAGTCACGGGCACATCCCTCCCACCCCAGGGAAGAGAATGAAAGATTCTTCTTTGGAGAAACTAATCGGCTCCAGAGGAATGATCTCTGCACAATGAAAATTGAGAGTTTACCAATGGAAAAACAAAAATAAAACCCATATGCTCCTTGATACCTTACAGAGGAGACTACAGTTTGACAAACTGCACCCGGTACGAGTGCGAAGACAGCCAAGGAACAAGTGAGGGTGGAATAAGACATTTCAAACACAGAACTCACAAACTTCTTCTCCCACATACTGTTCTTCAAACTCCGGGTAGCCTGTGCTTTGGCAAAAATAAACAAGAAAACCAACAAAGAGGAAAATGTGGGATCCAGTAAACAAGAGTTGTAATACAGAATTGCAGTGAAGGGAAGTCCTGGGATCGCAACTGTGCATCAAGCTTAGGAAGGAATGAGCCTGGACGGAGCAGAAAGATGGAGAAATACGGCTGGGCATGGTGGCTCATGCCTGTAATCCCAGCACTTTGGGAGGCCGAGGCCGGGGGACCGCTTGAGGTCAAGAGTTCCAGACCAGCCTGGCCACCATGGTGAAACTCCATCTCTGTTAAAAATACAAAAGTTAGCCAAGGCATGGTGGCGGGTGCCTGTAGTCCCAGCTACTCAGGAGGCTGCAGTGGGAGAATCACTTGAACCCAGGAGGTGGAGGCTGCAGTGGGTCAGGATGGCACCACTGCACTCCAGCCTGGGCAGCGGAGTGAGACTCCATCCCCCACCGTCCACCAAAAAAAAAAAAAAAAAAAAAGATGGAGGACATGAAGGATAATGTTCATAAGAAAACAATGGAAGCAGAAATAATCTAATACATTTCAAGCTGTGCAAAAATAATTCCCAGGTATTTGAAAGATGATGAAGCCTTAGAGAAAAAATAAAGATTAAGACATGTAAAGCTAATCAGATAAACAAATCAGGTAATTATTAATTATAGGAAAAAATAATGAGAAAAGATACTAACAGCCAGCTTCTGAGATAGTCCCTGATGATCCTGCATCCTGGTTTTCATATCCTTGTATAATCTCCTCCCATATTCAGTAGGGCTGACCATGTAACAACTAGGATTTTGCAGAAATGGTGGCATGTGAGTTTTAAAGCTAGGTTATAAAGAGAAATTGGGGCTTTCAGCTTGCTCTCTTAAATCAATTGCCCTGGAAGAAGCCAGCTCTCATGATACAATTAACAATAACACTCAAGCATCCTTAGGGCCAGGACCCAGCCAACACCAGCATACCTTGCCAACCATTGGACTGAGCCACCTTGGAAGATACTCTACACAGTCAAGCCTTCAAGTGACTTCAGTCCCCAGTCAACACCTTGACAGTAAGTTCATGAGAGACCCCCAAACCAGAACCACCAGCTTACATCACTCCTGAATTCCTGACACACAGAAACTATGTACAATGTGTAATATTGTTTTAAGGTGCTAAGTTTTGGAGTTCATTTTGAGTATGAAGGCTTCGGTACCTGGAAGTTGAGCAAGTCATGACAAAAAACTAAAAATGTGGGTGTAAATCTAGACTGAGTATTGGTTAAGAGCTGGAAGGACTTTGAGGGTAGTGTTAATGAAAGCCTAAAGAATATTACAGATATTGTTAGTAGAAGCCTGATGGCCTTTGAGAACAAAAAAAAAAAGTAGGGGAAATGTTATTTTAAAATGGAGAAACGAGAATCCTTGTTATAAAACAGCAGAAAGTTTAGCAATACTTTTGCCTGTCCTAACATGGAAAAATTAAAAACTACCTAATGAGGTAGGTAATCTAGCTGAGGAGGTTTCCTGGCAGAATGTGGATGGTACCACATGGTTTCCTTTTTCTGATAAAAATAAAATGTGAGCATAGAGAGGCCACAGAAAGACTCTTAAGCAAAACAAAGATGGAACTTGATAGTTTGAAAATTCCCAGCATCTCTAGGTGGCAAATGATCCTAAAATTAAGAAATGGCATCTATACAAAGATAAAATCCACTGAAGTGTCAGGAAAACATGATATAAAGATGAAGCTGAGGGTCTGGTTGTAACAAAAACAACTGTTAGAACTTCAAATATATCTAAAGCAATGTCTCAGGCCACTGTTTTTATTTTTATTGTTGTTGTTTTTTGAGACACAGTCTCACTCTGTCGCCTAGGCTGGAGTGTAGTGGCACGATCTCGGCTCACTGCAACCTCTGTCTCCTGGGCTCAAGCAATTCTCCTGCCTCAGCCTCCCAAGTAACTGAGATTACAGGCGTGTGCCACCACACCCAGCTAATTTTTTATTTTTAGTAGAGACGAGGTTTCACCATGTTGGCCAGGCTGGTCTCGAACTCCTGACCTCAGGTAATCTGCCTGCCTCAGCCTCCCAAGGTGCTGGGATTACAGGTGTGAGCCACCGTGCCCAGCCCTCAAGCCACTGTTAGTCAGACAAGGCTTCTAAGAAGGCTAAGGGCATTGTCCTTTCCTCATCTCAGCAAAAGCCCAAAGTAGAGAAGGTTTATATCAAAGAAATTCCTGGATATGGCTTTTGTCTAATGGCATAAACCCCAATAAGATTCATGGGAGATATATAACGATTTTATAAGAATTGTGTTGGCTAAAATACCTCCAGCTTGAACTAAAAGGAATAGAAAGAGAACAAATTATAAAGAGGACTTAGGGTCCCCAAACTTCTACAGGCAGAAAGCAGGCTGAGAAAACATCTCAGCTGTATACATGGGCTACCTTTGATGGAAATGAAAGAATGATTCTGAAAGTGGAAACAAATGTTCAGTGGGCATAGCCAAGAGCCATTAAAAGTCCTGCCCAGGTCTTGAGTCTTAACTAAGAAACTGTCAACTGCATCGTGCTTGATTTAAGAATTGCTATGGCCCACTGTCTCCTGTATGTTTTCTCATTTCTTCCTTTTTACTGGGAGGGTTCTAGCAGTTTTCATATTCCTGTTTCACCAATGTGTGTTGGGTGTGTGGCTGCAGACAAATTCTCTCTTTAATTCACAGGTCTTCCAATTAAGAGGAACTGTGTTTGAAGAGCTATTATTAAAGAACCACCCCTGAGAAGCTTTATTTTCCCCTGGACCCAATTTAGAGAATGACATACTGGACTTCTGGCTGATGCTGTAATGGGGTAAGACTTTGGGGGACCTTAGGAGGCAGGTGAGTGAACTTTGCATGTGTGAGAGATATAAATTATTGGGATTGATATTTTTTCTTTTTAAAATAGTTCATTTGTAATTGCTGTAGATGCACAAGTTATACATATTTATAGGGTACTTGTGACATTGATACAAGCCTACGACATGTAATGATCAAACTGGGGTGATTAGGGTATCCATCACCTCAAGCACTTATCATTTCTTTGTGCTAGGAACATCCCAATCTCACTCTTTTAATTAATTTGAAATACAAAATAAATCTTTCTTAACTATAGTTGCCCTATTGTGCTACTGAAAACTAGATCTTATTCTTTCTGTCTGATTGTATTTTTTGTACCCATCAATCATCCCCTGTTTAGCCCTCCTCTCCACTACCTTTCCCAGCCTCTGGTAACCAACCCTTCCCAGCCTCTGGTAACCATCATTCTATTCTCTGTTTCCATTAGTTCAATTTTTTTTTTATAGCTTCCACATATTAGTGAGAACACATGATATTTGTCTTTCTGTGCCTGGCTCATTTCACTTGACATAATGTCCTCCAATTCCATCTATGTTGTTGCAAATTACCAGATTATTTTTTATGGCTAATATGTCATTGTGTATATATGCCACATCTTCTTTAGCCATTCATCTGCTGATAGACACTTAGGTTGATTCCACCTCTTGGTGTGGGATTGACATCTTGACTGAAATCTCCTGAGAGACTCCCAAACCAGAACTACACAACTAAGCTATTCTCAAATTCAAGACCCACAGACTGTGTGAGATAATAAAGGTTAATTATTGTTTTAAGTTGCTAAGTTTTGATGTAATTAGTTTTGCAGCAATAAATAACTAATACAAAAATGAATCACAATATTTGGATCAGCAATAAATTTTATATAATGTAAAAACATCAATAATTTAAATTAATTAAAATAAATTAATATTTAAAAGTTGGATGGCCAGGCACAGTGGCTCACGCCTGTAATCCCAGCACTTTGGGAGGCCACATCATGAGGTTGGTAGATCATGAGGTTAGGAGATCGAGACCTCACTGGCTAACACGGTGAAACCCTGTCTCTACTAAAAATACAGAAAATTAGCTGGGCGTGGTGGTGAGGACCTGCAGTTCCAGCTACTCAGGAGGCTGAGACAAGAGAATAGCATGAACCCGGGAGGCAGAGCTTGCAGGAAGCCGAGATCGCCCAGGAAGCCGAGATAGCGCAACTGTACTCCAGCCTGGGTGACAGAGCGAGACTCCATCTCAAAAAAAAAAAAAAAAAAAAATTGGGGTATAGCCATATTGGAGCAAAGGAAAGGCAAACAGGTAGAGATACAAGAGCTAAAAACCTACATCCCTTAACAGAGTCAGTGAACACCATCTAAAACTGATGCATAAATAGCAGAACATGCATATTATGTAGAAAATACGGAGACAAATATCAGAAGAATTACCTAAAATTGTTGAAAGGCCTTGTTTCTTTTTTTTTCTTTATTATTGTACTTTAAGTTCTAGGGTACATGTGCACAATGTGCAGGTTTGTTACATATGTATACATGTCCCATGTTGGTGTGCTGCACCCATTAACTCGTCATTTACATTAGGTATATCTCCTAATGCTATCCCTCCCCCCTCCCCCCACCCCACAACATTCCCCGATGTGTGATGTTCCCCTTCCTGTGTTCATGTGTTCTCATTGTTCAATTCCCACCTATGAGTGAAAACGTGGTGTTTGGTTTTCTGTCCTTGCAATAGTTTGCTGAGAATGATGGCTTCCAGCTTCATCCATGTCCCTACAAAGGACATGAACTCATCCTTTTTTATGGCTGCATAGTATTCCATGGTGTATATGTGTCACATTTTCTTAATCCAGTCTATCATTGATGGACATTTGGGTTGGTTCCAAATCTTTGCTATTGTGAATAGTGCCACAATAAACATATGTGTGCATGTGTCTTTATAGCAGCATGATTTATAATCCTTTGGGTATATATCCAGTAATGGGACTGTTGGGTCAAATGGTATTTCTAGTTCCAGATCCATGAGGAAGCACCGCACTGTCTTCCATAATGGTTGAACTAGTTTACAGTCCCACCAACAGTGTAAAAGTGTTCCTATTTCTCCACATCCTCTCCAACACCTGTTGTTTCCTGACTTTTTAATGATCGCCATTCTAACTGGTGTGAGATGGTATCTCATTGTGGTTTTGATTTGCCTTTCTCTGATGACCAGTGATGATGAGCATTTTTTTGTGTGTCTTTTGGCTGCATAAATGTCTGCTTTTGAGAAGTGTCTGTTCATATCCTTCACTCACTTTTTGATAAGGTTGTTTGTTTTTTTCTTGTAAATTTGTTTGAGTTCTTTGTAGATTCTGGATATTAGCCCTTTGTCAGATGAGTAGATTGCAAAAATTTTCTCCCATTCTGTAGTTTGCCTGTTCACTCTGATGGTAGTTTCTTTTACTGTGCAGGTCTTTAGTTTAATTAGATCCCATTTGTCAATTTTGGCTTTTGTTGCCATTGCTTTTGGTGTTTTAGACATGAAGTCCTTGCCCATGCCTATGCCCTGAATGGTATTGCCTAGGTTTTCTTCTAGGGTTTTTATGGTTTTAGGTCTAATATTTAAGTCTTTAATCCATCTTGAATTAATTTTTGTCTAAGGTATAAGGAAGGGATCCAGTTTCAGCTTTCTCCATATGGCTAGCCAGTTTTCCCAGCACCATTTATTAAATAGGAAATCCTTTCCCCATTTCTTGTTTTTGTCAGGTTTGTCAAAGATCAGATGGTTGTAGATGCGTGGTATTATTTCTGAGGGCTCTGTTCTGTTCCATTGGTCTATATCTCTGTTTTGGTACGAGTACCATGCTGTTTTGGTTACTATAGCCTTGTATATAGTTTGAAGTCAGGTAGTGTGATGCTTCCAGCTTTGTTCTTTAGGCTTAGGATTGTCTTGGCAATGCGGGCCCTTTTTTGGTTCCATATGAACTTTAAAGTAGTTTTTTCCAATTCTGTGAAGAAAGCCATTGGTAGCTTGATGGGGATGGCATTGAATCTATAAATTACCTTGGGCAGTATGGCCATTTTCATGATATTGATTCTTCCTATGCATGAGCATGGAATGTTCTTCCATTTGTCTGTGTCTTCTTTTATTTTGTTGAGCAGTGGTTTGTAGTTCTCCTTGAAGAGGTCCTTCACATCTGAAAGGGCTTGTTTCTAGGAAAGAAAACTGGAGGTGAAAAGGGGTGGGAAAAGAAACTGATGCCAACCCCTAAGATGAACGTTTTAGTTGTGTATGATTTCTTTAAAACCAGTGAGCTCAACTGCATGAGGTGGCTCACGCCTGTAATCCCAGCACTTTGGGAGGCTGAGGTGGGTGGATCACGAGGTCAAGAGATCAATACCACCCTGGCCAACATGGTGAAACCCTGTCTCCACTAAAAAATACAAAAATTTGCTGGGCATGGTGGTGCACAGCTGTAGTCCCAGCTACTAGGGAGGCTGAGGCAGGAGAATCACTTGAACCTGGGAGGCAGAGGTTGCAGTGAGCCAAGATCGCACCACTGCACTCCAGCCTGGGGACAGAGTGAGAATCTGTCAAAAAAAAAAAAAAAGAGCTCTAAAATGGAATGAAATAATGTCTTTTGCAGCAACTTGGATGGGGCTGGAGACCATTTTTCTAAGTGAAGTAATTCAGAAATGGAAAACCAAATACCGTTATGTTCTCACTTATAAGTGGGAGCTAAGCTATGATGATGTAAAGGCATAAGAATGATACAATGGACTTTGGTGACTCAGAGGGGAAGGGTGGGGTGGGATGGTGAGGGATAGAAAACTACTCATTGAGTAGAGTGTACACTGCTCGGAGACAGGTTCACTAAAATCTCAGAATCATCACTGAAGAATTTATCCATGTAACCAAAAAGCACCTGTATCCCAAAAACTCTTGAAATAAAAATAAAAATTTAAAAAGCCAATGAGCTCATAATAATTTAATGAAAGTAAAATGTTATGTCAAGAAATAAAGACCTACCCTGTATCTGAGAGACTTGGAGTGATATTAGTGAAGGTGGGCACTGCAGTAATGCTATAGGCAAGATAAAAAGAGAAGAGTATTTGCTTGGAAGCTGAGGTATAACCAGTTTCCAAAACCAGACAGCAGGCCTGGGAACCTTCTGGGTGAAGGGGGTGGCTCTTGGGAAGCTATGGAGTGCACGCACAGAACAGGAGACATCTTTTGACCACAATCTCTGGCCTGTCCATTGTCCTAACCGCCAACATGTCACCCTAAAAAGAAGCAAAGGAAACCTGGTGAGTAGACACTGCTTTTAGAGAACATGCTTACTAGAATTGCTGAGTGGGGACACCTGGATTCAAGCCACCTCTGCCTCTGCCACTTATGAGCCCTGAGGCCCCAGCAGAGTCATCCAGCCGTCTGCTCTTCTGTGTCTTCATCCATAAAAAAAGGATACTTCCCATAGTGAGTCTCTCACATGGTTATGAAGAGAGCAAAATCAGAAAGTGGGGAAGCACTTTGTTTTTTGTTTTTTTTTTTGAGACAGAGTCTCACTCTGTCACCCAAGCTGGAGTGCAGTAGTGCAATCTCAGCTCACTGCAAACTCTGCCTCCCAGGTTCAAGCAATTCTTCTGCCTCAGCCTCCTGAGTAGACAGAATTACAGGGGTGTGCCATCACACCCGGCTAGTTTTTGTATTTTTAGTAGAGACAGGGTTTTGCCATGTTGACCAGGCTGGTCTCAAACTCCTGGCCTCGAGTGATCCATCCACCTTGGCCTCCCAAAGTGTTAGGATTATGAGCGTGAGCCACCGCGCCTGGCTGGGAAGCACTTTTAAACCATTAAGTTCTGTGCAGGTGTGGCTTCCTCTTCCCCAGCTTGGGCAATGGCACTTCTGCCTCCTCTTGGGATGTGGACAAGAGAAAGAAGGTGCAGCCTTCTGGACTATGAAGAAAAATGGACCGTTATCACCATGACCTAGAAAATCTTCTTAAGAGTCAGAATTACCTAGAAAAGTTGTAGAAAACAGAGACCCCAACCCTCCTATGTTGCGGGAAGTCAGGGACCCCAAACGGAGGGACCAGCTGAAGCCATGGCAGAAGAATGTGGATTGTGAAGATTTTATGGACATTTATTAGTTCCCCAAAGTAATACTTTTGTAATTTCTTATGCCTGGCTTTACTGCAATCTCTAAACATAAATTGTAAAAATTTCATGGACACTTATCACTTCCGCAATCAATACTCTTGTGATTTCCTATGCCTGTCTTTAATTTAATCTCTTAATCCTGTCAGTTGAGAAGGATGTATATCGTCTCAGGACCCTGTAATAATTGCGTTAACTACACAAATTGTACAACATGTGTGTTTGAGCAATATGAAATGTGGGCACCCTGAAAAAAGAACAGTATAACAGCAATTGTTCAGGGAACAAGAGAGATAACCTTAAACTCTGATTGCCGGTGAGCCGGGCAGAACAGAGCCATATTTCTCTTCTTTCAAAAGCGAATGGGAGAAATATTGCTGAATTCTTTTTCTCAGCATGATATATCCCTGAGAAAGAGAATGCGCACCTAGGGGTAGGTCGCTGAACTGGCCCCCCAGGGCGTACCTGTCTCTTATGGTTGAGACTGCAGGGGTGAAATAAACTCCAGTCTCCCATAGCGCTCCCAGGCTTATTAGGAAGAGGAGATTCCCGCCTAATAAATTTTGGTCAGACCGGTTGATCTCAAAGCCCTGTCTCCTGATAAGATGTTATCAATGACAGTGGTGCCCAAAACTTCATTAGCAATTTTAATTTTGCCTCGGTCCTGTGGCCCTGTGATCTCGCCCTGTCTCCACTTGCCTTGTGATATTCTATTACCCTGTGAAGTACTTGATGTCTGTCACCCACACCTATTCATATACTCCCTCCCCTTTTGAAACTCCCTAATAAAAACTTGCTGGTTTTTATGGCTTGTGAGGCATCACAGATCCTACCAACATGTGATGTCTCCTCCAGATGCCCAGCTTTAAAACTTCTGTCTTTTGTACTCTGTCCCTTTATTTCTCAAGCCAGCCGACGCTTAGGAAAATAGAAAAGAACCTACGTGATTTTCGGGGCAAGTCCCCCGAAACTCCTACAGCCAAATGAGGCGAACATAATGAGGGCTGCAAGAATTGACAAATGAACGCATTACAGCCCAGGCTGTCTTACTGTGACCATGTGAGTGCCTCACCTCACCTTTTTTCACCTTCGTCACTTTCCCAAATAGCACTGGGTGACGCAGGTTCTTAGGTTTGTCTGCCCTGTGCTCTTCCTGCTATACTCTTCCTGCTATACTTTCAGAATGGGAGGGGTGGTTATCCTCCATTTATTTACTTGCTTGCTTATGGTGCAACATAAAACAGGCACTAAGAGCAGACGCTGAGCTTCCTTGTCTTTGGAAGCTCTTCATGTTAGACGGAAACGGCCTGTGATGACATTGACTTGTGCATGTGTGAGCAGCCTGCAGGCACAGATTTCTTTTGTAGGCAGGTAGGGTGGGAAGATAGTGTCTCTGAAAAGTCTCTCCCCAACAAACTTGAGTTTGTTCGAAGTATTGAGAGGCTTTCTTCATTCCTACTGCTAATGTTGGCATTGCTAGCTCACAGCAGATGTCTAATGCTGCCTGCAAAAATACTTTTCTTTCAGACAAAACCTGGCAGGAATCATTAAAGGTACCTTAACCACCTCATTCCCAAAACAAGAAGAAGCTCATCCAAAGAAAGCCCACATATTAGCTCGATTACAGATGAGCACAAGGTGCTGGCCTTTTAATATTTCCCAAATTTATTCTTGAAATCTCCCTAAAGAGCAAGGAAGCACATTTATAAGCATGAAAGAGCTGCAATATGGTCCTTAGAGCTGGAATTCCATTGGCAATTCTGCACCTGCTATCGTACATGACCTGCATTTTTACAAAATGGAAGCTTTGTGATTTGTAGGGGGAAAAAAATCTGTTTCTTTATGTCCGAGAACACAAAGAGCCACGTGTGGGGGACTGTCAGTGGCTTTCAGAAAAGGTGGAATTCGATGTAGTCCCACTCCATCTGTGCATTGGTCCTGATTGCTTCAGAGGTTCTCTGGAAGGCTAATGTAAGATCAGAGTACTGAACATTACACTCAGCTATACTAATCAATGAGACGAGGAAGCAAATCAGCTAACACAGGTACAATTTCTCAGTGATTAAAAAATAAGTAACTACAGACTTGAGCAGGTCATCAAATTACGTCAGGTAAGTTTTTTTTTGTTGGTTTTTTCCTGCAGCTTCTCCATGCTGTTTCACAAAAGTATGGCTTAAAGAAACCATTTATATCGCAGAAAGTGGTCTCAGGTCCACAAAAGGAAAGAATGATGGTGTTTGAGGTCAAAATATATGTTTTAGTTAATGACTCATTCATTTACTTAACAAGTATTTTTAAAAGCCCCCTAGGGGCCGGGTGTGGTGGCTCACGCCTGTACTCCCAGCACTCTGGGAGGCCAAGGTGGGAGGATCACTTGAGGTCAGGAGTTTGAGACCAGCCTGGTAAACATGGTGAAACTCTGCCTCTACTAAAAATACAAAAATTAGCCAGGCATGGTGGTGCACACATGTAATCCCACCTACTCAGGAGGCTGAGGCAGGGGAATCACTTGAATCCTGGAGGCGGAGGTTACAGTGAACTGACATCACGCCACTGCACTCCAGCCTGGGCCACAGAGCAAGACTCTGTCTCAAAAAAATAAAATAAAGCTGCCTAAGTTCTGGGAATTTAAAGATAGTTAAGGTATGCAAAATGGTATAGTCTCTGCCTCTGTCTTACAAGGGAGAAAGATGAAGCAGGAGATGGAAAGGGAAATAGGGATGGAGAGACAGAAAATCAGAGACCAAGGAGACAGAGTGTGTTTTTGGCATCAAGCATAGTCCTGAGAGAGAAGCGACCTGGTATAAGCCACTGGCTGCTATACACATCTGGTTAATTCCTTCAATCCTTTTAGGCTTCTGTGTTTCTCATCTGTTAAAAGCTGTGCTTCTTAATGGAGCAGAAGACTAATATAGTTATATGGATTTGCTCAAGTTCCATACACATCAACGTTTGATATACCCAAGTCCTATTAGGAGAGTTTGTTCATTTAACAAATGTGCTTGTGCTTGGTTGGGCATGGTTGCTCTTGCTTATAATCCCAACAGGATTACAGAGGCACAGGTGGGAGGATCACTTGGGGCCAGGAGTTCGAGACCAGCCCGGGGAAATAGAGGGACCCCATCTCTACAAAAAATGTAAGAATTATCCAGATATGGCGGTGCATGCCCATAGTCCTAGCTATTGGGAGGCTGAGGCAGGAGGATTGTTTGAGCCTGGGAGGTCAAGGCTGCAGTGAGCTATGATACATCACTGCACTCCAACCTGGATAACAGAGTGAGACCCAGTCTCAAAAAAACCCCCAAAACAACAAACATAAAAAATACAAGCAGCCACAAGTAATGAACAGCTAGCAAGGCTATGTGCAATATCTTGAAGATAGTTATCAGGAAAAAAATCACACCATCTCTGATCTTATAGAGTCACTAATGTCATGAAAGCATTCAAACATGGCCTAGATTGACTGGTGGGATTTTTGCAGGAGCAATTTAAATGGGAAGTAGCATACAGTAATGTCGTGTTCACATGCAAGAAGAACTCCAGGGTCCAACCTAGGTCCTAATTCCAGCTCTCCTGAGAGGGAGGGAAGGAAGAAACCAGTCAGGCAGGCAGTTAGGATGGGTCCTTGGTAAAACTCCTTCAAGCAGAGAATAGCCTGGAAATTAAACTGCAGGCCTTAGATAAGAAAGAGCCCGCATCCTTGGATGAAAACACCAACTCTGTGATACCAGATGACCAAATTCCACTCCTTTTTGGCTCTTACTTTTCACCTATTTTACATATGCCTATCTTTCTGTGATTGGCCATGGGCTGAGTCTCCATTTACATAGGGTGAATCATCACTTCAGCCCCTAATTGGTCTGGGTCCAAAGTCTCCAGCCGAGCTTTCACTTCAGCCCCTGGTTGGTTCTGGGCCAAAGTCCCAGGCCAAGCCTTCACCTCTGTCTTCAGTTGGTTCTTTACACTGTCATACCTCTTTCTGAGTGGTGCTTTCTCCAAGACGGCCTGCAAACCAATCAGCACACTCCTCCCCTTTCCAGTCCATAAAGACCCTAGATTCAGCCTGATAGCTGGCAACCCTCCTTCGGGTTCCCTCTCTCTGCTTAGAGCTTTTCTGTCCCTTAATAAATCCAACTCTGCCTTACTCATCCTCCGGTGTCTGTGTGCCTTTTTGATGGACATGGACAAGAACCCAGAACTTGCGGGCAGTGGGAGTAAAAGACTGGTATCACTCCCTCCCACTGGCCAAACAGGTGTAAGAAAACTGAATGCTACCACAGTTGTAAGACTTTAGAGCATTTACTTCTCTTTTTTTTTTTTTTTTTTTTTGAGACAGAGTCTTGCTCTGTCACCCTGGCTGGAGTGCAGTGGTGCAATCTTGGCTCACTACCAGCTCCACCTCCCAGGTTCATGACATTCTCCTGTCTCAGCCTCCCGAGTAGCTGGGACTACAGGCGCCCGCCACCACGCCAGGCTAATGTTTTGTATTTTTAGTACAGACGGGGTTTCACTGTGTTAGCCAGGACGGTCTCTATCTCCTGACCTCATGATCTGCCCACCTCGGCCTCCCAAAGTGCTGGGATTACAGGTGTGAGCCACCGGCCGCCTGGCCTGTTCATTCTTTTCATACCCTATGCAGGAAGTATGAAATAGATCAATATGTAAAATTCACATCTCCAGATGTGGTGATTTATTTTCTTCTTAGTTGATTAGAGCAAGGGTCTCAATCAAGTAATAAGATTTATATGTGATAATTGCTTTTGTTCTATACCTACCTAAGCAACTGTATATTTAGATCTCATCATTTCCTAGTCTATGACTGACAACCCAACATTTAATTGGCTCATCTTCCAAAAAGAACAGGTGTTTTTCCTAAAAAAAAAAAAAAAATATTTTGCTTGAAAAATATTTTTGATTGATTTATTACAGCTAACATATTTTAGCTGAAATAAGGACTTTCACAAATAACCTAGAAAACACATAGGCAAGATATATCAATGAAAAACATTTTTGGCAGGATTTTACCTAAAACAATAAATCCTAAACCACTATTACAAGTGTATATTATTTTCCTTTAAATTATGTAATAAAATTTATTTTTCCATGGATTTAGCCAGAATGATTTTCTTAATCATAATCTGCTCATACTGAAGGGAATTTTTTAAGATTAACTTTTAAGGTGCTCTTGAGATTTGCATAAATCTTTGTTAATGACAAATTCCTGCTCGCTTATTCTGCTTTCCTCTATAATATTTGGAGCCATTCCCCTCATCTCTATCGTATTTTGTCTTTTCAGTCATCTAAAGAAAGTCAGGTAATGAAATCACAGTGAACTTATTCCCCTGAAATTTTCCTGAAACATTTGCCATTCTCAGAACAGATTGTTTTACAAGCATATTTTACTTAGTTGCAAAAAAGCAGCAAGACAAATTTTCCTTCAAAAGAAAATAGGTTGCATGCATCTTTAACTTTTGCTTTTCAGTTAGAATAAGCAATAGCATTCTTCCAAAACACTAGACAAATAGCCCAGTGTTCTGCTTATTACATTTTGATTATTTTCTGGTGACTTCCATACGGACTCATATTTGTGTGTACAGCAATTCAACATGTATTGACACTTACCTTGTGCCAAGTCCTGTGCTAGTGTTAAAGTGCCCAGACCAGGTTAGGAAGCCACTGTCTTGGCCCTAGAGGGCTCACAGCTGGTCAGGGAGACAGAAGAAACTTCAAAAGGATGCCACTCGGGCTGACCCTTGAAGGAAGAGTAGAAGTCTATCAGGTGGAAGAGAGAAGAAATGGATTTCCAAGCAGTGAAACAGCCTCTTCAAAGGCTCAAAGGTGCAAAATTGCATAATCGGTTCAGGAAATGAAGTCAGTACATGTAATAAGAAGGCAGTTATCATTCCTTGAACAAAGGTGTGACTTTGCTTGCAAACTGGTAAAAGCATAGATTGTTTATGTGCCTTCTGGCTCATGTCCTAATTCTTGATCACAGGACACTTGAGCCCAGGTTTCTTGGCCCTTCAGCACCAAGCAGCTGGCTCCGATCACCATCCACTTCAGTCTCAGGGTCACCTTCTTGCAAAAATGTCCCATGCTCATAAAGATAGAAGTAATCCATCCACTTTTAGGCAGTGGGAGCAGAATATAAAGAAAGGTGAGGCCGGGAATGGTGGCTCATGCCTGTAATCCTAGCACTTTGGGAGGTCAAGGTGGGTAGATTACTTGAGCCCAGGAGTTGGAGACCAGCCTGGCCAACATGGTGAAATCCCATCTCTACTAAAATACAAAAAGTAGCTGGGCATGGTGGTGTGCACCTGTGGTCCCAGCTACTAGGGAGGCTGAGGCAGGAGGATCGACTGAACCTGGGAGGTGGAGGCTGCAGTGAGCCGGGATCACCACCATTACATTCCAGCCTGGGTGACAGAGGGAGACACTGTCTTGAAAAAAAAAAAAAACAAATTAAAACAGAAAAAGAATACAAAGGAGGGTGAGGTAAAGTTCCCAACTACAGAGGAATAAGGATGGGGGCTTTTCAGGAAATTCCTATGGAAAAACACTGAGAGAGGAAGGTAGCGTGGCAGAAACAAGACTCGGTGAAGAGCACACACTCTGAAGTCCCTTCTCCCACTTCTGTGTGACTTCCAACAATTAACTTAGCCTTTTATTGCCTCAGTTTCCTCACCTGTAAGATGAAGATTAAAAGGTTACCAGGTACAAACTCCATAAGGTTGCTGCAAGGATTAAATGTGATGAAGTATGAGGTTCTCCCCATTCCACCACACATTTCCACTGTTATCTTTATTTTTCTGGCATCTGCTAAAAGCAGATATTGCCCCTGTGTTTCATCTAATTATGAAACATACAGAAAACTCCAGTAGTAACATGTCCTGAGTTGCTCTTCTTTGACCTCTGCCCATAGGTTCTCTCAAATTCCCTTAGACTTGCAGCTTCCCTAGCAGGTAAACATTTCTCAGTGCCTAGGGCCACACCATGTCTCCCTCTTACAAGCTGGCTCCTCCTAAAAGGGCACATTCATCCCACACCCATACTAAAATCCTGAGTTCCGGCTGGGTGCAGTGGCTCATGCCTGTAATCCCAGCACTTTGGGAGGCCGAGGCAGGTGGATCACCTGAGGTCAGGAGTTCAAGACCAGCCTGGGCAACATGGTGAAATGCCGTCTCTTCTAAAAAATACAAAAATGAGCTGGATGCGGTGGCACATGCCTGTAATCCCAGCTACTTGGGAGGCTGAGGCAAGAGAAACGCTTGAGCCCGGGAGGCAGAGGTTGCAGTGAGCCAAGATTGCGCCATTGTACTCCAGCGTGGGGGACAGAGCAAGACTCTGTCTCAAAAAACAAAATAAAATAAAATAAAATCCCGATTTCCATCTTATAGGTTGAGGCAATCACTTCCTGAGACTATATTTTAATGTTATAACCACTTAACCTCAAGGCTCTATATGTCGGCATTTACACGGCAAAGCTTCAAGTCTTGTTTGTGCCTTGCCACCTTCCTCCTTCAATGTTTTCCCATGCGAATTTTCTGAAAAGCCCCCATCCTGATTCTTCTGTAGTTGGGAACTTGATCTCACCCTCCTTTATATTTAGTTTTAAGACCTCTGAAACTCACTAGGTATTCTCCAGGCAAATAAGCTCTTCCTTTTCTTCATGAGATGCAAGCCAGGCCCACCCAATGGATCATTCACATATCTTAAACTGTGCTTCATAAATCAACATTTAAATATTCCCTTTGGCAAAGCCAGTTTTCCTCTCACCTCTAAAGTCCCAGTAGAAAAATACTACCTATATTTCTAAGTCCTTTGCTGCTGTATTATTGTAGCAATAATCATGGTAAGAGGTAGCATTTTTTGGCCCCTATTGTATGTTCACAACTGAAATAAACACTCCACAAATATAAATTCATGTAATATTGAAGTGGCATCGTTGTCTGGGATAAATACCTGGAGTTCATCATCTCACACCAAGGGAATCAAGGATGCAGACACAAGAAGTAGGTTTAGGAGCAGAGGTTTAATAGGCATAAGATAGAGAAAGGAGAAGAGCTCTCTCTTCTGTGAGAGAGACAGGGGTGCCTGAGTGGGACCTCTGGCCTGTGGCTCAGTGCACTGGATTTTATAGACAGGCTTGAGGAGGTGGTATCTGATTTACATAGGGCTCACAGATTGGTTGGAAGAAGTGTGAGGTTGACATAGCACAAGAGGAAGCTGGCCACCCCATCCTAATCTTATTGTGCAAATGGAGTCTTTGCCTGGCTGAGGCCATGTTGTCTGCTCCCTACTGTACACGTGGTACACGTGGCTGTAAAGGAGAAGGGAAGGTGGAGCCGCCATTTTGAACATCCGTAGTCCCAGGCAGCCTTTTCCTCGTGGCACAGCTGTCAGCTTTCACCCATGCAAGCTTCCAGCTTGCTTGTCTATGTCTGCAGCTTGATTTTACAGGCTGCTCTTTGTTAGAAAAGAAAATGATGTGGGGGGCTGCTTTTCATTAAAAGGAAAACCTTACTGAGGACTTCCTTACCCTCACTATCTGCCTAAATAATTCCTTTTTAACTCCTCTATCAATATTAATAAGAGCCCTGTAAGATAGGTATTATTTTTATTTTACAAATAAGCTGATGCTCGAAGGTTAAATAATCTGCCTGAGATGATGCAGCTGGGAAGTGTTAGAACAAGGATTCAAGCTCAACTCTCTCTTAATATCAGACCCAGGTAACTGGCCATTAGATTCTACTGTCCAGCCTAAAGATGCCTCAGAACACCAATCTGAATCTTTTGTATGGTGGATCAAAGTACTATCCCCAGTTTTGCACCCCTCTCTATATCCATGTGCCTCATAATAGTTCAGCATGTTCTTTCTTTCTTATTATTATTTTTTATTTTTTAAAAAATATTTTCTTCAGTATGTTCTTTCTGTGCCTTGATTTGGGGCTTAGCCATGTGTCTTGCTTGGCCAATGAAATGTGGGTAGAAGTGATGGCTTAGATCCTGTGTTAGTTTCCCGGGACTGCCATCACAAATCACTACACATTTAGTGGCTTAAAACAACATAAATGGGCCGGCGCAGTGGCTCATGCCTGTAGTCCCAGCAATTCTGGAGGCTGACGTGAGTGGATCATCTGAGGTCAGGAGTTCGAGACCAGCCTGGCCAACGCAGTGAAGCCCCGCCTCTACTAAAAATACAAAAAAAAAAAAAAAAAAAAAATTAGCCCGGTTGGTGGTGGGCACCTGTAATCCCAGCTGCTCAGGAGGGCTGAGGCAGGAGAATCGCTTGATCCGGCGAGGTGGAGGTTGCAGTGAGCTAAGATCGTGCCATTGCACTCCAGCCTGGGCAAAAGGAGGGAAACTCCATCTCAAAAATAAAACACAGAAACAAAAAAACCAGAAACATATTCTCTCATGGTGGTTTTGGAGGCCAGAAATCCAAAATAAAGCCTTTGCTAGGGTTGGTTTCTTCTTGCAGGCTCAGAGAGAGACTGTTCCACATTTGCCTCCTGGCTTCTGGTGGCTGCAGGCAATGGTGCTCCTTGGTTGTCAGTGTATCTGTAACATCTGCTTTCACTGTCCCATGACATTCTCCCTGCGTGTCTGTGCCCACATTTCCCTCGTTTTATAAGGACACCAGTCACTGGATTTGGATCCACCCCTAGTATGACTTCACCCTAACTTAATTACATCTGCAAAGACCCTATTCCAAATTAGGTGACAGTCACAGGTAGGAGGTGGGCAGAGATTAGGACTTCAACCTATCTTTTTGGGGCACACAGTTCAACCCACAACAGGCTCTAAAAGGCATTTGATTTTTCTGCTTGGCCTCTTGTACTTGTGCCATTACCAGGAAAAGAGCTCCTCTGGGGGAACTGTTGATCTTCAGCCCAGGCCCAAGGACGAAGACCCACGGAGCAGGAACTTCCTCAGCCAGATGGGCCTGCAGCTTAAAGCAGGCCTCCATGTGACCCACAGGCCATGAGAATACAAGATTGTTGTTATAATCCACTATGCTTTGGGGTGGTTTGTTGTGAGGCATTTTTGCAGCAATACCTAATCAATGCAGTAAGTATTCCTACAAGAGGCTGGGCGCGGTGTTTCACACTTGTAGTACCAGCACTTTGGGAGGCCAAGGTGGATGGATTGCTTGAGCTCAGAAGTTCAAGACCAGCCTGGGCAACATGGCAAACCCTGTCTCTACTAAAAATACAAAAACTAGCTGGGCATGGCGTCACACACCTTTAGTCCCAGCTACTTGAGAGCCGGAAGTGGGAGGATCACCTGAGCCCAGGAGGCTGAGGCTGGAGTGAGCAGTGATCATGCCACTGCAATGTAGCCTGGGGGATAGAACAAGACCCTGTCTCAAAAATAATAAATAAATAAAAAAATAAAAAAAAAATAAATAAATAATAAGCATTCCTATAAGAAATAACTAATTAGCAGATACAATGTGAAGGGAAAAACTAACCCACAATAGCAACAAAAGCCATAAAATACCTAGTTTTATTACCCTTCAGCAGCTCTTGAACATGTGAACTGAAATGTTATTTGTGGAGGACATATTATTACATTATTTTCTTTCTTCTTCTTTTTTTTCTGTGAGATGGGATTTCACTCTTTCACCCAAGCTGGAGTGCAGTAATGCAATCATGGCTCACTGCAGCCTCAACCTCCCAGGCTCAAGTGATCTCCTCCCATCTCAGCCTCTTGAGTAGCTGGGATTATAGGTGAGGGCCACCCTGCCCATTAATTTTCTATTTTGTAGAGACGGGGTCTCCCTATGTTGCCCAGCCTGGTCTCGAACTCCTGGGCTCAAGCAGTCGTCCTGCCTCAGCCTCTCAAAGTACTGGGATTGTATGCATGGGCCACTGCACCTGACTGACACCTTATTTTTATTTTTATTTTATTATACTTTAAGTTTTAGGGTACATGTGCACAACGTGCAGGTTTGTTACATATGTATATATGTGCCATGTTGGTTGGTGTGCTGCACCCATTAACTCGTCATTTACATTAGGTATATCTTCTAATGCTTTCCCTCCCCGCTTCTCCCACCCCACAACAGGCCCCAGTGTGTGATGTTCCCCTTCCTGTGTCCAAGTGTTCTCATTGTTAAATTCCCACCTAGGAGTGAGAACATATGGTGTTTGGTTTTTTGTTCTTGCAATAGTTTGCTGAGAATGATGGTTTCCAGCTTCATCCATGTCCCTACAAAGGACATGAACTCATCCTTCTTTATGGCTGTATAGTATTCCATCGTGTATATGTGCCAGATTTTCTTAATCCAGTCTATCGTTGATGGACATTTGGGTTGGTTCCAAGTCTTTGCTATAGTGAATAGTGCCGCAATAAACATACGTGTGCATGTGCCTTTATAGCAGCATGGTTTATAATCCTTTGGGTATATATTCAGTAATGAGATGGCTGGGTCAAATGATATTTCTAGTTCTAGATCCTTGAGGAAGCGCCACACTGTCTTCCATAATGGTTGAACTAGTTTACAGTCCCACCAACAGTGTAAAAGTGTTCCTATTTCTCCACATCCTCTCCAACACCTGTTGTTTCCTGACTTTTTAATGATCGCCATTCTAACTGGTGTGAGATGGTATCTCATTGTGGTTTTGATTTGCCTTTCTCTGATGGCCAGTGATGATGAGCATTTTTTCATGTGTCTGTTGGCTGCATAAATGTCTGCTTTTGAGAAGTGTCTGTTCATATCCTTTGCCCACTTTTTGATGAGGTTGTTTGTTTTTTTCTTGTAAATTTGTTTGAGTTCTTTGTAGATTCTTGATATTAGCCCTTTCTCAGATGAGTAGATTGCAAAAATTTTCTCCCATTCTGTATGTTGCCTGTTCATTCTGATGGTAATTTCTTTTGCTGTGCAGAAGCTCTTTAGTTTAATTAGATCCCATTTGTCAATTTTGGCTTTTGTTGCCGTTGCTTTTGGTGTTTTAGACATGAAGTCCTTGCCCATGCCTATGTCCTGAATGGTATTGCCTAGGTTTTCTTCTAGGGTTTTTATGGTTTTAGGTCTAATATGTAAGTCTTTAATCCATCTTGAATTAATTTTTGTCTAAGGTATAAGGAAGGGATCCAGTTTCAGCTTTCTCCATATGGCTAGCCAGTTTTCCCAGCACCATTTATTAAATAGGGAATCATTTCCCCATTTCTTGTTTTTCTCAGGTTTGTCAAAGATCAGATGGTTGTAGATACGTGGTATTATTTCTGAGGGCTCTGTTCTGTTCCATTGGTCTATATCTCTGTTTTGGTACCAGTACCATGCTGTTTTGCTTACTATAGCCTTGTATATAGTTTGAAGTCAGGTAGCGTGATGCCTCCAGCTTTGTTCTTTTGGCTTAGGATTCTGTTGGAAATGTGGGCTCTGTTTTGGTTCCATATGAACTTTAAAGTAGTTGTTTCCAATTCTGTGAAGAAAGTCATTGGTAGCTTGATGGGGATGGCATTGAATCTATAAATTACCTTGTGCAGTATGGCCATTTTCAAGATATTGATTCTTCCTACGCATGAGCATGGAATGTTCTTCCATTTGTTTGCATCCTCTTTTATTCGGTTGAGCAGTGGTTTGTAGTTCTCCTTGAAGAGGTCCTTCACATTCCTTGTAAGTTGGATTCCTAGGTATTTTATTCTCTTTGAAGCAATTGTGAATGGGAGTTCACTCATGATTTGGCTCTCTATTTGTCTGTTATTGGTGTATAAGAATGCTTGTGATTTTTGCACATTGATTTTGTATCCTGAGACTGCTGAAGTTGCTTATCAGCTTAAGGAGATTTTGGGCTGAGACGATGGGGTTATCTAAATATACAGTCATGTCATCTGCAAACAGGGACAATTTGACTTCCTCTTTTCCTAATTGAATGCCTTTATTTCTTTCTCCTGCCTGATTGCCCTGGCCAGAACTTCCAACACTATGTTGAATAGGAGTGGTGAGAGAGGGCATCAATGTCTTCTGCCAGTTTTCAAAGAGAATGTTTCCAGTTTTTGCCCATTCAGTATGATATTGGCTGTGGGTTTGTCATAAATAGCTCCTATTATTTTGAGATACGTCCCATCAATACTGAATTTATTGAGAGTTTGTAGCATGAAGGTTGTTGAATTTTGTCAAAGGCCTTTTCTGTATCTATTGAGATAATCATGTGGTTTTTGTCTTTGGTTCTGTTTATATGCTGGATTATGTTTATTGATTTGCATATGTTGAAGCAGGCTTGCATCCCAGGGATGAAGCCCACTTTATCATGGTGGATAAGCTTTTTGATGTGCTGCTGGATTTGGTTTGCCAGTATTTTATTGAGGATTTTTGCATCGATGTTCATCAGGGATATTGGTCTAAAATTCTCTTTTTTTGTTGTGTCTCTGCCAGGCTTTGGTATCAGGATGAGGCTGGCCTCATAAAATGAGTTAGGGAGGATTCCCTCTTTTTCTATTGATTGGAATAGTTTCAGAAGGAATGGTACCAGCTCCTCCTTGTACCTCTGGTAGAATTCAGCTGTGAATCCATCTGGTCCTGGACTTGTTTTGGTTGGTAAGCTATTAATTATTGCCTCAATTTCAGAGCCTGTTATTGGTCTATTCAGGGATTCAAGTTCTTCCTGGTTTAGTCTTGGGAGGGTGTATGTATCCAGGAAATTATCCAT
Source organism: Homo sapiens (assembly GCF_000001405.40). Taxonomy (NCBI): domain Eukaryota; kingdom Metazoa; phylum Chordata; class Mammalia; order Primates; family Hominidae; genus Homo; species Homo sapiens. Next base: position 9,444,068 of record NC_000008.11, read on the forward strand.
TTCTTCTAGATTTTCTAGTTTATTTGCATAGAGGTGTTTATAGTATTCTCTGATAGTAGTTTGTATTTCCGTGGGATCCGTGGTGGTATGCCCTTTATCATTTTTTATTGCATCTATTTGATTCTTCTCTCTTTTCTTCTTTATTAGTCTTGCTAGCAATCTATCAATTTTGTTGATCTTTCCAAAAAACCAGCTCCTGGATTCATTGATTTTTTCGAAGGGTTTTTTGTGTCTCTATCTCCTTCAGTTCTGCTCTGATCTTAGTTATTTCTTACCTTCTGCTAGCTTTTGAATGTGTTTGCTCTTGCTTCTCTAGTTCTTTTAATTGTGATGTTAGGGTGTCAATTTTAGATCTTTCCTGCTTTCTCTTGTGGGCATTTAGTGCTATAAATTTCCCTCTACACACTGGTTTAAATGTGTCCCGGAGATTCTGGTATGTTGTGTCTTTGTTCTCATTGGTTTCAAAGAACATCTTTATTTCTGCCTTCATTTCATTATGTACCTAGTAGTCATTCAGGAGTAGGTTGTTCAGTTTCCATGTAGTTGAGTAGTTTTGAGTGAGTTTCTTAATCCTGTGTACTAGTTTGATTGCACTGTGGTCTGAGAGACAGTTTGTTATAATTTCTGTTCTTTTACATTTGCTGAGGAGTGCTTTACTTCCAACTATGTGGTCATTTTTGGAATAAGTGCGATGTGGTGCTGAGAAGAATGTATACTCTGTTAATATGGGGTGGAGAGTTCTGTAGATGTCTGTTAGGTCCACTTGGTGCAGAGCTGAGTTCAATTCCTGGGTATCTGTGTTAACTTTCTGTCTTGTTGATCTGTCTAATGTTGACAGTGGGGTGTTAAAGTCCCCCATTATTATTGTGTGGGAGTCTAAGTCTCTTTGTAGGTCACTCAGGACTTGCTTTATGAATCTGGGTGCTCCTGTATTAGGTGCATATATATTTAAGATAGTTAGCTCTTCTTGTTGAATTGATCCCTTTACCATTATGTAATGGCCTTGTCTCTTTTGATCTTGGTTGGTTTAAAGTCTGTTTTATCCAAGACTAGGATTGCAACCCCTGCCTTTTTTTATTTTCCATTTGCTTGGTAGATCTTCCTCCATCCCTTTATTTTGAGCCTATGTGTGTCTCTGCATGTGAGATGGGTCTCCTGAATACAGCACACTGATGGGTCTTGACTCTTTATCCAATTTGCCAGTCTGTGTCTTTTAATTGGAGCATTTAGCCCATTTACATTTAAGGTTAATATTGTTATGTGTGAATTTGATCCTGTCATTATGATGTTAGCTGGTTATTTTGCTCATTAGTTGATGCAGTTTCTTCCTAGCCTTGATGGTCTTTACAATTTGGCATGTTTTTGCAGTGGCTGGTACCGGTTGTTCCTTTCCATGTTTAGTGCTTCCTTCAGGAGCTCTTGTAGGGTAGGCCTGGTGGTGACAAAATCTCTCAGCATTTGCTTGTCTGTAAAGGATTTTATTTCTCCTTGACCTATGAAGCTTAGTCTGGCTGGTTATGAAATTCTGGGTAGAAAATTCTTTTATTTAAGAATGTTGAATATTGGCCCCCACTGTCTTCTGGCTTATAGAGTTTCTGCCAAGAGATCAGCTGTTAGTCTGATGGGTTTCCCTTTGTGGGTAACCTGACCTTTCTCTCTGGCTGCCCTTAACATTTTTTCCCTCATTTCAACTTTGGTGAATTTGACAATTATGTGTCTTGGAGTTGCTCTTCTCGAGGAGTATCTTTGTGGTGTTCTCTGTATTTCCTGAATTTGAATATTAGCCTGTCTTGCTAGGTTGGGGAAGTTCTCCTGGATACTATCCTGCAGAGTGTTTTCCAACTTGGTTCCATTCTCCCCGTCACTTTCAGGTACACCAATCAGACGTAGATTTGGTCTTTACACATAGTCTCATATTTTTTGGAGGCTTTGTTCATTTCTTTTTACTCTTTTTTCTCTAAACTTCTCTTCTCCCTTCATTTCATTCATTTGATCTTCAGTCACTGATACCCTTTCTTCCAGTTGATCAAATCGGTTACCGAAGCTTATGTATTCATCAGGTAGTTCTCGTGCCATGTTTTTCAGCTCAGTCAGGTCATTTAAGGACTTCTCTACACTGGTTATTCTAGTTAGCCATTCGTCTAATCTTTTTTCAAGGTTTTTAACTTCTTTGCGTTGGGTTCGAACTTCCTCCTTTAGCTTGGAGAAGTTTGATCGTCTGAAGCCTTCTTCTCTCAACTCGTCAAAGTCATTCTCCATGAAGCTTTGTTCCGTTGCTGTCAAGGAGCTGCGTTCCTTTGGAGGGGGAGAAGTGCTCTGATTTTTAGAATTTTCAGCTTTTCTGTTCTGTTTTTTCCCTATCATTGTGGTTTTATCTGCCTTTGGTCTTTGATGATGGTGACATACAGATGGGGTTTTGGTGTGGATGTCCTTTCTGTTTGTTGGTTTTCCTTCTAACAGTCAGGATCCTCAGCTGCAGGTCTGATGGAGTTTGCTGGAGGTCCACTCCAGACCCTGTTTTCCTGGGTATCAGCAGCAGAGGCTGCAGAAAAATGAATATTGCTGAATAGCAAATGTTTCTGCCTGATGGTTCCTCTGGAAGCTTTGTCTCAGTGGGGTACCTGGCCATGTGAGGTGTCAGTCTGCCCCTACTGGGGAGTGCCTCCCAGTTGGGCTACTCGGAGGTCAGGGACCCACTTGAGAAAGCAGTCTGTGCGTTCTCAGATCTCAAACTCCATGCTGGGAGAACCACTACTCTCTTCAAAGCTGTCAGACAGGGACATTTAAGTCTGCAGAGGTTTCTGCTGCCTTTTGTTTGGCTATGCCCTGCCCCCAGAGGTGGAGTCTACAGAGGCAGGCAGGCCTCCTTGAGCTGCGGTGGGCTCCACCCAGTTTGGGCTTCCTGGAGGCTTTGTTTACCTACTCAAGCCTCAGCAATGGCGGGTGCTCCTCCCCCAGCCTTGCTGCCACCTGGCATTTCTATCTCAGACTGCTGTGCTAGCAATGAGGGAGGTTCCATGGGCGTGGGACCCTCCGAGCCAGGTGCGGGATATAATCTCCTGGTGTACTGTTTGTGAAGACCATTGGAAAAGCGTAGTATTAGGGTGGGAGTGACCCAATTTTCCAGGTACCGTCTGTCACCCCTTCCCTTGGCTAGGAAAGGGAATTCCCTGACCCCTTGAGCTTCCCACGTGAGGCGATGCCTCGCCCTGCTTTGGCTTACGCTCAGTGGGCTGCACCTACTGTCCTGCCCCCACTGTCCAATGAGCCCCAGTGAGATGAACTTGGTACCTCAGTTGGAAATGCAGAAATCACCCATCTTCTGCGTTGCTCACGCTGGGAGCTGTAGACTGGAGCTGTTCCTATTCGGCCATCTTGGAACCTCCCCAGATGATCTCCCCACACCTAATTTTCTAATTAAAAAATTATTTAGAACTCGGCTGAAGATTCCTTCAAGAAGCAACATGAACCTGATCGTGGAGAGTAAGAAGGAATTCAGAGAAAAAAGGAGCTAGAGATGTCAAACAAAATGTCCCTGCCCTCAAGTGGCTCACAATCTATTAGCTGAGCATAGGAACTTCTGTGAGTGAATGGGATAAAGAATATCCCATTAAAACTATGTCTAGATATTTATTTCTTGCCCCTCAAAGGCATTTTTGAAAAAGCACAGCAGTTGGCCGGGCACAGTGGCTCACGCCTGTAATCCCAACACTTTGGGAGGCCAAGGCAGGCGGTCACGAGGTCAGGAGATCGAGACCATCCTGGCTAACACAGTGAAACCTCGTCTCTACTAAAAATACAAAAAATTAGCCGGGGGTGGTGGCGGGCGCCTGTAATCCCAGCTACTCGGGAGGCTGAGTCAGGAGAATGGCGTGAACCTGGGAGTCACAGCTTGCAGTGAGCTGAGATTGCGTCACTGCACTCCAGCCTGGGTGACACAGCCAGACTCCATCTCAAAAAAAAAAAAAAAAAAAAAAGAAGAGAAAAGAAAGAAGGAGAGAAAGCACAGCAGTTGCAGAGGAGTCCAGCCATTTCACAAGGAAGAAGAGGAAGCACACAGATAACTAATAGCCAAACATAAATGTCTACGCTTTTCGTTTGGATGGGCCATGGGCCACGTTCCAGCTAACATGATTCTTTCATCTCTCATCTCTTTCCGCCCTTTCCTTTCCTCCTGTGTTCTGATCCTGACTACCACCAGGCATCCTCAGAAAGGATTTTTCATGCTGATAATTAGACTTGATGTATTTATGGAGCTCTGTTTTCCCAGAGGATCATCCCATCTGAGGCTGACATCCCTTTGAAAGTTTGGAGAATGTGAAGCTTGGAAGAGCTAAACAGTTCCCAGAGACCAGAACCGCAGGGAATTAAACTTCAGGATGATCTTAAGATATTTAGTGCTCTTATCCTCCATGTGCAGAGTATCTCTTTGGAAAAATTTTGGTGGCAAAAGTCATTAATGAATCTATATAACACCCTGTTTAACCAAAGTATGGATCCAATTTTTAACTTGCTGTTTTGATCTCTATTAGATTTGTGGTTTGCAGAAGTTTGGACTACTTTACCCCATAACAAAAAAGGAGTCACATACACACACTGTAAGATGTTGAAGTCTGAGTCACTTGAGCTATCTTTTTATTGCACAAAGCTCCTGGGCGATCTTGCATGAATCATTGTTCAACACTGAGAAGTTCTAATTCAGTAAACAAAATGCTATCACAAGTTCATCTTTAGCTGCCAATTATGCAATTTGAAAATGACACGTACTCACAGCATTCAGTCCCTTCATAGCTCCACAAAAACCACCTTAGGACAATTTGTTCTGTTAAATGAGTAGCTAGAAAAGTTACACATTATGCCAGGCATAATCTTCTTGTTTCTCTGGCAGACAGCTGCCTAGGAAATAAAATCTGTACTGTTGTTTATTGCTTGAGAATTTGTTTCTGTAGGAGGACAGGTGCATTTACCATGCCAGTGAGGGATGGATAAAAGGAAATAAAGGAGAGCTTAAAAGGAACTCTATGATTTTAGGTCACTTATTAAACCCCCTAATCATTAGTTTGTTCATCTGTACAGTGAAGATAATAATGTTCCATGCCCATCTTACAGGATGATAGTGAGAATCAGTTCAAGTTAGTTAGTAAGCAAATGAGAAGTACCTACTATGCACAGCACTATACCAGATATCTCTGGAAATAGATAAGTAAATAAAAATTACTTTTTAGCTCAGTGGCCATTTAATGATAAAATAAAATGTAGGTATGTACATTATTATGTACATTGTTAAACTCCATTTTTATGCACAATGTTAAACTCCATGCAAATACAAAGTAGTAGTAGTGGGGCAATGGTGACCACAGTAGTAAACTCAGAAAGTCAAAACTAGAAGGGGGCTTAGACATTCTGTAGTCTACTCCCCTGAGTTTAAACAAACTGACTTCCAGGGAGATTAATGCTTTATCCAAGAATGGACAAACAGCAGAAGCAAATATATGTTGTTAATATGCCCTGATTTTCTTTCTTTCTTTCTTTCTTTCTTTTTTTTTTTTTTTTTGAGATGGAGTCTCTCTCTGTTGCCCAGGCTGGAGCAGAGTGGCGCCATCTTGGCTCACTGCAAGCTCCGCCTTCCATGTTCACGCCATTCTCCTGCCTCAGCCTCCCAAGTAGCTGGGACTACAGGCACCCGCCACCACAGCCAGCTATTTTTTTTTGTATTTTCAGTAGAGATGGGGTTTCACCATGTTAGCCAGGATGGTCTTGATCTCCTGACCTCGTGATCCACCCGCCTTGGCCTCCCAAAGTGCTGGGATTACAGGCATGAACCACCACGCCCGGCCAATATACCCGAGTTTTCAAGCAGATTCCTGGAAACCCAGATGGCAACTTTAGCATCATCAGCTAAAATTTAATACGGGGAGAATTGAATACATGTACAGAAATCTTTCAGCTCTGCTTACCACTGTGGATAGGAAGGTGGGCTGACGGTGTTAGATTCTGGCCCTGCTACTCATTAATTAGTGACCTTGGGCAAGTTACTTAATTTCCATGTCTCCTCTCCTCATCTGTAATATGAAGGAAATCATAGTGCCAAACATCAAAGGATTATTATGAAAGTTCAAGGAATTAATATGTAAAGTGCTGCAAAGAGAGTCTAGCACATGACAAGCTCTCTGCATTGCTGTCTATTCATATAATTTAAGCCCAGTGGAGGCTGACACGGCCATCCTGTTGGTGAGGGAGGTGTCTAAGGAAGTGCTGAGCTGGGGAAGTCAGAACACATTAGAACAAACGGGCAGCACTGAAAGCTATGAAGGCAGGGAAGATTTCTTTCCCCACAAACCAAACCAAAGAGGTTACCTTTAGGATACTTTTTTCCTTTTCACAAAGATGTCAGCTAACATCCTGAGCATTTCAGGTATCATGTCTGAGTGCCAATGCAGGGAATGAGCCTGTAATTCTAGGACTTGAGCAGTGCTCTCATCAATTCAGCTCCCAACCACAGCTTACTCTGGGTTGAATTAAGGTAGCAAATGGTTTACAGAGAAGAGGCAGCCCCTGTTCTGAGATAAAGGTATTGATCACCCATCATTATCAATTCATCAGCCTCTGCACCACTCAACCTGCCTGGAAGATTGGCAGGCGAAGCCCGGGTTGGGGGTGGGGAGGTTGTTAGGTTTACACACAGATCACACGTGATCACATGACATTTCCTAACTTCAGCAGAACATGATAGCCACTGAGGACCCTGAAGCTCAGTTAGGGTCGCTCTGGGACAGCTGTCTATTTCCTGGCTTCACTTGGTAGGCAGGGTGGAGGCAAGGTCAAAGAAGATCAAGAACTGGGCTGTAACATAATCCATGGAATTGACACTGCAGAACAAAGAACATGTCTAGTACAAGAGGTGTGCCCAGCACAGGACAAAACCGTGTCCAGGAGGAAGAGGGAGTCATGTACGTCCAGGTCTGTGTGGGAGTGGGTGACCTGTCTGGAGATTCCTATCCCTTTGGTGGAGAGTGAAGCATCGGCTTCAGTTAACTTTCCAATCAGGCAGCCGGCGCCCTCTTCTCACTCTGATTCTAGCCTCTCCAGGCTGTCTTCTGATGATCACTTGACTTCCCACCTAGATTGCACCACAGGGAGAGAACGTGCTTGAAACAGGATGTGTGTCGGATCTCTTGGCTGATTTTACTTGTCATCGTAAATTAATAAAATGGCATTTTGATTTACACACCCGTCTCTTGTGAACTTGGTGAGTGTGACTGAGAGCCCGATAAACCGATCTTACCTCCGTGTGCTGACAAAACCAATTTTCTCAGTTTCTGAACCTGAAAAACTAAGGGCCAGCCCTTAGACTGCGGTGAAATCACCAAGGTAAATTCCCTTTTGAAGTCTCTGGCAGACAGACAGCCGCCCTTTCCTCCACCTCCTGTCAAACACATTTCTCTTGTGGACTTTCATCTTTCAAGGTGAACACTCCATGTTCAATGCCCACTCAAATGATTGATTCCATGGTGGTAAGCTCAGGAAATGGGAAACTTTCTCCTCCCCTGAGCCACCTAATCAATGTTTTAACATGTCTATAAAGGCACTTAATCAAAACATAATTCTAATAAGCATGTGGTTTTTAGCATCTTATGTAGATCCCCTATTCAAAATGATGAAACTGTTATTCAGTTGTAACCCAAGCTTTCGTAGGCCACACCAGACAGTACAAATTAGGTTATGTTCCCTTTAAATCCAGTGGTGCTGGTGGGGTGACCCCACCTGCAGAAGGCTGGTCATTAACCTCTGTCCCCAAGTCTTCCCATCTGTCTTGGGAGGTTTCTGAGGGGCCCTGTGTGCTCACGGTCCTCTCCTCTGGTCTCTTTTTAATTTTTTTAAAAATGTTTGACTTTTTAAGTTAAAAACAATTTTTTTGTTGTTGTTGGTTTTCTTGTTTTTGTTTTTGTTTGTTTGTTTTTTGAGATGGAGTCTTGCTCTGTCTTCCAGGCTGGAGTGCAGTGGTACCATCTCGGCTCACTGCAGCCTCCCTCTCCTGTATTCCAGCGATTCTCCTGCCTCAGCCTCCTGAGTAGCTGGGATTATAGGTGCCCGCCACCATGCCCAGCTAATTTTTGTATTTTTAGTAGAGTCAGGGTTTCACCATGTTGGCCAGGCTGGTCTTGAACTCCTGACCTCAGGTGATCCACCTGCCTCAGCCTCCCACAGTGCTAGGATCACAGGTGTTAGCCACTGCGCCTGGCCTATTTTATTTTATTTTATTTTTTTAGAGGCAAGGTCTTGCTTTGTCACTGAGGCTAGAGTGCAATGGCAAGATCATAGCTCACTACAGCCTCAACCTCCTGGCTGGCCTTGTTTTAAATGTTGGCTGCCTGCAGATCACTTCCAAGAGAGCCCGGCCTTTGTCACTGCCATTATTTTTGGTGTTGCAGCAATCCATGAGATTTCTTCTTCTGAGAGCACTGTCTCTGCAAGTTTGCAAAGCTGTATTTTGGTACCTCAAGGTAACAAATTGTCATGAAGTTCTTTCAATGCATCTTTGCACCCCCAGAACCAGACAGTTATGGTGGAGAAATGGAAGGCACCCTTCTCCCCAGGCCTGTACTGCACAGTGCTTTCTGGGTTCCAGGGTAGCACTGACAGTGTCCAGAGTCCTACAAAATCTTCAAGGAAACAGCTCTTTCATTATTGGCCAAAGCCCCTCTCCTTAAAAGGGATCAAGCCTAGGTCTTACAGAACAGACGTCTTACTGTCTTCCCAATCTTCCATGCCTGACTTTGGTCTCGTCTTTTTCCTTAAAGCTTATCATGCACTCATGCAAATAGATACCTGGAGACAGTCACAGGGTAAAAAAAATCACAGTTCATGCTCAGGGTGAAAGAGCCCCATGCTGCACAGGCATGTGCTCACTCAGCACACATCTGTGAGCAGATGCTAAGTACACCAGATTCTGAACGAGGTTATGATGACAGAGAGAATAAGACATGGTCCCTAGAAGTTCTGAATCTGGGCTGTGGAATAATCAACTGTGATATAATATTATATGTACCACAGAAATGATATGTACAAAATATGCTAAAACACAGAGGAAAAAAAAGGCTTCCAAAAGCAGAGGTTCTATAGCAGTAGAGAAGAGCTGAGTACGGCTGGGTGCAGTGGCTCATGCCTGTAATTCCAGCACTTTGGGAGGCTGAGTCAGGCGAATCACCTGAGGTCAGAAGTTTGAGACCAGCCAGGCCAATACAGTGAAACTCTGTCTCTACTAAAAGTAGAAACATTAGCCAGGCATGTGGCAGGCACTTGTAATCCCAGCTACTTGGGAGGCTGAGGCAGGAGAATGGTTTGAACCCAGGAGGCGGAGGTTGTAGTGAGCCAGTGAGCTGAGATGGCGCCACTGTACTCCAGCCTAGGTGACAGAGTGAAAAAAAAAAAAAAAAAAGAGCTGAGTAGAGGAAAGGGAGTTTCTTTAAAGGGCTTGCTGGGAGAAGATAGTTAAATGGTCCTTGAAGCACAAGTTTATCAGGCAGATGTCAATAGGCATTCCAGGCAGGGGAAAAAGGTGAATGAAGTGTTAAAAGAAGTAATTTCATTCTATAAATTTGATAATTCTATAAATGAGATTTTGTAGAGCAAAATTCTAAGAGGCTTCAACATATGAACAGCAGCTTTTCAGTGAAACCCTTTGAAAAACAAAACTGATGTTGCAAAAGGATTTTATTCATCTTTCTTTTGGTTGCTGAGGGTGAACAATACATAAAATAATAAGAAGAGGAGGAAGAAGGTGATACCAAGCATTTCAACACTGTCTGCTGAGAACGATTTAGGTGAAGAGATTGTGATGAAGATGAATAACATGAGTAGTCCTTTGACAAGTGGCACACCAAGCACTGATTACACTAGACATGGGATGATAAGGTTAACCAGTAAGAAAAGTCCAACATTGGCCGGGCGTGGTGGCTCATGCCTGTAATCCCAGCACTTTGGGAGGCCGAGGAGGACAGATCACAAGGTCAGGAGAGCAAGACCATCCTGGCTAACATGAGGAAACCCTGTTTCTACTAAAAATACAAAAAAATTAGCCAGGCGTGGTGGTGGGCGCCTGTAGTCCCAGCTAGCTGGGAGGCTGAGGCAGGAGAATGGCTTGAATCTGGGAGGCAGAGCTTGCAGTGAGCCGAGATCGCACCACTGTACTCCAGCCTGGACAACAGAGTGAGACTGTCTCAAAAAAAAAAAGAAAAAAGAAAAGTCCAACGTTGGTGAAGGCATATGGAAGATCTAGACTATGTCCTAATTATTCTAGACCAGTGAGACTTACTAAATCTAAAAGTTATACAAAAAGTGAAGATAGGCCAAGGAAGAGCCTCTGATCTTCTCCAGCCTTGTCATCTACTTGCCCATTTAGGCAAGACTCTCAATGTACATGAATCACTCACTGCCTTCATTTAATTTAGATACCCTACTAGTACATAACCTAGATGTTGCAAGGAATATTCCATTCACTGATGGAAATAGAGCAGCAAAGAAAGCAAGCAAACGGTGCTCAAGATCCACCATATATACCTCATTGTCTAAGTGGGAGCCCAGGGTTCTGACTCTACCTGTTAAACAGATGAAGATATCTGTCATGAGTTGGAAGGAGCTGCATCCTCCCACTTTGGGGAATAAAGAATTTGATCTCAGCTCAACAAGCCTGGAAAGTTCTGCCTTACCTTAGAAGGATCCTTGTCAAAGTTTGCCTTACCTGAGAAATGAGAAGTAGCATCTTCCCGCAACATGAATAAATACAAATAACTTCTAGAATTCTGCAATGGAGGTTCTCATCTCAAGTCGCTCACTCTTGGTATCAAAAGTGTAATTGTCTAGCAAAGACATAGAATCAACCTAGGTGCCCATTGATGGTGGCTTGGACAAAGGAAATGTAGTACACATACTCCATGAAATGCTATGCAGCCCTGGCTGGGCGCGGTGGCTCACGCCTGTAATCCCAGCCCTTTGGGAGGCCGAGGTGAGCAGATCACAAGGTCAGGAGATCAAGACCATCCTGGCTAACACGGTGAAACCCCGTCTCTACTACAAATACAAAAAATTAGCCAGGCATGGTGGCATGTGCCTGTAGTCCCAGCTACTCAGGAGGCTGAGGTAGGAGGATGGCGTGAACCCGGGAGGTGGAGCTTGCAGTGAGCCGAGATCGCACCAATGCACTCCAGCCTGGGCAACAGCAAGACTCTGTCTCAAACAAAAAAAAAAAGAAAGAAAGAAATGCCACACAGCCCTAAAAAATAATGAAATCATGCCCTTTGCAGCTACGCAGATGTAGCTGGAGGCTATTTTCCTAAGCAAATTAATGCAGGGACAGAAAAACAAATACTACATGTTCTCACTTATAAGTGGAAGTGAAGCTCTGGGCACACATGGACATAAAGATGGGAACAACTGATATTGGGGACTACTGGGGAGAGGGAGGAGGGGGACATGGGCTGAAAAACTACTGGGTAATATGCTCACTGCCTGGGTAATGGGGTCATTGATACCCTAAACCTCAGCATCATGCAATATACCCGTGTAATAAACCTGAGGTCAGGAGTTCGAGACCAGCCTGACCAACACGGTGAAACCTCGTCTCTATTAAAAATACAAAAATTAGCTGGGCGCTAAGGTGGTGGACCCCTGTAATCCCAGGTACTCAGGAGGCTGAGGCAGGAGAATCACTTGAACCCTAGAGGCGGAGGTTGCAGTGAGCTGAGATCATGCCATTGCACTACAGTCTGGGCAACAGAGTGAGACTCTGTCTCAAATAAATAAATAAATAAATAGTTGAAAAGAATGTTAACATGTGATTGTCTCATCCATGATGAGGAAGTCATGACGGGCTGGACAGCAGGCAATTCATATCTCAGTGCTCCATGTTTTGTGGCAATCTGTTCTTACCTTTTCTAAATTTTGAAATAAGAAATTTTAAATGACCTGAAACACAATTTTTGAAGTCAAGCCAGTCTACAGAAAATGCATATTTTGCATCCTCTTTTCAAGTCAGACAAGGCAATCTTGCATCTCAGCATCAGCCTCTTGCCTTCATACATCTTACCTCAGTTCAAGGGGATATTTATCTAAAAATAACAAATCTAAACCACAGGAAAATTCATGTGCCCAAAGTATGCAAATCCCTGCTGACTAATAAATCAACAACTTATGTCACAAAGTCCAATAGTTACAATGACCAGAAGTGTTATACTTATGGCATCTTGGATAAGGGAGGCACTGGAGGACAGAAGGTCATTCCTGCAGACAGAGAGCCAGCTACTTTACAAGGAGCTTCAGATTCTTTAAGATCAGAATGACACTGTCCAAATCCAGATTCAATCACTGTTTCATATATTAGTCTTAGTGTAGAAGGGACTTGAAAGCTTCTTGGAAAATGAAGATGATCATGCAATAACAATAACAGACTTTGTGGATTATCATCCAATTGCCTTTTGGAAGCTGGTGTGGTGCTTTAGACATTTTAACTTGTGCAGTCGCTTAGCAGGATTGTTTTTTTTTTTTCTGAGCATTGTACCAGGTATTCAAAGATTCTCCATCATTATATGTCTGAAGGTGATAAATACATTTTAGTATGCATGTTTTAGGGAATATAAAACTACATCTGGATCTGGGACACCCTTGAACATCCTCTGGAATGTCCACACACAAAATGACCCAATGGTCTCTTTATTGCAAAAAAGTGATAATTTACTTAACCAGGAACTACTGAAAAGTTTGTTTGGGCCGGGCACAGTAGTTCACGCCTGTAATCCCAACACTTTGGGAGGCCGAGGAGGGCAAATCACGAGGTCAGGCGATCGAGACCATCCTGGCTAACACAGTGAAACCCCATCTCTACTAAAAATACAAAAAAATTTAGCTGAGCGTGGTGATGGGCGCCTGTAGTCCCAGCTACTCAGGAGGCTGAGGCAGGTTAATAGCGTGAACTCAGGAGGCGGAGCTTGCAGTGAGCCAAGATCGTGCCACTGCATTCCAGCTTGGGTGACAGAGCGAGACTCTGTCTCAAAAAAAAAAAAAAAAGAGTATGTTTAAATCATTAAAAATTAATCTGTGGACCAATGAGGCATTTAGAGACATTGAATAAGTATCTGCATTTTAAGACATAGCAGAGGTAGTGTAGAGAAATATGAATCCTTTCACTTTTGGATCTGGGAAGAGAAAATATCGACATAAGATGCTTTTGATATAGATTATAAGATGGCTTAGGATCACCGTACCATGATCATATCACAGTTAAGCAAGAATCTATGCAACTGTGATGGATCGCCCAGGAACTACAGGGGTGGTAGAGTGCTGAAAAACCTTTGGAAGTGTATGTGAATGCATGTGTACTTTCAATATGAGTTGTATAATCAGCATGTAAAGCAGTACTTCTATAAACATGCAAGAAAAAAATGGAAGTCGTAACAATGGCAAACTGCCACATATCAACGACAGCAGCAACAAAAGATCTAGAGCTAAAACCATTAGAATGAAAAAGATACTGCAGAAATACAGTTTTCATGAGCCATTTCAGTCTCTGACAGATCAAACAGATGCCCCTCAAGCTTGATAATATATTTGAGCAATATAATTTTAAAAAGTAATCTGTATTTATATGTATCTATTATAACCTTGCCAAGGCTAGGATCTTGGATGTGGTCCTTTAATAGCTGGTCACTGGATCTTTGGGGAAAAAAGCCATCTAGCATAAAGGGTAAAGCACTGGAATCACACAAACAGGTTCACTTCTTGACTCTTCTGTTCACTTAATAAAAGGAAATATTTTGTTTCTCTGAACCTCACTTTCCTCATGAGTAAAATGGGGTAATGGAACAGCTGTCTGTGATAATGCATAGAAAGCCCTGTAACAGTGTCTGCTCCAGTGTGGATGCCCAATGTACATCAGCTCTGATTGCCGCAGCAGCAGACTCCCGTCATCTGCCCTTGCCTTCCTCTGCCAAGGGCCATTACTCAGGCCTCTCCACTGACAGCAGAGAGGACTTGCCTGGCATACAATTCATGCCAGTGTTCTCCTATAACGTCACTGATTTCTGTAACTACCGTATCCACCTGTTGTAGTAGGGGGCCACCCCTGAGCTTCTCTTCCTGGTGGGGAGAGACGAGGAAAGAAAGCAGCAGCATCTCCTAGGCAATGGGGACAATTTTATCACTTCTGCTACCTAGATCCCGGAGCTAAGGAGGAAGCTCCCAGGGCACATCAGCCTTGCTCTAAAGACCAGTTCCCCAGCCAATTTATTGCTTAACTGTCTAATTCCACCCAGGAATCCGAATGGACTCCCCAGCATCCTAGTTCACTAACTGTGCCTGTATCTGCTTCAATCGCAGTTTGGACAGATTTTGAGTTGTTGCCCACATGGTTTCTTTTTTTTTTTTTTCTTTTTTTTTTTTTTTTTTTATGAGACAGAGTTTCGCTCTTGTTGCCCAGGCTGGAGTGCAGTGGCGTGATCTCGGTCTCGGCTTACTGCAACCTCTGCCTCCCAGGTTCAAGTGATTCTTCTGTCTCAGCCTCCCAAGTAGCTGGGATTACAGGTGCCCACCACCATGCCCGACTAATTTTTGTATTTTTAGTACAGATGGGGTTTCATCATACTGGTCAGGCTGGTCTCGAACTCCTGACCTCAGGTGATCTGCCCGCCTTGGCCTCCCAAAGTGCTGGGATTACAGGTGTGAGGCACAGCGCCCAGCCGCTTACATGGCTTCTTGCCACATCTGGCCTATGGCTGGTTTCCCAGGAGGTTGTCCAACTCGCACTCCGGCATCATTGAACCTGAATATCGATCTAGCTGAGGCCCCTGATACTACTATATTCTACAGAAAATAAATCTTCTTGGCCGGGCGCAGTGGCTCACACCTGTAATCCCAGCGCTTTGGGAGGCCAAGGTGGGCGGATCATGAGGTCAGGAGATCAAGACCATCCTGGCTAACATGGTGAAACCCCATCTCTACTAAAAATACAAAAAATTAGCTGGGCATGGTGGCGGGCGCCTGTAGTCCCAGCCACTCGGGAGGCTGAGGCAAGAGAATAGCATGAACCCAGGGGGCAGAGTTTGCAGTGAGCCGAGATCGTGCCACTACACTCCAGCCTGGGCGACAGAGCGAGACTCTGTCTCAAAAAAAAAAAAAAAAGGAAATCTTCTCTTTCTGAGAGCTCCATAGAACATTTACCAACTATGAATCATGTAGTCAGAAATAAAGAAAATCTTAATAAATTCACAAAAACAGAAATTGGGTAGGCCACATTCCCTAATCACAATGCAATAAAACTAAAAGTAGTTTATTTAAATTATAACCCAAATTACCCCTAAATATTTGGAATTTTTTTAGAAGTATTCTAGGCCAGGCATAGTGGCTCAAGCCTGTAATCCCAGCACTTTGGGAGGCCGAGTCGGGTGGATCACCTGAGGTCAGGAGTTCGAGACAAGCCTGGCCCACATGGTGCAACCCCGTCTCTACTAAAAATACAAAAATTAGTTGAGCCTGGGGGCACGCAACTGTAATCCCAGCTACTCGGGAGGCTGAGGCAGGAGAATTGCTTGAACCTGGGAGGCAGAGTTTGCAGTGAGCCAAGATTGCGCCATTGCACTCCAGCCTAGTTGACAAGAATGAGACTTCATCTAAAAAAATAAAGAAGTATTCTAATAACTAGACAAAGGAGGAGATCAATAATAGAGAACAGTCAGCCCTCGCTATCCATGGGTTCCACATCTGCAGATTCGACCAACTGTAAATCAAAAATATTCAGAAAAAATTCCAGGAAAGTTTATGTTGTTGCTGATTTATACTATGTAGTTAGGCCTATAACTAACATGTATAGACTTTTTTTCTTATCATTATTCCCTAAACAATATAATAACCATTTACATTGTGCTGGGTATTATAAGTAATCTAGAAACGATTTGAAGTATATGGGGCCAGGCGCGGTAGCTCATGCCTGTAATCCTAGCATTTTGGGAGGCCAAGGCGGGCAGATCACCTGAGGTCAGGAGTTCGAGCCCAGCCTGGCCAACATGGTGAAACTCTTTCTGTATTAAAAATACAAAAAAACCTAGCAGAGCATGATGGCACGCACCTGGAATCCCAGCTACTCAGGAGGCTGAGGCAGGAGAATTGCTTGAACCTGGGAGGAGAAGGTTGCAGTGAACTGAGATCGTGCCACTGTATTGCAGCCTGGTTGACAGAGTGAGACACTGTCTCAAAAAAAAAAAAAAAAAAAGCATATGGGAGAATATATGTAGGTAGTATATAATACTATACCATTTTATATCAGGGACTTGAGCATCCACAAATTTTGGCATCTGCAGTGGGCTCCTGGAACCAATATCATTCAGATACTGAGAAATGGCTGTAATACGTCATTTAGAAAATAATGAGTACTTATCAAAGCATGAAATGAGGCTAAGCAGGATTGAGAAACAAATTCATAAACTTTAATTGTTTAATTAAAAAAAGAAAAAGCATGCTAAGCTATAAGGATAAAATTACAGGGGAGAAAAGAGTCCCAAGGAAGGAAATAATTAAAAGAAGAAATAATAATAACTTTCTTATAATGAGTGCCTAATATGTTTATAGTCCTCTTATATGCATTCTCTAATCCCTACAAGATTTCAAATATGGTATTACTACTATTCCATTTTGCAGATGAGAATACTAGTCTCAGCAAGGTTGGGGAGCTTGTCTGAGGCCTCATAGCTCGTAAGTTGTGAAAGAAATTTGAGCTCAAGTCAGTATGACTTCATACATTCCTCTAATTCCACTATCCACTTCAGTCTGCTCTTTGTACTATATTGCATTCATTCAAACACACATTAGAAAATAAACCACATGCAGCCGGGCGCGGTAGGTCACACCTGTAATCCCAGTGCTTTGGGAGGCAAAGGAGGGGTGGATCACGAGGTCAGGAGATCGAGACCATCCTGGCTACATGGTGAACCCCGTCTCTACTAAAAATACAAAAAAAAATTTAGCTGGGCATGGTGTCGGGCGCCTGTAGTCCCAGCTACTCGGGAGGCTGAGGCAGGATAATGGCGTGAACCCCGGAGGTGGAGCTTGCAGTGAGCCAAGATCGCACCACTGCACTCCAGAGGAAGACTCCATCTCAGAAAAAAAAAAAAAAAAAGAAAAAAGAATAAACCACATGCTGGGTCATTGAAAATAATTGTATAATTAATAAACGTCAGACAAAATGTAATGAACAAAAAAGATAATTAATATAGTACTATATCAGATGCCAAGATTTTAAAATATAAGCTGGTAATTTAAAAGTACATAATAATACTTGACAAAATCTCACTAGAATAATTTTCTAAACATATAAAATGATTAAAACTGGCACAATAAATTCTCTATCCATTAGGATTCATTTTGGCTTCAAATGACAGAAAATCCAAAATAACAGTGAAGTTTAGTCCAGCTACTGTGGGACTCCTAAACTCTGTTATTTTGTTGCTCTGCCATCCTCAGCAAGAGGTTCCCACCTCATGACACAAAATGGCTGGGGAGTCTTCAGCCATCACCTTTTTATTTTAGCAAGTAAGAAAAAAGGCACAAATTCTTCTTCTAAAGATGATATCCAGAAGTTACGAATATCACTTTTGCATCCACCCTGTGGTAGACAGACTCAAAGATGGTTCTCAAATATCCCAAATACCTTTCTGTAATCCTGTCCCCTGTAGTGTGGGCAGGACCTGTGATTGGTTTCTAACAAAGGATCTGCTAAAGGTGATGAGATGTGACAATTCTCTCCCTTGCTGGCTTAGATGACCTTAGCTGACATATATGAAGAAGCCCAGGTAACAAGGAACCAAGCATAGCTTCTAGTCAGCATCTAGCAAAGGTCAGAGACCCTCAATCTGACAGTTCACAAGGAACTGAATCCTGCCAACAACCATCTGAGCTTGAAAGTGGATTCTTCCCCAGTCCAACCTCAGATGAGACCCCAGACCTAACTGCCACCTTGATTGCAGCTTTAAGACAGAGGCTGAAGCAGAGAATAGTTATGTAAGTCCAGAATCTTGACCCACAGAAGTGGAGATAATGAATAGGTTTTGTTTAAGCTGCTATTGTGATAATATTATTACTAGATACGAATACACTCTTCATTCACCAATACTGATTCACATCGCTACACATAGCTGCAAAGGAAGCTGGAAAGTGTAGTCTTAATTCATTGGCTATATGTAAGCTAAACATCCAAAATTCTACTGCCAAGGAGAAGAGAAGAATGGATACTGGGCCCCAGCCAGGGATCTGTGCTCCAGCAGACTAAGCAAATAACCAGGAGAAAAATAAGAAATGTTATCAGAGGGCTAAGCGCAATAGAATATTTCAAGCCACAATGCCTTCAGTATTAAATTATTGCAAACATTTAAGAAACAAAAAAATCCTTTCATCATTAAAAAAAACTATTCCAAATTAACTTTTGCTGCTGACATGGCAAACTGAAATAATACTTTTAGTAAAATGATTTATAATATGTGTTAAGAGCCATGAAAAGTGTCTATCCTTGACTCAATAATTTCAATTCTATAAGTATATCCCAGAGAAAAATACAATTATAGAGGAATAAATCTATGTAATATACTTATCATTGCACAGAAATATTACTAACAGAAAAAAATTAAAATCACCAAAATATTCATTAGTATATCAGCCAACAAGTAAATTAGTGTCCACCTTCTTAATAAAATTATCATGTAGTCATTAAAAATAATTACAAAGACTGTTTTGTAGCATAAAATGTAGAATGTAGGCTGGGTGTGGTGGCTCACACCTGTAATCCCAGCACTTTGGGAGCCTGAGGTGGGAGGATTGCTTGAGCCCAGGAGTTTGAGACTATCCTGGGCAACATAGTGAGACTCTGTCTGTACAAAAAAGAAAAAGGAAAAATTAGCCAGGCGTGGTAGTGCACACCTGTAGTCCCAGCTACTTGGAAGCCTGAGGCAAAAGGATCACTTGGGCCCAGGAGGTCAGAGGTTACAGTGAGCTGTGGTCACGCCATCACACTCCAGCCTGAATGACAGAGGAAGACCCTGTCTCAATTTTTTTTAAAGGACAATGTAAAGATGCCAAGTGATGAAAACAGAATTCAAAAAACATTGTTTTAAAAAGAATGAATAGCAATACAATAATGACAGAAGTGATTGTTTTGGTGAATAGGATTATTGTTTATTGTTTTCCTCAAATTTTCTAAATTTTCTCTAATTATTTGTGTAACTGAAAAATTTTTAAATAACAAACAAAAGATTAAATAACAATAACAGCTGTATCTATTGGACTTCACTGCCAACATAGCAAACACTTTGGACTACTCTTTGTATATGTTATCTAATTTAATCTGCACATTAACTCCATAAGTCACTACCAATATAGTCCCAATTTTGCAATAGAGGAACCGAAGCCACAAGAAATGTTAAGTTCTTCACCCAGGGACACAGCCAGGACCATGGCAGAGAGCGTTTCAATCCATATATGTCTGACTATAGAATCCAACATTTCAAACACTGGGCTAAAGAGCAAAGAGTAAGTGAAAGAAATACAAATAGCAAGTAACATTTCATGAGAGAAATGAGTGGGTAAGGCAATTGCCCAGGAAATCACATTGAGGGGAGAAATGAATACAGCTCATAAATTCAAAACCAAAAGTCCACAGCCTTCTGGATGTCACAGGGCTTTTGGTATCGTATTTTAATGTTTAGACATTCAACATTTTAAGAGCTCACTCCTTTGTGGTCAAGCCCTTTGAAACAATGAGCTTTATGCATGGCTTGTTTTTGTGCCTAATGATCCGTGGTAGAAGAACTTACTGTCTCGGTGACCTCTGTCTCCTGGCGACAGTGAGGCCCACCTGGTCTTCCCAGCATCCCTGTGGTTATGTGGCAGTTTATCAAATGGCCACAAGCACAATAGTGAATCAGTATTGAATGACAATAATTTCAAAGGTAAGTTCAAAAATAAGCTCTTTCTAAAATTCTTTTCATGAGTCATACCACAAGAGTAAAAAACAGATTTTGTGAGCAAGGAGGTACTTCTCTCACACAAATGACAAGTTTTTATATATAATAATAACTTAGAGTTGCTAACCTCCATATGCAGGAATGAAACTATTCTGCATTAGGTCATCAGCAATTCAGCTCTGATCTTTCTATCTGTTTTGAAGAACCTTTCCTTCATCTGAGGTCAATGTTTGTAGGATCAGAATAACATCCTGCATTTTTAATGAGCTTTTCAAATCACATATTTTGCAAAAGGTCATGCCTCCTGTGTTATTTTTATTTCATTTTGGAAGGAAAGTTAAATGTTTATAGCTCAATGGGCAATTTTAAGTTCTTCTACAAGATCCTGTTCAAAGGAAATACATTAGAGTTTGTGTGTATTCTGTAAACTTGCATTTGGGAGAGAATATGATGTGCATATGTGTCCACATGGTGATCATAATTCCTCTAATATGATACCCTTGGGTTTAATCATACCATGTTAATTCAACTGGACTTAGAGTTCTAATTAATTTAAAATTCTAATACAAATTTTAATGAATTCCTAAGCAAAAGACCTTCCTTGTTCTTGAATAGGACATTTCAACATCATAATGATGTGAGTTCTCCCTGAGTTTAGTTATAAATATAATGCAATCATAGTTTTTAAAATAAGCTTTTATTTTTCTGGAGGTAGGCAAGTGGTAACAACATTCTTATAGAAAAATAAATAAGCAAGAATAGCTAAGGAAGCTCTGAAAAGGAGGAACTGTGAAAGTGATTAGCCTTCTTAGGTTGTAAAACATACTACAAAACCTCTGTAATTAAAGTAGTGTGGTATTGGCATATAAATAGATAAACAGACCAATGGGAGTGGAATAAAAGTCTAGATCTTAACTGCATATGGAAACTTAGAGTGTGATAAACGGAACATTTCAAATTACTAGAGCAAAGGTGGATTTTTCAAATACATGGTATTGAGACAACTGGTAGCCATTTGGAGAAAGATGAAATTAGATCCATTCCTTACACCAAACACACACACATTCACACACACATCCACACACACACACAGAGGCACACACACGTACACATGAAGATCAGAGCTCTAAATATAAGAAACAAAACCATGAAAGTACTAGAAGAAAGCAGGGGCCGGGCATGGTCGCTCACGCCTGTAATCCCAACATTTTGGGAGGCTGAGGCGGCCAGATCATGGGGTCAGGAGTTTGAGACTAGCCTGGCCAACATGGTGAAACCCCGTCTCTAACAAAGATACAAAAATTAGCCAGGTATGGTGGCGGGCACCTGTAATCCCAGCTACTCTGGAGCCTGAGGCAGGAGAATTGCTTGAACCCAGGAGGCGGAGGTTGCAGTGAGCCAAGATTGTGCCACTGCGCTCCAGCCTGGGTGACAGAGCAAGACTCCGTCACGAAAAAAAAAAAAAAGGAAGAAGAAAGCAGGAGTTACTTCCTCTATCATATGGATGTAGGAGAAGGCAAACTAGGACTCCAAATCCAAATGCAATGACATCAAAGACTGATAAAGTTGACTACATTAAAAATGTTTTGAATGACAAAAATACATCATAAATGAAGTCAAAAGACAAATGACAAATATGTTGTAAATATTTGCAATATGTAGGTAATATCTCTAAGAAACTGTTGAAAATTGAGAGGGGAAAATGAAGACCAAAACTCTACAGAAAAATAGGAGAAGACATAAACAATTAAAACACAACAAAACATACAAAAATGTCCTTTAAACCTATGAAAATATATTCAACTTTGTTCATAATAATATACACAAAATAAAATCTCACTGATATACAATTTTTCACCTATCAGGCAGAAATTCAAAGTTTAATGATATCTTTCGGACAAAACTGTGGGGGAAATAGACTCTCCCTCAGTCATACAGCACGGGGAGACATATGAAATGGTAAACCAAGTTGAGTGGAATTTAGCAATATGTAACAAAACTACACACGCATTTACCCTTCAGCGAATTCAGCAATCTCTCTTCTATAGACCTACCCTGAACATACATCTACAACAATATAAAAATACAAAAGCATAGGTTATTCATTATTTGTCATTGCAAATTATTGTCAATTACCTACATGCCCAATATTGGAAACTGGTTCGATATTGATACATACACCCAATGGAGTACTATGCAGTGGGGAAAAAAAGAACAGGAAAGATCTTTATAAACATATGTGGAGTTATTTTCAAGATAGTTCGTTAAGTTAGAAAAATCAAAGTGCAAAAGAGTTTATGTAATACATTGTGTTTTGTGTAAGAAATATGGGGCAATAGGAAAACATATATGTATCTGCTTACTTTTGCAAAACACACGTATGTACAATGAATTAAGCATAGAACAATGAAATTTTTTACCTATGAGGGATGAAGGAAATAGGATAGGAAAACTAAAGAAAAGAATGAGATGTTTATAAGTAAATCTTCATATACAGGTATGACTTTTGAAAGCAGGTCAACAAATTAATATGTTAAATCAACAAGAATGAGGGGAAAAAACCTAAAAAATAATGTATTTGGAAATAAATGATATAAAGAGTATTACAAACAAAAAACATACCACATTGAGGGAGGAAAGTATGTACTAATACACTGATTTGGTTTGACCCTGTGTCCCCACCCAAATCTCATGTTGAACTGTGATCCCGAGTGTTGGAGGTGTGGCCTGATGGGAGGTGATTGAATCATGGTGGTGGTTTCTAATGGTTTATCCCCCCCACCGCCAGTTCTGTCTTGTAATCGAGTTATCATGAGATCGGGTTGTTTAAAAGTGTGTAGCATGTCCCCTTCACTCTCTCTCTTGCTGGCCACGTGAAGATAGGCCTGGTTCCCCTCCACCATCCTGAGGCCTCTCCAGAAGTAGAAGCCTGTAGAGCCCACAGAACCATAGCCAATTAAACCTCTTTTCTTTATAAATTACCCAGTCTCAGGTAGTTCTTTAGAGCATGGGGCAACACAGAGAGAACAGACTTACACATGGGGAGAACGAACTAATACAGAAAATTGGTACCAGACAAGTGAGGCATTGCTATAAAGATACCTGAAAATGTGAAAGCAGCTTTGGAACTGGTTATTGGGCAGAGGTTGAAACCATTTGGAGGGCTCAGAAGTGGACAGGAAGATGAAGGAAGCTTTGGAGCTTCCTAGAGACTTGTTGAATGGTTGAGACCAAAATGCTGATAGTGATAGGGACAGTGAAGTCCAAGCTAAGGAGGTTTCAGATGGAGAGAAACTTATTGGGAACTGGAGTAAAGGTCACTCCTGCTATGCTTTAGCAAAGAGGCTGGCGGCATTATGCCCCTGCTCTAGGGATCTGTTGATTGTTGAACTTGAGAGAGATGGTTTAGGGTAGCTGATGAAAGAAATTCGTAAGCAGCAAAGTGTTCAATATGTGACTTGCCTGCTTCTAACAGCATGCACTAATATGTGTGCACAAAGTGATTATCTGAAATTGGAACTTATATTTAAAAGGAAAGCAGAGCACATAAGTTTAGAAAATTTGCAGCCTGACCATGTGGTAGAAAAGAAAAAAACATTTTCTGGGGAGGAACTCAAGCCTACTGTAGAAATTTGCATAAGAGGAGCAAAATGTTAATAGCCAGCCAGTCACAGTGGCTCATGCCTGTAATCCTAGCACTCTGGGAGGCTGAGGTGGGAGGATCATGAGGTCAGGAGATCAAGACCATCCTAACCAACATGGTGAAACCCCATCTATACTAAAAATGCAAAAATTAGCTGGGCGTGCTGGCATGTGCCTGTAGTGCCAGGTACTCAGGAGGCTGAGGCAGGAGAATCATTTGAACCCAGGAGGCGGAGGCTGTGGTGAGCTGAGATCGTACCACTGCACTCCAGCCTTGGCTTCAGAGCAAGACTCTGTCTCAAAAAAAAAAAAAAAAAAAAAAAGTTAATAGCCAAGACAATAGGGAAAATGCCACCGAGACGTTTCAGGGACCTTTGTGGTGGCCCCTCCCATCACAGACCTGGAAGTGTAGGAGGGAAAAAATGATTTCATGGGTCAGGTCCAGGGATCTGCTGCTCTGTGCATCCTCAGGACATAATGCTCTGCATCATGGATACCTCAGCTCCAGCCATGGCTAAAAGGGGCCAAGGTATAGTTCTGGCCATTGCTTCACAGGGTGCAAGGCCCAAGCCTTGGTAGCTTCTACACAGTGTTAAGCCTGCCGGTGCCCAGAGAGCAAGAATGAGGCTTGGGAGCCTCCACCTAGATTTCTTTTCTTGTTTGTTCTTAAAGTGAAAGCAAGTTTATTAAGAAAGTAAAGGAATAAAAGAATGGCTACTCCATAGGCAAAGCAGCCCTCCACCTAGATTCCAGAGGATACATGGAAACACCTGGATGTCCAGGCAGAAGTCTGCTGCAGTGATCACAGACTAAGTGATCACAATTAACACCAGTAATGAGGGACAGATGGGCATCGTGTACCAGCAGATACAATGCTCAAGGAGAACGTCTACTAGGGCAGTGCAGAGGGGAACTGTGTGGTTGGAGCCCCCACATCGAGTCCCCACTGGGGTACTGCCTAGTGGATCTTTGAAAAGAGGGCCACCATGATCTAGACCCCGGAATAGTAGATCCATTGACAACTTGCATTGTGTGCCTGGAAAAGCCACAGGCACTAAACACCAGCCCATAAAAGCAGGTATGGAGGCTGTACCCTGCAGAGTCACAGGGGTAGAGCTGCCCAAGGCCTTGGGAGCCCATCCCTTGCATCAGTGTGGCCTGGATGTGAGACATGGAGTCAAAGGAGATTATTTTGGAGCTTTAAGATTTAATGACTGCCCTGCTGGGTTTCAGACTTGCATGGGGCCTATAGCCCCTTTGTTTTGGCCAATTTCTCTCTTTTGGAAAGGAAGTATTTACCCGCTGCCTGTACCCCCATTTTATCTTGGAGGTAAATAACTTCTTTTTTTATTTTATAGGTTCATAGGCTGAAGGGACTTGCTTTGTCTCTGATGAGATTTTGGACTTAGACTTTTGAGTTGATGCTGGAATGAATTAAGACTTTGGGGAACTGTTGAGAAGGGACGATTGTATTTTGCAATGTGAGAAGGACATGAGATTTGGGAGGGGCCAGGGGCAAAATGATATGGTTTGGGTCTGTGTCCCCACCCAAAACTCACGTTGAATTGTTATCTTGAGTGTCGGAGGTGGGGCCTGGTGGCAGGTGATTGGATCATGGGAGTGGTTTCTAATGGTTTAACACCATTCCCCTAGTGCTGTCACATAATAAAGTTATCATGAGAACTGGTTGTTTTAAAGTGTGTAGCACTTCCCCCCTTAACTCAATCTCAATGTCTCTCCTCTCTCCTCCTTCTTCCTCTCCTTCTCTCTCTCCTCCTGGCCATGTGAAAAGGTGCCTGCTTTTCCTTCACCTTCAGCCAGGATTGTGTTTCCTGAGGCCTCCCCAGAAACAGAAGCCTGTAGAGCCTGCAGAACCATAAGCCAATTAAAACTCTTTTCTTTATAAATTACCCTGTCTCAGGGGGTAATTTATAGCAATAGAACAGACTAATACATACAGGGAACATTTGAACACAGTCCTTTAGTTATATACCCTCAGTCTAGGGGAAAACTGCAAACAAATCTTGAGCTTCTTAGAGGGTTTTATGGTTTTTTGTTTTCTTTTTTGTTTTTCATAGTGGTTTTAGAATAGAAATTCTGAAGTCATTTTATATGTATTGTGGAATCGAGCAAAAAAGCATATATGATGATATTATTGGGAGCCAGGATACTCGCTGTGGAAGAAGGAAGATATAAAAATGTAGAGTTGAGAAAGGCAAGAAAGAACACTATGGAGGGATTGGGTTGAAATTGGAAGTATCTGTATAGACTCATATTTCAAGTATATTAAAATTATGGATATTTTCTAGTACTATCTGCTAAAAGGACCTAAAAGCAATTAACACATCTAGTAGCCAGATATTCATTTGTAAATACCATGGCTACATTGAAGGAGTTCTCACTGGCTAAACTTAAAAAAATTGGGGCATCAGAATGTTTATTTATGAATGGACATGTAAATAAATGACTCATGAACTATGAGTCCTTACTGATAATAAAGAACTAGATAGCCCAGGCATGGTGGTTCATGCCTATAATCCCAACACTTTGCAGGGCCAAGGTAGGAGGATTGCTTGCACCCTAGGAGTTGCAGATCAGCCTCGGCAACACAGCAAGACTCCCATCTCTACAAAAAATTTTTAAAAATTTGGGTGCAGAGGCACATGCCTGTACTCCCAGTTACTTGGGAAGCTGAGGTAGGAGAATCGTTTGAGCCTAGGAAATCAAGGCTGTAGTGAGCTGTGATCACACCATTGCACTCCAGCCTGGGTAACAGAGCAAGACCTTGTCTCAAAAAAAAGTAACTAAATAATAATAATAAAGAGACAGATGGTAGATTGAAAGGTAGGTAGGTAGATAGACAGATTAGATAGATGATAGATAGATAGATAGATAGATAGATAGATAGATAGATAGATAAGAGTTCATTCATCTAGGAGAATTTGAGCATGAAAGTAAACAAGAACTGTATTGGATGATGATCCTTTACCAGAACAGGAGCCCTGAGTCTATACTGATGATAGACAACCAGGCAGAGAGAGAGACAGAAGAGAAAGAGAGGAGAGTGAGGAGGAAGAGTTCATTCATAAAGCTCATTCATTAAAAATAAAACTCGTGATTTTTAACTGTATCACTCCCTGCCAACTGATAAATGTGCAGGAAGTAATGGAGTTAAAAACCATTATTTTGCAATGATCACAGTGAAGATTGTTTTGGGTAAGAATCAACAATAGATGCTAAATCTGAGGTAGAAAGGGAGTTTGATGAGGAGCAGTTTATTTATCTGGTCTTACTGTGCCTCCCCACAGAATATTTCGTGGTTGTAAGGGCAAATAGTGATAATGCAGTGGAGAAACTGGACAGCATCTAAACTAAGTGATCACAATTAACACCGGTAATGAGAGGCAGATGGGCGTTGTGTGCCTGCAGATACAATGCTCCAAGAGGATACAATATCAGGGTTTTTTTGTTTGTTTGTTTTCTGGCCATCAATGCAAAACTTGAATCTAATCATGAAGAAACATCAAACAAATCCAAACTGAAAAACATTATGTAAAATAACTGGCCTGTTGCCTTCAAAAGTACCAACGTTTTGAAAGATAAAGAAAGACAGGACAATTACAGATTAAAGGAAAATAAAGAGATGTGACAATTTAACATCATACCTGACCCTGGACTGTATCCTGAAGTGAAGGGGAAAAAAAAAACCATGGTATAAAGCTCTCATCAGAACCACTGACAAAATTGGAATATGTCTTTGATAAAGCATTTATTATGTCTATGTTGAACTTCCAAATTTTGTAACTACTGTGATTACATGTTCTAAACACAGTGATAGTCAACATACTCTATATAATAATGTGTGTTTTGTGTGTATGTGCATGTGTGGAGAGAGAGACAGAACAAATGAGGTAACATTGAAACTGACCCAATAGTCCCATAGACCATTATTTTGGATAGACATAGAAATTGACCCTTCTGGTCTTAAAGCTTAAAACTTAAATTTGTTTTATCTGAGTTCCTTCTTCAGGCCTCTCAAAAAGTACCAAAGAATTGAAACTCACCAGATCGCCATATCCAGACAATGAGATGCCAGACCCCTCATCCTTCATAATTGCTTCCTTACCTCTCTCTAATTCCTGTTTTTCTTTTTCTTTTTCTTTTTTCTTTTTTTTTGAGATGGAGTCTTGCTGTTGCCCATGCTGGAGTGCAGTGGTGCAATCTTGGCTCACTGCAAGCTCTGCCTCCCGGGTTCACACCATTCTCCTGCCTCAGCCTCCCGAGTAGCTGGGACTACAGGCGCCTGCCACCACGCCCGGATAATTTTTTGTATTTTTAGTAGACACAGGCTTTCACCGTGTTAGCCAGGATGGTCTCGATCTCCTGACCTTGTGATCCGCCTGCCTCGGCCTCCCAAAGTGTTGCGATTACAGGCGTGAGCCACCGTGCACGGCCCTAGTTCTTGTTTTTCTAAGCAACCACCTGCTTCCTGTTGACCAACTCCTTTTCCTTACCCCTTCCCTAGTTCCTGTTTTCCCACACATTGTTACATTTCTTCCCTGCTATATAAATCCCTAGTTTTACTCAGTCACAGAGATGAACTTGAGATTGATCTCCCATCTCCTCCACTGGAGCACCTGATTAAAACCTTCCTTGGCAATACCCATTGTCTCAGTGATTGACTTTCTGTGCACCAAGTAGCAGGACTTAGAGCGAACCCCTGGTGTTTTGGTAACAACATGTTAAAAACAATTGGTGAATTTGAATAAAGAGTATATGGAAATTCTTTGAATACACTGATACGTATATAAATTTCTGAACAGGTCGAGGACTTCCTTTTTTCTCATTCTCACTCAGCTTGGACAATTCCCTTAAATGAAAGACAATGTTTTATGTTCCTGTCTCATCTTCATGTTTGACTAGAAGAACCTTTTCCTGGCTGGGTGCAGTGGCTCACACTTGTAATCCAAGCATTTTCGGAGGCCGAGGCAGATGGATTACCTGAGGTCAGGAGTTCGAGACCAGCCTGGCCAACATGGCGAAACGCTGTCTCTACTAAAAGTACAAAAATTAGCCAGGCGTGGTGACAGGCCCTGTAATCCCAGCTACTTGGGAGGCTGAGGCATAGAATTGCTTGAACCCAGGAGGCGGAGGTTGCAATGAGCCAAGACTGTGCCACTGCACTCCAGCCTGGGCAACAGAGCAAGACTTCATATCAAACAAAACAAAACAAAACAAAACAAACAAACAAAAACAAAAAACTTCCTTTACCGATACCTTTATATGTTGTTTCATCTTACAATTTTATTTTGAGGTTGGTAAGAGAAGATTTTTCTCTTCCCGGTTGACAAATGAAAAACAAAAACAAAAGACTACAGTCTGAAAAGAGAATGTTCTTGCCAGAAATTAGTCAAGGAGAAGGGGAGGCCCGATGTGGATTTTGCACTAGGACTCTGGCCTCTCGGAGACAGCAGAGACATAGTGATGGTTTGGAGCAGGGTATGACCCAAGGAAAGCGGAGGTTCAGGGATTTTTCTGAGCAGCCCTGCTGCGATGATGAGCTTACTACTTCCTGGGCACTTCCCAGGAGAACCAGATTCCATCAAAGAGGCAGAACCTGAGCTCAAGGTAGGTTGGGCTATTATTCTGACCTGGAGACCATCCTCCCTCTCTTCCCTAACAAGGCCACACAATGATAATTATAATGACTTTTTTCTATTCTTCCTAGACTCATTTCTATTTAGTTAAAAATGCGCTTCCCTAATGATTCATTTATCAGCCTGTTCCTGTATTTAATCATGCTTTACCAACACCCCCCAAAAACTGTTTGAAATTAATTGTTATCCACCAAGGCCCAAGCCTCTCATATTCTCACCTTATTGCGCAGTACAGCATTGCCTTAAGTTATAGCAGTAATTAAACTGTGCTTTAATTAAGTAAGCCCTACCCTGCTCTTGTAACAGTCCCATTCAGGCAATTTCCTTCAAGTAATTTCCTTCATTTCAGTATTATTACTCACACCTACTGGGGCTAGAGGACTATATATGCAAGCACAGGGTGAGATTTTGTTTTGTCTTTGGGTGTTGATTAACCACCTTGGCAATATTGGTAATTTCTACAGCTCTATAAAATCTAGATCCTTGTTTTCTCCCTCCCAAATCTCTTCTGAAAAATTAAGAAAGCAAGCCTTTCTGCCATTCTTCAACTCAACTGTAATCAGTCTATAAATCTCTAGACCCAGGGAAGAATTGATATTTATAGCTCTTGCTGTTATTCACATTAGAAAACTTGGCAGACTGGAGGATACAAACTTTGAGTGTCTACCGTGAAGCACCACAGTGTGGGAGTCCTTGGATCTCTACTGAGTTACAGAAAACATGAAGAGTTTGGTACAACTGTGCTCTGTCAGCTTTGCAAATCGAGTGCTATTATGTTTTCCAGGCCTGGGTGGCCTAAACCAACACAGTCAAGGTCTCTCTTGCTCTGAGATGCATGCCTCTGTAGGTTTTGTTTTGTTTTTTTGTTTTTTCGTTTTTTTGTTTTTTTGTTTTTTTGAGACAGAGTCTCGCTCTGTCGCCCAGGCTGGAGTGCAGTAGCGCGATCTCGGCTCACTGCAAACTCTGCCTCCCGGGTTCACGCCATTCTCCTGCCTCAGCCTCCCGAGTAGCTGGGACTACAGGCGCCTGTCACCACGCCCGGCTAATTTTTTTTGTATTTTTAGTAGAGACGGGGTTTCACCGAGTTAGCCAGGATGGTCTCGATCTCCTGATCTCGTGATCTGCCCGCCTCTGCCTCCGAAAGTGCTGAGATTACAGGCATGAGCCACCGTGCCCAGCCCGTGCCTCTGTAGGTTTTTTATGGCTAAGGCCAGGCCCCAGGTCAGTCACTGCCTTGTGACTGGGAGTCAGATTAGGCATTTCTGCTTGGTCTACCGGTGACCCAACCCAGTAACTACAGGGGACAGGGTGACCAACCAACCTGGTTTACCTGGGATTGAGAGATTTCCAGGGACTTGAGACTTTCAGTGCTAGAATCAAGACAGTCCTGGGAAAAATGAGACAGGTGGTCACTCTGAGGTTGGATCCCTAAGGGGAGGAGTCTGTCTTTTTTTGAGACAGAGTCTTACTCTGTCACCCAGGCTGGAGTGCAGCAGGATGATCTCTGCTCACTCCAACCTCTGCCTCCTGGGTTCAAGTGATTCTTCTGCCTCAGCCTCCCGAGTAGCTGTGATTACAGGTGGGCACTGCCAAGACCAGCTAGTTTCTGTATTTTTAGCAGAGACATGGTTTCTCCATGTTCCTCAGACTGGTCTCGAGCTCCTGATCTCAAGTGATCCTCCTGCCTTGGCCTCCCAAAGTGCTGGGATTACAGGTATGAGCCACTGTGCCCAGCCAGAAGGGGTCCTTTCCTAATGTACTGTGCCCAAAGAAGCATAGCAGCTTGGGCTAGGATGGAACAATCTCTGATGACAAATTATATGGAATGATCAGGGACTTCCTATGGTTGGGGCCAAAATACAGAAAATGTATTTTTCCCCATTTGGGGAGCAGATACTCCTCAAGCCGACAGCAGCATTCCTGTTCTCAGTGACCAGTCCATTCTGACTAAAGGGCAGGCAGGAACTGGGTAAGACACCCATTCCCAGCATGCACAGAGAAGGGTAGGAAAGATTTACTAGAGAGTCAAGTGGGTCTAAGTTTGAGAGACACAGGTTGAGAGGACAACACAGAGCTCCAAACCCAGGAGGACTCAGGAGGGCTAAGCAAAAAGCAGATTTGTTTTGTTTTGTTGGTGTTGTTGTTGTTGTTTTTGAGACAGGGTCTTGCTCTGTCACCCAGGCTGAAGTACAGTGGCGCAATTGTAGCTCACTGCAATCTTGAATTCCTGGCTTCAAGCAGTCCATTCACCTCAGCTTCCCAAAGTGCTGAGATTCCAGGCATGAGCCACTGTGTCCAGCCAAAAAGTAGATTTATAATCCAAGATAAACACACTGGACCTGTGGATCTCAAACTTGATTCTAAGAATTCTCTGAGGTGCTTATTACATTATGAGGAATAACTGGCATTTATCAAGCCTTACTATGGGCCTGGCACCATTCTAGGCACTTTCAACTGGTTTACTCATTTAATCCTTTCTGTGGGGATGGTATTAAGGTGATTATCACCATCCAACCAATGAGCCAGAGGAAAGTTAAGTAATTTTCCCCAAGATTACACCAAGATTAAGGGAAAGAGCAGAGAATCTCTCCAGAGCTTGTGTTCTTAGTCACTGCATTATATTCCTTCTTATAGGCTATTGGTCTTCCTCGGTTAAAATACAGATGTCCAGGCCCACCCATATTTAAAAGTTTGGGGTGAGATTCAGGGATCTGCATTTTTAACAATAGCTAAAGTGATTATGCAGGGGTAAGCAATATCTTGGGGGTCAGGGGAGGTCTTTGACCCAACGGGCATGCGTAGGAAATCCAGGATAGTAAGTGAGTTTACAGCAAGTTCTAATTCTGGATCTCTCAGTCTGGTCTGCCCACTCTGGCAGTGGATTTTTCTACCTCCATCAGGATTGATTTGTAAGTGGGGCAGGACTGAGAGCGAATGATTCTTAACTGGGACTAGCAGAGGCAGGGACTAGCAACACCTCCTCCCTTCGGCCTGTCGGTGAATTTACTTGGAGAGAAGACGTTGCAAGAACTGAGCGCTAAAGGTGCGTGGCCAAACACGAACTAGTAAACGTCCTGAAGCACCCTTGGGACTGTGACTTTTAACTCTTGGAGATGAGGTAGTTCTCTGAGCTGAAAAGTGGTAGTAGCCCACGGGAACTGTTTGAAACATAATAAAGAAATGTTGGTGACCGAGCACAGTGGCTCACGCCTGTAATCCCAGCACTTTGGGAGGCCTTGGTGAGTGGATCACGAGGTCAGGAGTTTGAGGCCAGAGTGACCAACATGGTGAAACCCTGTCTCTACTAAAAATACAAAAATTAGCTAGGCGTGGTGGCGGGCACCTGTAATCCCAGCTACTTGGGAGGCTGAAGCAGGAGAATCACTTGAACCTGGGAGGTGGAGGTTGCAGTGAATGGAGATAGCACCACTGCACTCTAGCCTGGGTGACAGAGCAAGACTCTGTCTCAAAGAAAAAGAGACGTTGGCCTGCCTGGCATGATTTTCAGTCAAACACAGAATCAGTGTAAAAGCCTTCTGGTTAGATATGTGGTCTGAGCAGAGAAACATGGACGATTCTTTCTGTCTTCCTAATCTGAGGTTCAGAAAAACAGCCTCTCTGCCTTTTTCTTTAAACAGGGAATTCTTATTCCCTGACTCTTCTCAAACATCAGTATTTGCATTTCCTGAGTGGCAGATCAGGATCACTGTGCTTTGAACAATTGATCGTGGTCCTCTGGGTGTTTGCAGTGCTGAGTGCATTGGGGTTTGTGTGTGTGTGTGTGTGTGTGTGTGTGTGTGTGAGAGAGAGAGAGACAGAGAGAGGGAGAGAGGAGCACAGTAGCTTGTGCAAAGACCTCCTTTGCTATAGAAGCCTGATTCCAAACCTGTCTTCTTTCCCAGAAGTAATTACAATACACATTGCTGCTTCTCTTCAATGTGCCTGTGTTCTGGAAGCTGTGTGTCTCCAGCTAAGGAGAGCAGAGCCTGTTATCTTTCCTCAGTCCACCAGCAAGCTATATATGGCCTTGGAGAATTGATGGAAATCACATAGGTTACCGCTTCTTTCTCCTACCCTGTTCGTGGAGATTTTTAGATAATTCCACCACAGCAGACAGACTGCTGCTCCTGATCAAAACTCCACAGATTCTCTCGGCAGAGTGTTCACCTGCCCGCTGGCCTTTTGTAGAGGGTAAGATAATAAAGAAAAATTAGCATTCTACCGAGGTCTTTCTTCTCATAACAGGCTCAGCAGCTGGCTCTTCCTGCTGGGCTTTTCCCCAACTTTATCTTTGTGATTTGTGAAAGAAAAAAAGAAAGGAAGAACAATTAGAAGCATCATTTTAAGGTGTGTGCGCCTGGTGGAACCCTTTTAAGTGACATTCAGAAGACTTGGTTACCCACAATCCCTTGTGCCCCGGGCTGGTCTGGCCCAGATTTCTTGTTTCAATGACACTCATTCTTCAGCTTGGCCATTGTGCTTTGGTCTCTTCTCTAATGACAATACCCAGGGAATAAAACAGCTTGCTTCTTTTTTCTGTCTTTATTTTAAGGGCAATTCCCCTAGTCCTTTTATTCAATCACAGAAAAAAAAATGTTTGTTCTCATCAATGGTTCTGCTTGACTAAGACTAACCACAGGCAGATATACAGACAGATCTTAAAGCTGGTGGCCGGGAAACATTTTACCCTCTGTAGGTGAGCCGCTGTCTAAAAAATGCTCAATCTGCAGAAATCTGAACTTTCAAACATACTGACAGCAATTAAAGGTAGTCCTTCCAAAAAGGAATTCTTCCCAAGATTGATTTCTATAGGTAGTCACATACAGATCATTTGCTATAATTGAGAGATTGATGGAAATTCACTGGATAATAAAAATTAATTTGGAGAGAAATTTGAAATCAACCTGTCAGAACAACCAAAAAATTAAAATCTCTCAGAGATGTAAATCCTTCGGACTATAATGAAAGCCTATGCTAAAATAACATTTCATATATAAAAATCTAAACCATATTTTTTGTTTTTATAGCTAAAGTCTATAAAACTTGATGAACTGAATTTGAGTAATTTTGTTTTTAAAGCTAAAGTCTGATAACGTTTGATTGATTTATAGAGGCTCATCCATAAGTACAAGAAACAAACTAATGTAACCATATCATTACTCATTTTCTCATTCCGTCATGTCATCATTTCCAACGAGGACAGAAATGCAAATTAGATTCATATCAAGTGGAAGGAAAAAATATTCTTTTCTGTTTGAAAAAAGGCAGTCATAGAAAGAACCACCCAAAAGTTTTATGATTTTCTTCTGTTTCTCTTAAACATCTTGACAATCCAATAGATATAAAATGGTATCTTATTCTTTGACCTTATTTCTCTATAAAAAAATACTTTTACATATGTTTTTGGTCATTCAGATTTTCTCCTCTGTGAATGGCCCTAAATTAGTATTATGGTTGTCTTTTTTAATTTGTTAATAAGAGTAAATCTATATTACAGATATCTATATTACAGATTTATGTTATCCAATACAGTAGCTACCGGCCACATGTGATTGTTGAGCACATAAACTGTGGGTAAATCAAACTAAAGTGTGTTCTAAGTGTAAAATTGACACTGTGTTTTAAAAAACATTACAAGATTTAAAAACATTGCAAAATAAAGAATGTAAAATATCTTATTAATAATTTTAAAATGATTACATGTTGAAATGGTAGTAAGGATATACTCAGTTAAACAGAAGATATTATTGAAATGAACTTCACTTGTTTCTTTTTTACATGATGCTGCTAGAAAAGTTTTTAACACTGCTTTTTAATGACATTACAAGATAATTTTAAAATATGTATCTAGCAAGCCAGATAGCAAAATAAGAAGCCTCAGACCCTCCTTCTCCTCACAGAGACACCGATTCTACAATACACAGAATAATTCCCTTCATGAGAAATCCTGAAAAAAGTTATGAGGTTCCTGCACCCCAGATGCACAAAATCAGCCACGTTAATTTGTGGCACTACTCACCATATAGTGCCTTTCCCTGGCTCAATGCAGTGTAATTGTAAGAAACTCTTCAGGGGCTTCTCCCTTGGGGAGGCAAAGAGAAGATTGAAACATATATCCAACATACAGACTTTTCGAGGGTTGCCCAAGAACCTGGTTTCTATCTTACCTGAATCTAAGCATTAACATGAGAGAGAGCCAGGAGGGCAATGAGAACAAATGTAGGCCAGGCGCGGTGGCTCACACCTGTAATCCTAGCACTTTGGGAGGCCGAGGCGGGCGGATCACTTGAGGTCAGGAGTTTGACATCAGCCTGGCCAACATGGTGAAACCCTGTCTCTACTAAAAATACAAAAATTAGCTGGGCGTGGTGCTTCACGCCTGTAATCCCAGCTACTCATGAGGCTGAGGCAGGAGAATTTCTTGAACCTACGTGGCGGAGGTAGCAATTGGTGACTACACTGTAGCCTGGGTGACGGAGTGAGACCCTGTCTCAAAAAACAAACAGAAAACAAATGTGAAGTTTGGACTAGCATATACTCAATTGATGTCAGGATGGAATGAGCGGAAAAACCTCCCAACTCCTGGCTTCTCCCTGAGGAGGGAAAGAGTTGGAATGTGTATCCAATGTTACTGCTTTTCCAGGAGTTTCCCAAGAGACTGGTTTCTGTCTCATCTGACTCAAAGCTCTGACAGGAACTGTCACACTCTAGAAGCCTGGAAGTTGTTGATGAGAAAACTGAGTTGGGAGGCTTGTTGAAATTCCAGTTCCAGAGAAACTTCAGTATGGAAGGCTTACACCATAAGGAGTAATAGATTATGAGCTCCCAAAAAAAGAAACCAGAAAATCCTTCTAATTGGGAATTTACATGCACAGAGACAGAGAAGACATATCTACAGAGAAGGTGTGAGATTCTGGTAAAGTCTCTAGCCAGGCTGACTGGTGAAGGTCTTCCTCTGTATGAAGCCAGTTCATAAAGACTGAGAGGTGGCTGTTACAAGGCATGTGACAAAACAGGAAAGCATGGCCCAATCAAAGAAACAAAACCAATCTCCAGAAATTGACACTAAAGGAATGTAGATGTGAATTACCTTACAATTAATTTAAAAGAACCACCATAAAGATGCTCAATTAGCTCCAGAAAATGGTCCATAAACAAAATGAGAACATTAACACAGAGGTAGAAAATATTTAAAAGATTCAAGCAGATTTTTGAGCTGGAAAATAGAATAACTGAATCAAAAAATTCCCTAGAGAGGCTCAACAGCAGACCTGATCAAGCAGAAGAAAAAATCAGGGAACCCAAAGTCAAGTCACTTGAAATGATCTAATCAAAGGAGCAAAAAGAAAAAACAATAAAAAGAGTAAATTTATCAGAATAAAATTCCCTAAGGAATTTATGGGACTGCATCAGAAGCACCAATATATGCATAATGGAAGCAGCAGAAGAGGAAGAAAGAGAGAAAGAAGCAGAAAGCTCATCTAAGAAAAATAGATGACAATTTCCAATCTGGGAAAGGAAATTGACATTCAGATCTCAGAAGCCCAAAATACTCCAACTAGGATGATCCCAAAGAAGTCAACATGAAGAAACATTATAGTCAAATTGTCAAAAATCAAAGACAAAATTTTGTTTATTTTTTATTTTATTTTATTTTTTTTGAGACGTAGTCTTGCTCTGTCGCCCAGGCTGGAGTGCTGTGGCGTGATCTCGGGTCACTGCAAACTCCGCCTCCCGGGTTCACACCATTCTCCTGCCTCAGCTTCCCGAGTAGCTGGGACTACAGGCGCCCACCACCATGCCCGGCTAATTTTCTGTATTTTTAGTAGAGATGGGGTTTCACTGTATTAGCCAGGATGGTCTCAATCTCCTGACCTCGTGATCTGCCTGCCTCGGCCTCCCAAAGTGCTGGGATTACAGGTGTGAGCCACCGCACCCAGACAAAGACAAAATTTTGAAAGCAGCAAGAGAAAAGTGATTTATCACGTATGAGGGCACATATTTAAGACTATGGGTAAATTTCTCGATAGAAACCTTGCAGGCCAGAAGGCAGTGGGATGATATACTCAAAGTACTGAAAGAAAAAAACTGCAAACCAACAATACTATTTGTGTATTACTAATTCTAAAGAGGATGACAAAACTATCCTTCAAAATTGAAGGAGAAATAAAGACTTTCCCTACATTCATTGGAATGTAGGGAAGAGTTCATTACCACTAGATCGGCCCTACAAGAAAGGCTAGAGGAAGTTGTTCAACTTGAAATGAAAGGAAGTCAGACAGCAAAATGAAGTCATATGAAAGTATAACACATACTGGTAAAAGTAAATGTATGAAATACAGAATACTTTCATATTGTAATGGTAGTTATAAATCACTTTTAATTCCAGTGTAGAAGCTGAAATAGAAAGCCCGGGTGCGGTGGTTCATGGCTGTAATCCCAGCACTATGGGAGGCCGAGACG
This sequence comes from Homo sapiens, assembly GCF_000001405.40. Classification (NCBI taxonomy): domain Eukaryota; kingdom Metazoa; phylum Chordata; class Mammalia; order Primates; family Hominidae; genus Homo; species Homo sapiens. The sequence goes on from NC_000008.11 coordinate 9,481,827, forward strand.
GGCAGATTACGAGGTCAGGAGACTGAGACCATCCTGGCTGACATGGTGAAACCCCATCTCTACTAAAAATACAAAAATTAGCTGGGCGTGGTGGCAGGCGCTTGTAATCCCAGCTACTCAGGAGGCTGAGGCAGGAGAATCACTTGAACCTGGGAGGCAGAGGTTGCAGTGAGCCAAGATCACAGCACTGCACTCCAGCCTGGGCAACAAAGCGAGACTCCGTCTTGAAAAAAAAAAAAAAAGAAGAAGAAGTTGAAATACAAAAGTATAAAAAATAACTATAACTATACAAACTTGTTAAAGGACACACACTCCTAAAAGCTGTCATTTGTGATTTTAATAACACAGTATAGAACTAGAGAGAAGTAAAAGAGTAGTGTTTTTGTATACAATTACAGTTAGATTGTTACCAGCTTAAAATTGATTGTTATTATAAGATGTTTTATGTAAGTTCCATGGTAACTCCACATAAAATACCTATAGAAGGTACACAAAGGAAAATGAGAAAGGAAACAAAGCAGGTCACTACAAAAAAAAAATCAACATACAAAGGAATACAGTAGGAGAGGAAAAGATGAACAAAAAAGCCACAAGACAGAAAATAATTAATGAAATGGCAATAGAAATCCCTACATACAAGTAATAAATTTAAATGTAAATGGATTAAACTTCTCAATCAAAAGACATACATCATGGCTGAATGAATTTTTAATAAAACAAACAAGATCCAACTATACGCTATCTATTTCTGCCTTTGGGACAGTCACAGACACCTGGTTCCCAGCAATGGCCAGGGTTGCAGAACTACATGACCCAAAACACAAAAACTCTTACACAAAAGCTCCAGAGGCCTAGAAGCATGACAGGTACCTGGAGCACTGGAACTGTCTATGAAGGATTCACTGTAGATTTAAGAACACACATAGGCCAAAGTGGAAGGCTGGAAAAGATGTTCTATGCAAATGGAATCCAAAGAGAGCACACTTACATCAGACAAAATAATCAAAAATTACCACAGAAAAATTAGGATATTATTCAATGATAAAAGGATAAATTCACTAGGAAGACAATAATAACTATAAGTAAATATGGACCCAGCCTCAGGGCACCCAAATATATGAGGCAAACATTGGCAGAACTGAAGGAGAAATAGAGAGCCTCACAATAATAATAGGAGATTTCAATGCTCCATTTTCAATATTGGATAAAACTTTCAGACAGAAGATGAATGAGGTCATAGAGGACATGAATGACACTTTAGACCAAATGGACCTAACAGACATACAGGAAGATTCTACCCAGAAGCAGCAGAATACACATTCTTCTCAAGCGCACATGGAACATGCTGTAGGATAGATCATGTGGTCAATCCAGATACCTGCCCTGTACAACCATCTCCCTAAGGGACATATAGATTCAACATACCAGACTCATCCCATGATCCCACAACCTCATAGACGGTGTAGATATGCTACAGTGAGCACTCCTAAGTACAAAGTCACAGTATGGTCCCTACAGACTCAGGTCCACTTTCTCTAAACCCACCAATTAGAACTCCTCACAGGAAAACCACTTGGGTAAAGCCCTGGACCCCAGTAAAGATTTTGGCACACAGATTTGCCCTGTCTCTCTCTCTGTCTCTCTGTCTGTCTCTCTCTCTCTTTCTCTCTCACTTGCTACCTGCTGGTTGAGCATGATGATGCCTGGCCTCTCCCCCAAGCACCCCCACCTCCAGTCTCCTCCTGTCCCTCCCTCTGCAATCTTCTGCTTGTCTTTCATCAGCATCCCTCTTCTTTCATGGATCTGTAAGGAACACACTGCTTCTGTTACTCCCTATGTTTTTTTTTGTGCTGCTTCCTCTGTCTCACCTGACCAACACACCTGAACCTGACTTCTTTCCCAGTCAGAGCTCTCCTAGAGAGTGGCTACCAGAGTAAGAATAAACTGGACACAAGTCAGAGGAGAACCACAAGGGCATCTGCCAATATAAACAGGTTTCCTGTGAAAGGGACATCTGGTCACAGGTTGGACACTTAGACATTAAGCCATCCACCAGGATAAAGAATTATCCCACCAAAGGCACACTGTAAACATCCATGACCAAACTCCTTGGATTCCAATCAGGGCAGGGCTAGAGTTTATAGTCAATTTCCAAAGAGAGACCTCAAGACTGAAATTAGAGGAAAAATCACAACAATATATATTTGATCTCTGCCCCTGGTTCCTAACATAAAGTTCCTAGAACCCTAGTAGAGAGCACTGGAAGAATCTTTGTTCTGATATTCAGTCTTTGATCCCAGTTCCTGACACAGAGCTCCTAAGATCTTTGTGGTTTCCTGACTGGTAGGAGTATCTAACACAGCCTCAGACCTAAAGTCACAGGAATCTGGTTCCCAGCTTGAGAGAGAATGGTGTGGATTTCTGGTTCCCATTGAACTACAAAGTTTCAGCCTCTCCTCACTGCTATTTAAAAAAAAAAAAATACTTTGGGATCCCTCTATTTTTGTCCATGATGATTCCCTTTCCTATTTTGGAGCACAGCTCATTTTAATATCCTGTTATTATCTTATCTGCTATTTCTCTGTATGCTAGGAGAGAAGGGGAAGTTTTCTGCAAGTATCCAATACACAATTAAAAATGATAGAGTTATATTCATTAATATGGTAAGATATTCATGATACACTCATATGTAAGGAGGAAATATTACCAAACAGGACAAATGGCTGCTCCCATTTAAAATACTAACAAACGGCTGGGCACCGTGGCTCGCACCTGTAATCCCAGCACTGTGGGAGGCTGAGGCAGGTGGATCACGAGGTCAGGAGATCGACACCATCCTGGCTAAAATGGTGAAACCCCGTCTTTACTAAAAATACAAAAAATTAGCCGGGCGTGGTGGCAGGCGCCTGTAGTCCCAGCTACTCGGGAGGCTGAAGCAGGAGAATGGCGTGAACCCGGGAGGCAGAGCTTGCAGTGAACAAAGATCGTGCCACTGCACTCCAGCTTGGGCAACAGAGCGAGACCCCATCTCAAAAATAAATAAATAAATAAATAAATAAATAAATAAATAAATAAAATAAAATACTAACAAACAAAATAGGTGCATGTATCCATGGATACATGTATACATAAAGGCGACTATATTCATGTTTTGGAGGGGATGACTGGAACAGAGGTAGGTTTAGGTTACATCAGACGACATGCAAGAGGAAGAATGAAAAGGAAACTTTGAATGAGGTGCATTCAGGCTTTATGGAACTGCAGTGACCTCATCCTGTTCAGAACACAGCAGTGGCTCTATGCTCCCATCTGGCAAACCAGGAATAGATGGCCGTGTGACAGCTTGCCTTGTCATCGCCTTAGAGCTCCCGGCTTTATTCTATTACCCACAGGATGCAGTTCCTTTTGGTCTTTCCCTAACTTTGGCCACTGCCAAATGACTACACACGCCTCTCGGCCTGCTCTCTAACCCATGGTTTCTGCTTACTCCCTACTCCTACTGCCCCATGGCCTTGGCTCACTGCTTCCTCTCTGTATTTCTTCACCTCTGTGCTTCTCTACTATTCACATCTAGCTTTGTTTTTCTTCTGTCCTAGCTCCAAAAGAAGGAACCAAATCACTCAGGATAGAGCACCCTTTCTGGTTAAATTTCTCACACCAAATCATTTCAGAGACCTCTGGCTTCCTGGTGTCCAATCTGTGTATTTCTGCCTTTGGGACCGTCACAGACACCTGATTCCCAGCAATGGCCAGGGTTGCAGAACCACATGACCCAAAGCACAAAAACTCTTGCACAGAAGCTCCAGAGGCCAGGAACTTATATTAAGTGTTTGGGAGTGTTTACTAAGGGTGGGTGGGATTGTACCTTTCTTCTTTCTCTTTTTCTCTCTCTCTCTCTCTTTTTTTTTTGCTTGTCTTCTTTTTCCATACAGTAGGCCTCCCTTATCCAAGACTTCACTTTCCAAGGTTTCAATGACCCCAGGACAAGAGCTGTCAGAAATATTAAATGGAAAATCCCCCAAATAAATAATTCATCAGTTTTAAACTGCACAGCGTTCTTAGTATTGTGATGAAATCTCACCCCTGCATGGCTCGTACCACTCAGAACATGAGTCTTCCCTTTGTCCAGTGGATTCATGCTGTAGACACTGCCCACCCATTAGTCGCCATCTCGGTGATCAGATTGACAGATCACAGGAATGATGAATACAGTACAATAAGATATTTTGAGAGAGGAGACGACAGTCACAAAATTTTATTACAGCATATTATTATAATTGTTCTTTTATATTATTCATTAGTATTGTTAATCTCTTACTGTGCCCAGTTTTTTTTCGAGACGCAGTCTCGCTCTGTCTCCCAGGCTGGAGTGCAGTGGTGTGATCTCGGCTCACTGCAAGCTCCGCCTCCCAGGTTCACGCCATTCTCCTGCCTCAGCCTCCCGAGTAGCTGGGACTACAGGCACCCACCACCATGCCTGGCTAATTTTTTTTTTTTTTTGTAGAGACAGGGTTTCACTGCGTTAGCCAGGATGGTCTCAATCTCCTGACCTTGTGATCCACCCATCTCGGCCTCCCAAAGTGCTGGGATTACAGGCATGAGCCACTGCGCCCGGCCCACTGTGCCCAATTTATAAATTAAACTTTAGGATAGGTGTGTATGTATAGGAAAAAAGGTATAGGTATAGGTATAGGTATAGGAAAAAAGGTGTATGTAGAGGAAAAAAGGTCAATAAGGTTTATATTTGTGAATAAAATAATATTTCACTATAATGATGTAGACAAATAGGGGTTGATTTTTTTCACATTCCAAGGAGTCCTGAGTTGGACAGGTAGTCAAGACAGGTGCTGAAAGACGCCATCAAGAAATGAGATTATTTATATTATTCTGCTCCACCTACTAGTCACAAATGGCTGCTGCATCTCCAGGCATTATGTTCACACTCAAGGGGAAAGGCGAAGCCTCATCTGTTCTCTCCTTTTGTTTGTTTGTTTGTTGTCAGATAAAGTGAAGCTTTCTCAGAAATCCCTCCAGAAGAATTCCCTTTAGATTTCAAGATCTCATTGGCCAGAGCTAGTTAACACAGCAAATTTTCTCTGCAAGAGAGGCTAGAAAATGAGGGAACAGGCTTGTCATAACTGATCATGACCAATCACCATCCATCATCACCTGCAGCTGCACTCATGGCTGCTCAAAACAAAATCCAGGTTTGGTTGTGGTAAGGGAGCCTGCCCCACACGGCTCACATCTAATGTGGTAAGGCTAATGGATACCCGAGTCCAGAGAAAATAAGGAAATGAGGCCAGGTAGCCCTAAAAACCAGGGAAAACAAAACCCCCGAAATTCCACTCCTAGCCCCACTCCCAAACGTGAGAAGAGCAGGTTGGTTCAAATACGCTCGAACTGAGCGACATGGGAGAAAGATATTGAAACGTTGATTTGGTCAATAACCACATTTTTTGCATATGTCAATGTTTTAAAAATAGATTGTATTGTCTGAGAACAGCTTTGGAACCCTATAATCTCACCAGGCACAGAGGGCTATGAACGGACCTGTTCCAGAGGGGATGCCTTGTGAGTAGCGACAGAGCTGGCCCGGGATGGTACTGCCAGCCAGCATCATGCTACCATGAGGCTCATGATGTTTCAAATTACTAAAATGACTGGGAGTCATTTTCATTATCCTTATTGACAATTAGCTTTAATGGCAAAATGAAATCATTAGGCAGCAGTAAGTCTGGAGTATATAGCTCTTTTGTAATAAAAGAAATTCAATGGTGTGAAGGCAAGCTTACCAAGTCTATGGCTCTTTCATGTGAACTGAAGCAGTATGAAGATAAGCTTCGGGAGACAAGCTGGGGAAAACACAGTCACTGAATTCATTAGCAGAATTAATATTCCATGTGGCGTTCAAGCTATTGCTTTACAAAGTGTCTAAGATAATTAATAGAAAATGTGCTACAAAATGAATGGTATTTTAGCAACTTATTTGCCAGCATGCATTGCAAAGTCCACCAGTATTTCATACTCCCATTTCTTTTGTTCTTGCTCCTTGGAAGGCATCTTGCCAGTGGCTTGCCTATATTTAACATCACTGCTTGTTGACTTTGTGAGAGTTAGCAGAACTATAATTTGCCTCTCAGTCGCTTCTGAAATTAAGGAACACTGAAGCTGGGGATGAGTTCAGTCAGTGTTTCTCAGTGGAGACACAGTTACAATCTTGGTCAGAATATGTTCTTGTGGTAGGGAACTGGGCCCCATAATCCATGGCATTATCATCCCTGGTCCCAGGCACTAAATGCCAGTAGCAACCTGCAGTCCTTGTAATGGTCCCATACACTCCCACAGATCCCCAAATATCCCCTAAGGCACAGTTAGGCCACAGGCCACCTAAGGCACAGTTAGGCCACAGGCCAAGATCCAGTGAATATCTGAACTTTACAGATGTTCAAAGTAAGATGCTCAGCAGCCCAGATCATGGATGGTAGCCAGTCATGGATGGTAGAGGCAGGACTCGAACTCAGTTAGCGGAACTTCATATGACAACAGGTTTCCTCTGCCATCTAAAGGAAAATTAATAATGTCCTCCCTTGTTCATAAAAGCTGTTTAATAAATATTTGTGGCATAATGGAGAATCCAATCCAATTAAAGCCAATAGTATGCATTAGCAGACAGTCATCTATGACAAATGGCATCCTTAATAAATAAAAAAGGAAAGGCATTTTGCATTTGGGCTATAGCCTAAGACATTCATTGGAGAGGCCCTGCATTGCTTTGAAGGTCAGACAAAGGGCAAAGGTGTTTTGGGGAAGGACTTTAGAGTAAGGATAGGAAGCAGTGATTCCATAAACAATGCAGCTGGGGGCCCAGAGAAGCACATTGTACAATGTTGTGCTTATGGACCCAGAGAAAAAGACTCAGAAAGATTTTCCGTAACATTTCCCCTACTTCCTTTTGCCAAATAGGCTTTTATTGGGTAGGATTTCACTCCCACGGCCTGGACTTCTACCTCTGTTGTTGGAACGATAGTCCTTCACTAAATAGATAGGAAAGCAGAAAGGGAAAATCTCTTCAACACAAAACACCACAGAATTTCCTTGACAACGTGATAAGCATTTCTTTGATATGAGACTTAGAGTGTATCAAATACTCTTCTTTCTGCCACCCTGCCTTGTTAGTCACTGATGTACACGTTCTATGTATCACTTAGTCATTTCGCAAAATTACTGAGTGCCCACAATGTGACAGGCGCTGTGCTCAATTTGGAATACAGCTGGGAAAAATGTACACAGCTTGGAGAAAGATGCAGAAGAACGATACGTAGCTTTGGAAAACCAGTTTCAAATCCCAGCTCAGTCACGTTGTAACTCTTTTTTTTTTTTTTTTTCTGAGATGGAGTCTTGCTCTGTCGCCCAGGTTGGAGTACAGTGGTGCGATCCCAGCTCACTGCAAGCTCTACCTCCCAGGTTCACGCCATTCTCCTGCCTCAGCCTTCCGAGTAGCTGGGACTACAGGCGCCCACCACCACGCCCCACTAATTTTTTGTATTTTTTAGTAGAGACGGGGTTTCACCGTGTTAGCCAGGCCTCCCAAAGTGCTGGGATTACAGGCATGAGCCACTGGGCCTGGCCGTTTGCTTCCATTTCTAATAGCAGGTTTGACTCTTGGGTTAAGAAGACTATTTCCTCCTTCTTATGCTGGCTAACTCCTCCTCTTCTTCTGAGATATAGACCGTGGGATACCTTCTCTGGGCAGCTCCTGGCCACCCCACCCTCCCGGCTGACTTCCAGATGAGCTGGGCATTTCTTCTTGCACTCCTCTGACACTGTGTTGACCTATCTCAAATCACCAGCCACTCTGCATTCATTGCTGTGGTTTGCCTCTTCACCTCTGCCACTGTACTAGAAGAGTTTGGAAAGAGCAACTCTCAACCTCACCCTGTAACCCTTCACATGTAGGAGGTGCCAAACATACACTAGATACCTGAAAGTTGAGTCAAATAAAGATACCCCCAAAGTTCCATAAAGCCACACCCTCAAAAGTGTTGTGACGGTTTTCCTTACCCACCTTCTCAGCAGTCATGGGATCTGCAATTGTATCACCGCAACAGAGACCATCAAAGTTATTTGATAAGAGTATGAGTGATGTGAATTAAAAAAAAAAAATCTCTAAGGTGTTGTTGTTCTTTTGATTTTGAAAGCCAGTGACCAAACTCTGGGATGTTGTGGCAAGAAGAGATAGTCCCTTTAGGACAAGCAAGAGATCATTTGTAGTTATGTCTCCTGTTTTATAGGATTCTATGAGGCCATTTCTTCCCCCAAAATGAGTATGGAAGTTAAAAACAATGGTATGGTATATTTCAGATCATTATTCACTTGGGATCTGCGTGGGAAGCAGCATGAGCTACGGTTAATTCTGCCCAAACTCATCATTCCATTGGTTATTTATCTCCACAGCCTCTGCACGGTTTCGTCTCTGGTCAGGGCAACCGGACACGCCTTGTAGGAGAGTTTGTGGTCTTTGTGGAATAGGCAATGAGGGAAAAGGGAAGAGAAGGTGTCTGTTACTGACTTCTGCCAGCCTTTATGTATTTTGCATACATTATTTCATTTAATCCTCTCCAAAGCCCTGTGAGGTAGTTAAGCAGCTCATTATCTTAGTTTCACAGATGTACACCCGAAGACTCAGAGATATTCGGTAACTTGCCCAAGGTCACACAGACTGTAAGCAGGACAAGGACATTTACACAAGGACATTTCTTTTTGGGAGAAGTCACCAAGTTGCATCCAGCACATGGACTGGTTCTTTTACTCATCCACAGGCTTTGAAGTCAGACAAAGGGATTGAGTCCCAGGTACTGGATATACTGATTGACTATAAATCTGTGTGCAAGTTAGTTACTTACTTTTTTATTTTAATTTTTTCATTTTATGTTTTTCTGAGATGGAGTTTTGCTCTTGTTTCCCAGGCTGGAGTGCAATGGCACAATCTCGGCTCACCACAACCTCAGCCTCCCAGGTTCAAGTGATTCTCCTGCCTCAGCCTCCCGAGTTAGCTGGGATTACAGGCATGCGCCACCACGCCCAGCTAATTTTGTATTTTTAGTAGAGATGGGATTTCTCCATGTTGGTCAGGCTGGTCTCAAACTCCTGACCTCAGGTGATCTGCACACCTCAGCCTCCCACTTAATCTTTTCAAGTCTGAAGGTTCTCATTTGAAAACGAAGACTATAAAAATGCCTGGCTCCGAGGACTGTTTGAAAGATAAGGTGGGATAGTACATGGAAAATGCTCACCACAGAGCAACTATGCTGGAGACAAAAGGTTTAGCTACGATTTTGCGACTGAAGCAACCCCATTATAGCAGTAAAGCTAGGGTCTTAATCAACTCTCAAAGAAATGGCAAGCTCTGTTTTAATCATGATATAAACGAAGTACTCATGAGGAAGAGACGGATTCTGCCTGAGGGCATAGAGAAGGCTCTCTTTAGATGAGCCTTACAGGATCTGTCATATTTCCCTGGTTTGGGATGTGGATGGGGGCATTCCAGCATTACAACCTTTTGCAATTCAGGGATTGCAAGGGATTGTATTACAGGAATGGGGAACTCAGTAAACAAGGCTTGAGATATGACAACATGTGGCCAAGCTGTCAGGCAGAAATAAATGGGAGGGTCCGTGGAGGAGAACAGTAGCAGATCCAGCTAGAACGTAGGTTAGTGTCAGAGTGGGAAGAATCTAGCCTACCAGGCTCCAGGGCTTGGGCTTCATTCTGCACCCAGTGGGGAGCCGCGAGAACTTTCTAAGCATATTCTCATTTGCATGTTGGAATGGGAATCGGAAAGGCCATCTAGACCACGCATCATAAGGGTCTTCCTGCTGGACTCAGTGAGACCACAGTGAGACTGCAGAACATGAGGGGTGAACAAGAGTGTGGGAAGGGAATTGAGAGCACAGCTCCTGCCTGACCGGGTGGATGGCAAGTGTCAATGAGGCAGGCCTGTTACTCCTTTCTCTAGGGCAATGCTGCTTGGTGTTCCATCCTCTTTTTCAAAATCAAAAGTCATGTAAGTTTAAGGAGGTACTTAAGCACTTGAGAAGTGGAGGAACTCTGAACATAAGAGACAAACAAAAAAATTAGGGTGCCAGGCCCGGTGGCTCACGCCTGTAATCCCAGCACTTTGGGAGGCCGAGGTGGGTGGATCACCTGAGTTCAGGAGTTCAAGACCAGCCTGACTAACATGGTGAAACCCCGTCTCTACTAAAAATACAAAAATTAGCTGGGTGTAGTGGTGGGCACCTGCAATCCCAGCTACTCAGGTGGCTGAGGCGGGAGAATTGCTTGAATCTGGGAGGCAGAGGTTGCAGTGAGTCAAGATTGCGCCATTGCACCCCAGCCTGGGTGACAGAGCGAGACTCCTCCGTCTCAAAAAAAAAAAATTCAGGGTCATTAGTGGGCTTGGCAGCAGTGCAATGTTACTTGATCTGGATGGCTTCCTGGTTGAATCTAAAAATACCTACAATAGGATTTTGCAGTATAAACATCTATTGGAGTTGCTGTTCAATAAATGGACTGATGAATATCATATTCCCATTTTCCCATGGCTCTGCATTCCACCATTCTTCTGGAGAAAGTATATTGATCAAAATCAAGTCATTAGGAAAGAGAATACTGACCGAGAGGATTTTCCTTCAGGGGCTATCTTACCATCTTTGCTCCCAAAGCACAAATGGCAGGATTACCACGAATGCCCCAGGACCAGATACATCCAAACCCTCCTAAATGCCTAAGGTTCAAGGATACATCTGGATTTTAAAGGCAAAAGACATTTGCTTTCAGATTTTTATGATAAACAGAGAGACAGAAGGCCTAGAGCACAGAAATGTTAAATAAGCCTGTGAACTGAAAATCTTAGTGCAAGACTGGTTAGTAATAAAGAGGGAAAGACTTGAATTTGTGATAAATAAAAATTCAAAGGGCAACTTGGGGTATTTCAAAACATGGTGTTGGAGCATTAAGCTGGCCATGTAGAAAAAAATAAGAGATTTAGATTCCTGCGTACTCATTTATCCAAAGTAGACTCCAGATGGAAAATCAAAATACTAAAACAAATCATCTAAAAATGTTTTTATTTTTTTAAAAAAGTAATTATAATTTTGGATTAGGGAAGAATTCCTAAGCGTAAAATATACTAAAAGCCATAAAGAAAAAAAGATTGATAAGTTTGACATTATAAAAAGTAAAAATGGTGGCCAGGCATGTTGGCTCATGCCTTTAATCCCAGCACTTTAGGAGACCAAGGTGGCCAGATCACTTGAGTCCAGGAGTTTGAGACCAGCCTGGGAAGCATAGTGAAACCCTGTCTTTATAAAAACTCCAAAATATTAGCCAGGCGTGGTGGCGCATGCCTGTATTCCCAGCGACTCAGGAAGCTAAGAGTTGGGAAGATCACTAGAGCCCGGGAGTTTGAAGCTGCAGTGAGCCATGTTCACACCACTGCACTCCAGTCTGGATGACAAAGCAAGACCCTGTCTCAAATTAAAAAAAACAAAAAAGTAAAACCTCGTAAATATGTATTAATATATAATGTAATTATGTTTTTTGTTTTCTGGTTTTTTTTTTTTTTTGAGACGGAGTCTTGCTCTGTCACCCAGGCTGGAGTGCGGTGGCGCAGTCTCGGTTCACTGCAACCTCCGCCTCCCGAGTTCAAGCGATTTCTCCTGCCTCAGCCGCCTGAGTAGCTGGTAATACAGGCACACGCCACCACACCCAGCTAATTTTTTGTATTTTTAGTAGAAACGAGGTTTCACCATGTTAGCCAGGATGGTCTCGAGCCCCTGACCTTGTGATCCACCCATCTCGGCCTCCCGAAGTGCTGGGATTACAGGTGTGAGCCACTGTGCCCAGCCTATAATATAAATATATTTTAATAAAGTCAAAAGACAATCTGAGAAAAAAAGAATTTGCAACACATATGACTGCCTCTCTCACCTGGCCTCTACACCTCCGTCGGCAGGAGTTTAAAAACCACCCCAAAACTCTAATTGCTCATGTCACAGCTCCCTCTTCTACTAGCTTCAGTCTCCCAGCACCCTCCTCCCCACCCTCCCAGCTTCACCTCCAGTGTCTTCCTTGGAATCATCAGTGCTAATTTCCGTCATGACTTTTATCCCTGTTCAGATCAATCA